>NC_000002.12:155974466-156277496 GCF_000001405.40 Homo sapiens | reverse complement strand
TCTGTGGAATAGAGAAGAGAACTTTTATTGATTGATTGACTTATTGCTTAAGTGTTGTGTAGAGATGGTCTATTGACAGATGCAACCTGGCATTTTGATAATATTAGGTGGTAGTAAGTAGGTGCCTAGAGACCTTTTGCAGCTTGTACATATGTTAAGGTTTTCCTCCTACCTATGGAAGAGAGCTGGCCCATGACTCAACAGCTCTGGACTTCCCCGACCCTGGCCATGCACCTGGCTAGTGAAGTGAACAGCTCTGTTGGCTGGACTGCCACCCCACTTTCCTGGGTCCTTATTCACTTTTGTATAGAGCAATGCCTGGCCACAGAGCTAGCAACTTCCCAACTGATAGAAACAGTTCAGTGCTTAGGCTTCATTAACAGATGTAGAGCACCCAGGAAAGAGGGCAGTGACAAACTTGCTTTATTTGTGCTGCAGAATATCCAGAGTATTGTGTTTAATTTGGGGACTATATTATACAGGTGGCACTTAACATGTTGGAAAAATGTAATGAGTTCAATAAGCTGCTGAAGTGAGAAACAGGTTGAGGAATTACATATGGTTGGTTTGAAAAAGGAGGACTCATAATCACACAAAGACTGTGTGTGATTTTTGTCTTCAGGTATCTTTCATGCAGGATGAAGTTTAGATTTATTCTGTATTACCCTACAATGGAGATTCTTAACTTTTGTGAATATGATAAATGCTTTTGACATTTGATGGAGAAAAATGTATACATTCACGATATGCATACACATTAGAAATTTTTAGTAACCATATGCATTCATTTTAGGAAACCCTCAGATGTACTGTCTTCCTAGAGGATGAATACAGAAAGATCACAGCAGCAGATTTCAGTTTAGTAATAAAAGAACTTTCTAGTGATTTGAGCTTTCTGGAGCTGAAATAGGCTGCTTCAGGAGTTAATAAGCTCCCTATCCCTGGGCAGTTTTAAGCAGAGGCCGGGTGGTCCCTTGATGGTTATATTGAAGAGGACTCTTATAAATATGGTGGAGTTTTGGCCAGATTCTAATTCCTTTAAAGCCTTGAGAATCAATTAGATTCTATGAGTTTTATAGTAAAAGCCTCATATAACATGATTGGTCTATAAGGCATATGGTAATCCTGTTCATAGACATTGGCATTCATGTATGGCTTTATGGAGTATTTGATTTATTTTAGGACTTCTGCTTGATTTCCTCTTGGTCTGCCTCATAATTTTCATTAGCTCCATTTGGAGATTTTTTTGGGGGTTTGGCTCTATGGCCCAGTACCCATATTCATTGCAGTAATAAAGTTTTAATACTGAAATATAAAGTCATGTGTTAGTTATCAAATTTCCTTAGCTCATTAGCTCCTGAAGAATAGAAACCAAAGTTTTTTAGGATGATCTTGTAGAGAGATCAGCTTGCTGGGGTTACCAAGGTCATTCTGTGACTCCCTGCCATCCTTTGCATAACCATAATTTCAAGAACCTTTTAACTCAATCACTGTAATTACTTTACATGTTTTGTTGGAGAGAGAGACATAGAGAAAGAACAGAGGTGTTCTGTGATTTTGGGTCATTTTTAGCCATAGCTTCTTAATACAGAATGACTGCATTGCTGAACCAAATGAACAGATTTAGTCTTCAGTTTCCAATCCTTGAGATTTCTCCTGACCCTAGAAGCCAAAGTATTGCTTAATGATAATTATGTTTCTTCGGGTTTCCAGATCAATTTGGCATAGAACATATCTACTTTGTTGTCCAGACAAGGCACAGAGAATGAATGAATAAGATCATCTTCCAGAAGGTAGAACCTCGTTAAAAATAGGAACTGAGAAATATATTGCCGTGGAAGCATTTGTTGTTATGTTATTAACAGGGACTCAGATGTGTGAGATGTAGGTTTAATTTATATTTAAAATATACTGATGAAATATATTGCTAATCTTTTCATTCTTATGAACTGGGGGTTACTTGAGTGATTTCCAAGAGTAGATTCTCCCACAGGAAAGCAGCCTACTTCCCCAAATGCCAGCAATTTTGGGGCATTATCAAAAAGAGTATTAGAGTCAGGAGAACAATGTGTGGAATTTTGGAACCAGAAGAATAGCTAGAGCAGGTCCAGAAAAGGGCACCTGAACTGAATCAAGGGAATGTGAGTGCTGCCATCTGAGGACAATCTAAAAATATGTGCTCTCATCTGTCTGGCAATATGCAGGCGAAAATGAAAAATGATTGACGCCTGTCAAATTATGAAAGTTATGTATAATTGGAACCAGACTTAAATGCAAATGAACTAACATATGTGAATGGGATTTAAATAGTTCCTGGCACATAGTAGGTGTTCAATAAATGTTAATTCCTTTCTTATGCAAGCTTCTTTTGAAGTTTAAAAGAGGAAATCTTAACACAAATAAAAAATATGTAATTTGCTGCAGGTAGTAAACATATGAAATTTGATACTGAAGGAGGTGATTTTGATGGAAAATGTGAAACTAGCTTTAAAATGGAATTGGATACATCCAGAGATGATAAATACATAATGATTAGTTAAGGGAAATGAGTCTTTGGAGGCTGAGAGGACAACTTCTAACTTCAAAAAATAAGTTTGTTGTTTTTCTCAATATAAAAGACACATTTGTTAAATAGTTTTTTAAAAAAAATAGTTGAACAAAACAAAAAACCACTTAGGCTATCACCATTCAGAAATACCACTCTTAACATTTTGTATGTATAGTTGCAGTATCTTTCCATGTAAGTGAAGATATTTTATCAGAGGTACACAAATCTTGATAAACTTTATTTTACTTGATGAAGTGGACATTTATTTTTTCCATGTCACTAAATATTATTCACAACACAATTTTATGTGATTAATATTCTTTAGTATGAAGAATGTCATATGGTTTATGTAATCAATTGTCTACAATTGGACCTTGGTAATTTCCCCAAATTTTGCTATTAGAAGCAAAACTTGTGTATCTGTCTTTGTGTAGTTTTAAAAATATTTTATTAGGTTGAATCCATAGAAATGAAATTGCTTGATCAAGGAGCATGAACATTTTTGA
The DNA here is from genome assembly GCF_000001405.40 of Homo sapiens. Taxonomy (NCBI): domain Eukaryota; kingdom Metazoa; phylum Chordata; class Mammalia; order Primates; family Hominidae; genus Homo; species Homo sapiens. The sequence goes on along the minus strand of NC_000002.12, from coordinate 156,274,442 downwards.
AGGTTTTAATAGGTATTGCCAAGTACTCTCAAGAAATGTTATAATAGCAATGTATACTGCCATCTCGGTTTATTAAAGTATTCATTTCCCCAAATCCTTTTCAAACCTGGACACATAAAAAGCCGATTTGCCAAGTTTATGTTTAAAATATGTTATAATTTTAACTTAACATTCATTACTAGTAATTAATGTGAGATTAAATATCAAATATTTTCAAATGTTATTATGTTTGGGATAAGGGCATTGCCATTTTATATACTTTAATGTTATATTGATGTGCCTGTCTTTTTCTTATTAATTTGCAAAAATTTCTAAATGTTGCAGTGTAGTTGATTTTTAAAATGCTTTTTCTGTGTTTGAGAATTCTCCTTCATTTGAGTTCTGGCCAGCTTTCTTACTACAGAAACCAACAAGATAGGATGCTTTTTCCTAAGGTTCTTCACAGTCGTGGTGTTGCATGTGATCTATTTCAACAAATCATCTCCATCCATCTGGGACTTCTGAATTTGGAGCTAGGGATGCAGAGAAGCATGGAAAGATGGGAATTTATTCTGGTAATGTGGCAGGTCAAGCAGTGTCAGCAGGAGTACCTAATGTTCCATGCTTAGCCTCATTGGTTGTGGTGTCCTCAGCAGATGGGATCTGTGATATAATTTTGATTGTGATTCTGGCTGCCTAGCCTCTCATTTTTAATATCATTATTTTAAAAGTCAGGTTTACTAGGGTGTTTACACATAGTAATATTCAAGAATATTGTTTGATGAGTTTTGACAAATGTATAACATTTTATAATCAAGATATAGACCATTTGCTTATTTATTGGCTATTTACCGTGAGCCAGGCATGAAATGACTCACTTATGTTCTTTCATTTAAAACACATCACAACTTCTTGTTGTTGGTTCTATTGTTCACATTTCACCAAACGTATATTCTATAACTTGCCCCAAATAACACTCTGGTTGGTGGCTGAGCCAAGATGTAAACCTACAGTCATTTCTCCTGTTCTGCACTGCTTCAACAAATCAAGGCGTTGTCATTTGTTAAAATGCTCATTACCTAGATATCCATTTGGAAGCATGATTTTTCCACATTATTCCTATTTGAAATCTCCAATATTCAGAAACAGAACCTAAAACAAGATTCAGCCACATGTAATTTCATTTTGGCACTTGCTACTGAATTCTCTGGAAATGATAGTTTAACGTACAAAGTATTTGTGTAGTATGCATATCAGAGGTCAGTGAATAAGTCAACATGCATTTACTGAATTCATTAATGTACACAGTAGATTACCGAGGGAAGAAGTTATAAGTGGAGGAAATATATGGCCTTAGTTCTTAATCTAGTTGGTGGAAAAACAAGTGGAAATTGATTAGTTAGTTTACAATAAAAGATTCTTTATGTCCCAGGGTTAAACTATGTGAGAGAGAAAAATACAGTGCTTAATGGGGGGAAGAAAGGGTTTGAGCTGTATGTTGAACAAGACATGGATTTGGAAGGGATAGAGAGGAGAAGTTTTTCCCATGAGGAGGTCAAGAGAGTGAGGGGTGAGAATGAACTAGGCACATATATAAGACAGATACTAACTAAAGTAGAGAACTTGAGTCAGAGGGTAGGAAGAAATAAAATTGAATAAACACATGTTATAGAAGAACTTGTATACCAATGAAAGAAATCTGGGTTTGATTCAATAGCCATTGAGACACCATTATACACCTTGAAGTCAGAATGATTATTTAGAAACCATAATCTGTGTTCTCCAAAAGGTAAATTGAGATGATGTTGAGCTATAAAAGCCCCTTAAACACAAGTATTACATGAAGATTTATCAAAATATACTTTATTTTTCCTTCCTAACAGCTTTATTTTTATTTTTTTGGCTAACCCTTGCCATCTGTATCTGTGACTCCTTCCTTTTACAGAAGAAGAAAGTAAGGCCCAAAGATGTTAAGTGACTTCTGCAAAGTCTTCAGCTAATGTGTGGTAAAATCAGGACTAGATACACATCACCTAATGACTGGCTGAGCACACATATCCTCAAATCTCTGGTTTCCAACATCTGTGCTAAGAAGCAATAGGACAGAATGACACAGACCTTGGACTCCCTGGGCTCAAAAGCCTGTTTTGTTACTCAGTAGCTTCTTACATTAGGCATCCATGTTAATTTCCCAGTCCCCTGTTTTCTTCATCAGTTCAATGTGGGTGGTAATCATAACAGCGTATAAACCTCATGGGTTACTGGTAAAATTAAAATAGTTTATATATATATAAAATACTTAGGATAGCATTTGGTACATCTCTTGAGGAAACTGATGCAATAAAAGCTGAGTCAAGAGTCATATGCAAAAATGAAACAATGAAAGTCTTCTTCATTGAAAACAAATCATATAATATTATTCTCTTCATTTTAAGTTTTTGACTGATACATCATTTTAAGATTTTTATCATCACTGTGTAATAGGGGGAGTATGGCCTTGTGGTCAGCTCCCTCATCTGAAATGGGAGCAACACTTACATACCTCATCAGGTTGTCTTCAAAGTGAAAGGAAATATTGTATATGAAGTTGAGTGTGTGCCACCCTGGAGAAATTCAGTAAATGTTAACTCTCTTTTCATCATTTCTTGTGTCTATTAGTGATTGATAGGAGAGAAACAAATGATGTAATAGCATGTACATGTTGATGAAAAACCTTAGAAGCAATTCATAATTTGTATGTTTACTGTGTGTATGTGTATGTTTTCTGAGTATAGTTGTACATGTGTCTTCTTCCTCACTTTGATTTTCTATAATATGCCATTTAATAGGCTCCTTGGGTTTCTCTTTATGTACATTTTTTTTGCAAAGAAAGACAAGCAGTCATTAGACTGTGTTGTGGAGGATTTTCCAAAAGACACTGTTTATGATAACCGTCTCCCCATTACCTTAAGAAGGAAAAAGGGTAAAATTTTTACCTAATGTTTTGTTTTAAAATACTGTACATTGTCTAGAGCATATTAACCAAAATAACATTGTATTGGACAGTGAAATTTAGCTGTAAAAATATTTCAGTTGCTAAGTATTACTAAACTTCTATTCGGCCTTAAGTAGTTAGGCCAACAGTGATTAATGTCTCTGCTTTTCTGAGTGGATTCTAAGGAAAAACAAGCTAACAAGAGCACAGGCTGTGTTTTGGATCCTATACCCTTGGGGCAATCTTTCCAGAGGAAAAGAGTCAACAGGACTCAACTTGGGTCCTATTTTGCAGGATGATGGGGATTTCTAGGATGGAGGCATCATAGGAGGATAAAGCCCTTGCTAGAAGTAGGAGGAAATATCTTGTTGAGAAGATGTTCATAGATGTCAATCTAACTAACAAAGCCATCCCGTATATCAATAGCCACATCCCCACAGAGGGAGAAGATCTGACACTGCAAGTGCCATGCCCTGGGACCAGGTGGTAGAGCAGGTGATCTATGTCATCTTGTTCACTACTTCTGTTCTTTCTTCTTCTACTTTTTTTTTTTTTTTTTTTTTTTGCGTTTGGTACTTTTGGGGAAGGATTTTTTTTTTTTTTTTTTTGAGACGGAGTTTCGCTCTGTCGCCCAGGCTGGAGTGCAGTGGCGCGATCTCGACTCACTGAAAGCTCTGCCTCCCAGGTTCACGCCATTCTCCTGCCTCAGCCTCCCGAGTAGCTGGGACTACAGGCGCCTGCCACCACGTCCGGCTAATTTCTTTTTGTATTTTTAGTAGAGATGGGGTTTCACCGTGTTAGCCAGGATGGTCTCGATTTCCTGACCTCGTGATCCACCTGCCTCGGCCTCCCAAAGTGCTGGGATTACAGGCGTGAGCCACCGCACCCGGCCAGGAAGGATTTTTATAAGCAATTTTCTTTTCTATCTAGAAGCCTTCTATAACACATACCCAACAATAGAGTCATCATTTCTATATCAATATGTGCTCACAGACTTCGTTATATGCTCCACATGGGAATGGGAGATGGAGGTACCGAGGAGAGGTTGTATTGGCAGAGGTTGTATCAGCATCCACATTTTCAATTTGACATATCCCAGTTCAAGAAAAAAGAAACACAGATTGCCTATTCTAATAAAAGAAAAGTCCCTACCCCCAAAGAACACAGAATATAACAAGTAGAAACATTCTTTTTAAAATTATTTTTCAGAACTATGAAAATTAATACTAGGAAATACTTCTTTTAATTTATAATAGCATCAAAAATAATGAAGCACTTATAGATAAATTTAACAAAGAAGTACAAAACATGTATACCAAGAACTACAGAATATTGTTGAACAAAATTAAAGAAAATTTAGGTAAATGGAAAGACATATTGTGTTCATGAAGTTGAAAACAGTATTGCTTAGATGGTAATATTTCCTCCTCTTACTGAAAACCAAATGTATTCTCATATCAAACATAAAAGTGTGAAAATGTAAAAATGTAAGAATAAATATTTCTTAGCTTTGCTAATCGCGCAATTATTGGAGAGAATCTTAAAGTGATTATTTTGAAGACCATAGGTAAGAAAAGATGAAGTTGTTAACGTAGTAATGAAGAAATAAAAGTATGAAAGTTTCCAAAATAGAGCAATAGAGAATGGGTGAGAAAATAGCATAGTGATGGAGTCCTGACACCTAATCCTTAGAACACTGTGTTCACTACTTATTAAAGCTAGCACAGCTGAGGAATCTTTGATATATTTATCAGTCTTCTGATTCTTGGATTCCTTACCTGTAAAATGAGGATAATAATAATACTAATTTGCTTTATAGGATAGCTGTGTGGATTAAAAGTTATCATAAATGTTAGCTGTATTTTTATGTTCTATAGCTATGATTTTATTTGCTAGAATATTAGTTGATATAGTTAATAATTTCTTCTCTTGAATAATGTTATCTCTCAGACACTTTTAAAATACACATTCACTTAAATCCTATTAGAAAACATATAGTTTAATTTTCAACAATATACACAGAAAATGGAGTTCAAATTATCTGTTATTTTGAAACAATCAGTGGAGTAAATTTCCCCTGAGGGAAGGGTGTCCTAGTTTCGATATTTAAGGAAAGCAGGTTAAAATCCATACACTGTTACTAGAAATATACAACTCTGGAAAATTTTCCCCCAAGAATAAATGCCTGGGGGTGTGTGCGGGGCATTGTGCAGGGATGCCTTCATTGCTTAAGTTTGCTGTTTTCAGAAATTATGCACTACTAGTGTATGAGGCATAGAGGCATCCAGTTATATACCAGGTTTAAATGTTGATAAATCATAAAACAGACGTCATTTTACATGGGGGAAAATGTATTCAACATTTTTCCCTGAGTAAAGTATGCAGAAAACCTGCTTAAATGGGGCATATAATTTTTAATGACTCAGGCCTTTAGTCCTTGGAAATGAACCAAGTGTGATAAATAAGATGGAAACTGGTGAATATTGAGTGTCTAGTCATCACATCATCAGATCTGAAATCACCTGAGATTGTATATGAAAGGTAGTAGCTTGAAAGAATTAGTCTTTAGTCTAATTGACTTTGAGCAATGTCGAATAAATGGAAGAAAGTTGATTATAGTCAAATAATAAAAAAAAACCTCTTCCTAAAAATTCAGAGATAGTGATGTGATAATAAAAAACAGTGTAAAGTTTTCATGTTATAAAAATAAATCAGCTTCACACAGAAATTATTTTGGGGTCAGTTTTCTTTAACCCACATATTATTGACAAGAAAATGTGTCTTCACCTTGCACCTTTTCTTTTGCTAACTTTCGACCTTTGATTTTTCAAATACCTATGAGTTTACACACAGGTAGGCTGCTCTTATTTTGTTCTTATTTCACTGGCTATTCTTAGGAGGAAATCTTCCCTAGTTAGCCCAAAAGAAACAAGGCTTATGCATCATTAAAAATAAATGAACATAGTAATTCTTTTACTTAATAAGATATAATAACTTAAAAATATATTAATGCTGTCCCTGAAGATCATAAAGAAGAAAGACTGTGGAAAACTAAAGAATTAGGTAAATCAGAGGAGCCTAAAATGAGCAGGTAACTAGTGAAGAAACAAATTAAATATATTGTATACACAATTGATTTTAATATAGCACCAGTGGTGCATCAATGCAAAAAAACTGTATCCAGGGAGCTTAATCTACTGTCGCTCTGTGGGCATCCAGTCTCTTAGGATTTCAAAATATTAAATAGCATAGGTAGATCAACAAGCTAACGGTACTTTAAAATACAGTAAAAAAGGAAAGTGGTGAATTATCATGCTGATCTTACAAAATATTTTTGATAGATGATATAATTAGAATAGCAATTTTCAATTTTGGCTTTGAGACAGCGTTATTAGCTAATCACAGATTCATTTATAGCTATAAACATGTAAAATTATTTAAAGTTAGGCATGATTTTAAGAATAAAACAAAAGATAAGGAATCAAAGCTTTAGAAAGATTCAGAATCACAGAGGTAAGGACAAAAGGCTTTATAGTAATTATCAAATATAAAACCATAAAGGTCAATAAAATGGACATTTAACAAATCAAAATTAGATCTATTGAGAAGAGAGAATTGAGAGTTATGCCAAAAACTACAGAAAAATTTTAATATTTATGAAAAATCTCAGAGTTCATAATATAGAAGAAATACCAGTTCATCTTGAAAAAATAGAGTTGAAGATTGCGATGTATGTTGATTAAATAAATTTCGCACCAATTATTTTTTTCATTGTAAAAATATTCTCAAGCCTATTTCACTATTTTTTAACAGAGAAAAGCAAAGGAAAGGGTAGTGTTTATTGCAAGTGCAAACCAATTATGTGCTCATATTCTGGGGAAAACATCGACTACATTTATAAAATATAAAGTTAGCCCACTTAAATTTTCTGATTTATAAAAAAAAGATACACATAAAGTGCAGAAATATATATGCATATATGCACATATACATCTATTCGTGTGTGTGCACATGCTAGGATTATTTTCCTAGCATAAACCCAAATTCTGGATTTTTGAATGGTAATTAAAAAGAAATTTAAAAGTTCATAAATTCTATATAATATTGTTTAACATTTAAACTTTTTGTTTCATCCCAAGAATGGACTTCACAGATGCAGTCTCACTGTTTATAAAATGAGTATAAAAATCTTTACCTTATATGATTGTGTATGAATGAGGGAAAAATATGTAAAACAATTAGCACAATACCAGGCATATAGTAAATTTTTTATAAAGGTGAATATTATTAAAATAAATTATTGCTTAAGCTCAGGAGTTTGAGGCTGCAGTGAGCTATAATTGCACCACCGCACTCTAGCCTGGGTAGCAGAGGGGGACCCTGTCTCAAAAAAAAAATATTATGAGAATTGGGGAATTGAATGCTTATACTACTAGAGATGCTTTTACTACTGACACAGAATGACAAACATACTACAGCTACTACAAAGGAAGAGCTAAATATGAAAAAAATTAGATTTTAAATTTGATAAATTGGCTTTATTTAAAGTAAACTTTGGCTGGGCGCGGCGGCTCACGCGTGTAATCCCAGCACTTTGGGAGGCCTAGGCGAGCAGATTACTTGAGCCCGGGAGTTTGAGACAAGTCTGGGCAATGTGGCAAAACCCCGTGTCTACTCAAAATACAAAAATTATCCGGGCATGGTGGTGCACGGCTGTACTCCTAGCTATTCAGAAGGCTGAGGTGGGTGGATCGCTTGGGCCCGGGAGGTCCAGGCTGCAGTTAGTCATGATCACACCACTGCACTTCAGCCTGGGAGACAGAGGAGACCCTGTCTCAAAAGGAAAAAAACAAACCAAAACCCCAAAACTTTACTGGTAGCAAAAATTTGTAATATTTATGGCTAATTTATTGGGTTAATTGACAGATGTTTGTTTTGGCTATTCTACACAGTGCTTACAACTCTACTGAAAGGAATTAGAAAGTTTATTGCAAGCTTTCCAGTTGTATTCATAACATATCTGTTCCTCAAAGTATATTAACGGATTTCTCCAAAAGGCCAATTATCAAATATTCTAATATTTGTGGCAGATTAAATATGGATTCAGGGTTATTAGAAGTGTAGAGATTTATGTGCATCACAGGTAGATAAAGTCATGATGAAGGTAAAGGTTTTATTGCCTAGAAATACATATTTTCTAGATCTATTCAGGAAATTAGCTGCATATGTGTGAAACTGTTATCATCTGCTTTACATTTTTCCATCTGGGCCAAAGGATAGTGTCCGTCCAATCTCTTGCTGAAACATAATGCACTGTAATTTGCTATTCTCTATATCTACTAGTATAGTAATTCTATTAAAATAGATATTTGGTTGGGCCAGATATTCCTTCATTCATTTACTCACTCAATGATAACTTCTAAAAATACACAATGATGTATTATTAGTGAATGTATGCTGGAATTTAGCGACTGTCATTTTCTAAGTGCTCGCAAGGTGTCAGTTCTGCAAGCATTCCATAATTTTGCTGGTCTATAATTTTCAGAATTTAATGTTGAGCTTTTAAAATCTCCACTAATGTTTTTTCTGTTTTGTTTTTGACTGTTGAACAGAATATTTTATCCTGTGAGCAAGCAACTATGAAGACTAAGGATAAAATATATAGTCAGATTTTGCCATAATTGTAAGATATTCAACAAATAAAAATTAATTTTTCCTTTAAACAATAAAATCTAGTTTTTGGTGCTTTCTTTTCTAAGTTCTCCAAAATCTAGAGAATATTTTTAGAGGTGGCCTTTCTGGATTTGAATCCCAGTTCAACTGTTATAAATTTTAGTTACTTCCTAGGTAATTGTGAATATAGTAATTGTGAATATACTTGTGTTGTAGGGTTGTTGCAAATAGATTAAGGTTTTCATAAAGCATTTGATACAAGATATGGAACATTGAGCAGTCCTCTAGCTGTTCGTTCAGCTTTTCTAAACTCCTCACCTCTAGCGGTGGTGCAGATTTAGGGCCAGAAGTAACTCTGGGCTATGAGATTGCAGTTGTTTTGGGGATGGGAGTGAAGTGAAAGTTTGGGGTAAGATACAAATTGATGGGATTGTCGCTACTGAGCAGGCCAGGGAAATGGGAGAAAGAGCAATGGAAAGAAGATAGAAGGTTAGGTAGACAGAGTAAGATCTGAGAATGTTGGGGCCCACATATAAGAGAGGAAGTGTTATTATTGAAATAGGAAGGGTTAGGTTGGTTGGTAGCTTTACTCAAGCTGAGAAAATCCAGATGTATTGTTTGTAACTGAATGAGGACAGAGAAGTCAGTGTGAGTCTTTTAACAGCCAACAGTTTATTGTACACTAGTCTTGAGCAGCTTCAATCTGAATTCATCTCCCCAGGACAGGAAGAAGTCAGGAGATCTCGGGGAGACAGAGCTTATGTCCTTTCTTATTCAGAACTGCCACAACCCCTATCCCTCACCAGTCAGGCCCCACATCACACCAGTGGCCCAGCTGGAATCCTAACATCAGCTAATTCCTTTATATTCTTGTCGTTCTTGACATTGCCAGAAAACGTAATCTCTCATGCTTTCCAATCCCAATAGTGTTTTCTCTGGGCCTCCTAACCCCCCTCTCTGTCCACAAATCTCCTTTTCAGTTGCAACCCCCATCCAATTTTAAACAACTTCCACATTTTCAATACTGAGGTTAATCATTAATTGAGCTGTAATGGGTATGTGTTGTCTACTAAGTGTTTTGGAAAGTCACTTTGACACTTATCCAAATAGACATGCACTCATCCTTCCCATGACCCTTTTCCTTCCATATACTTTAGAATGTTCTTCCTTGATAGAAATGTAAGCTCTGTGAGGGCATGTGTTTTTGTTTTATTCACTAATGTGGATTAAGTAACCATAGCAGCGCCTCTCATATATTAGGTATTCAATAAATAAGCATTGAATAAATGAATTTAATGAGCATACATTCAGCAAATATATGGTTACATGACAATATGACAATGAATGGGTAAAATAATATTTTCCCTTATGGAGTTTACATTCTAATGTGTAAATGCCAGAAGCCTATGACAAACAAACAATAAGCATGTAAACACATATAATTCCATACTTTCATTAATCTGTGGGGAAAATAAATCACATTAAGGAAATAGAGAGTGACTGGTAGAAAGAATTTTGGTTATTTTAGATAGACTGGTGAAGACAATTCTCCTTGGGGAGGCAAATCTGGGCAGAATACTGATGTGATGCAAAATGAAGATTTTGGACGTAAAAAGACTTGGGAATAGGCAGGAGTAATAAACAGAGAATATAAAGATCTTGATATGGCAAAATGTTTTATGCATGTGAGAGAAAGAGTGGTTGGAGATAATGTTAGGGAGATGAGGAAAGGCCATGTTGTACAGGTCTTACAGGTTACCTATACCTGGGGGTCCCTAACCCCTGGGCCTTGGACGGATACGAATACCGGTCTGTGGCCTATTAAAAACTGGGTGGCACAGCAGGAGGTGAGCAGCGGGCTAGCGAGCATTACCTCCTGAGCTCCGCCTCCTGTCAGATCAGTGGTGGCATTAGATTCTCATAGGACAGGAACCCTATTGTGAACTGCTCATGCAAGGGATCTAGGTTGCACTCTCCTTATGATAATCTAATGCCTGATGATCTGAGGTGGAACAGTTTAATCCCCAAACTATCCCCACACTGTCCCTTCCCACGGAAAAACTGTCTTCCTTGAAACCAGTCCCTGGGGCCAAAAATATTAGGGACCACTGATCTATAGGATTTTCATTTTATTTAAATGAGATGTGAAAGCATGGGAAAGTTTGGAAAAGTCTCATGATCTTATTTAGGATGATAAAATCATGAATTAAAAAGCTACTTGGTGGAGAGAGAAAGCAAAGAGACCAGCAAGGAGGCTATTGTAGCATCAAGTGACAAATGATGGTGGATTGAGCCAGAATGGTGGCAGTGGAGTGGAATCAGGTTCTGGATATTCTTTGAAGATGGATTTGATATGGTAAGGGAAGGAGAGGAATTAAGAATGGGTCCTAGATTCCTCAGCTGAGCTGGGAAAATCCATTTTACTATTAGTGTTTCCTCAGGAAGAGAATGAGCTAATGCATTTGGGGAAAATATTATCACTTCCTGAAAACTCAAAAGAAAATGATCATTTTTTAAAAATCTATTGTATCCTTTGTTTTCTCTTAACGTTCTTTTGTCTCCCAGCCTTTTATTTTGAAAAATGTTAACTTCAATAAGAATTTGAAAAAAATAGAACAACCATATACCCTTTACCTACGTTCACTAATTATTAACATTTTGCCACATTTGCTTTCTCTGTCTTTTCACATATACACACAAACACACACAGTTTTTCTCTGAAATATTTGAAAGTATGTTGCAGACATCATGAAACTGCACTGCTAATATTTTGGTATATATTTACACATATTTACTGAGAACAAGAAGATTTTCTTATAGAAATACAAGACCAGAGAAATTTTACATAGCTACAATGCTTTTAATCTAATATATAGCCTATATTGAAATTTTCTCAGTTGTTCAAATACTGTTCTTATTCCTCTTATCTTGAGTCATTCGATGATCAAGTTATGTGTTTTTAATCACTACTAATCTGGGGAGAGGTTGGCAAACTTTCTGTGATGGCTCAGACAGTAAATATTTTGGGTTTTGTGGGCTACCCCATATATTTTCTGTTGCAGCTACTCAGCTCTGCTATTGTGGCACAAAAGGAGCCATAGACAATATGTAAATGAATGAGTGTGGCTGTGGCCAATACACTTTTTTTTTTTTTTGAGATGGAGTTTCACGGTTGTTGCCCAGGCTGGAGTGCAATGGCGTGGCCTTGGCTTACTGCAACCTTTGTCTCCCGGATTCAAGTGATTCTCCTGCCTCAGCCTCCCAAGTAGCTGAGATTACAGGCACCTGCCACCATGCCTGGCTAATTTTTTTTTTTTTTTGTATTTTTATTAGAGACGAGGTTTCACCATGTTGGCCAGGCTGGTCTCAAACTCCTGACCTCAGGTGATCCACCCGCCTTGGCCTCCCAAAGTGCTGGGATTACAAGCGTAAGCCACTGCGCCTGGCCAACTTTTTATGGCCTCTGAGATTTGAATTTCATATAAAATTCATGATTCACAAAATATTATTCTTCCTTTGATTTTTTCCAACAATTTTAAATATAAAAATCATTCTTAGTTTGTTGACTGTATAAAATCAGGCAGCAAACTGGATTTATCCTACGGCCTATAGTTTGCTAACCTCTGATCTAGAGCAGCACTCTTTTTTTTTTTTTTTGGTCTTTAATGATATTGGCATTTTTGAAAAGTCCAGGCGTATGGTCATGTTCTGATTTTTTTCTTCACTATTAAATACAGGTTCAGATCTTTGGCAAGAATGCTACATAAATGGTATTGTGTTTTTCTCAGTGCATCGCATGTCAAGAGGTATAAATGATATCAGTTTATCCTATTATTTGTGAAGCTCTCATCCTTTAATTCAGTTTTGTGAGTATAGAATAATATTTCTTATTGATCTAAACATATCCATACATGTTCTCATAAGCATGAGTTTTATAGTGGAAGACCTAAGTTTTTTCAAAAATTAAATTTTTTATTTTATTTCTATTTTTTTTTAACTTTCATTTTAAGTTCAGGGGTACATGTGCAGGTTTGTTACCTAGATAAACTTGTGTCATGGGATTTGTTGTACAGATTATTTCATCACCCAGGTATTAAGCCTAGTACCCATTAGTTATGTTTCCTGATCCTCTCCCTGCTTCCACCCTCCACCCTCTGATGGGCCCCAGTGTATGTTGTTTCCCTCTATACATCCATGTTTTTTCATCATTTAGCTCCCACTTATAAGTGAGAACATGCAGTATTTGTTTTTCTGTTCCTGTGTTAGTTTGCTAAGGATAACGGCTCCCAGCTCCATCCATGTCCCTGCAAAGGACATGATCTCTTTCTTTTTTATGACTGCATAATATTCCACTATGGAGCTATAACAGGTATATTTTGTCTACTGACTGTTTTGGAAAATCACCACAAATGTGTATATGTACCATATTTTCTTCATCCAGTCTATCACTGATGGGCATTTAAGTTGATTCCATGTCTTTGCTATTATGAATAGTGCTGCAATGAACATATGCATGCATCTGTCTTTATAATAGAACAATTTATATTCCTTTATACACAGTAATGAGATTGCTGGGTCAAATAGTATTTCTGTTTTTAGGTCTTTGAGGAATCACCACATCGTCTTCTACAATGGCTGAACTAATTTACACTCCCATAAACAGTGTATAAGTGATCCTTTTCTCCACAATCTTGCCAGCATATGTTATTTTTTGACTTTTTAATGAAAGTCAATGTGACTGGTGTGAGATGATATCACATAGTGAATTTGATTTACATTTCTCTAATGATCAGTGATGTTGAGCTTTTTTTCATGATTGTTGGCCCCATGTATGTCTTCTTTTGAGAAGTGTCTGTTCATATCCTTTACCCACTTTTAATTTTTACTTTAATTAATTAATTGATTGATGGATTGATTGAGTTGGTCTCTCGCTTTGGTGTCCAGGCTGGAGTGCAGTGGTGCGATCTCTGCTCACTGCAACCTCCACCTTCCAGGTTCAAGCGATTCTTGTGCCTCAGCCTCCCAAGTGGTTGGGATTACAGATGTGCACCACCCTGCCTGGCTAATTTTTGTATTTTTAGTAGAGACGGGGTTTCGCCTGTTGGCTAGGCTGGTCTTGAACTCCTGACCTCAAGTGATCTGCCGGCCTTGGCCTCCCAAAGTGCTGGGATTACAGGCATGAGCCACTGTGTCCAGCTCCTTCAACCACTTTTTTTTTCTTTTCTCCTTTTTTCTTTTCTTTTTCCTTTATTTATTTATTTATCTATTTATTTATTTATTTATTATTATACTTTAAGTTTTAGGGTACATGTGCACATTGTGCAGGTTAGTTACATATGTATACATGCGCCATGCTGGTGCGCTGCACCCACTAACTCGTCATCTGGCATTAGGTATATCTCACAGTGCTATCCCTCCCCGCTCCCCCAACCCAACCACAGTCCCCAGAGTGTGATATTCCCCTTCCTGTGTCCATGTGATCTCATTGTTCAATTCCCACCTATGAGTGAGAATATGCAGTGTTTGGTTTTTTGTTCTTGCGATAGTTTACTGAGAATGATGATTTCCAATTTCATCCATGTCCCTACAAAGGACATGAACTCATCATTTTTTATGGCTGCATAGTATTCCATGGTGTATATGTGCCACATTTTCTTAATCCAGTCTATCATTGTTGGAAATTTGGGTTGGTTCCAAGTCTTTGCTATTGTGAATAATGCCGCAATAAACATACGTGTGCATGTGTCTTTATAGCAGCATGATTTATAGTCCTTTGGGTATATACCCAGTAATGGGATGGCTGGGTCAAATGGTATTTCTAGTTCTAGATCCCTGAGGAATCGCCACACTGACTTCCACAATGGTTGAACTAGTTTACAGTCCCACCAATAGTGTAAAAGTGTTCCTATTTCTCCACATCCTCTCCAGCACCTGTTGTTTCCTGACTTTTTAATGATTGCCATTCTAACTGGTGTGAGATGGTATCTCATTGTGGTTTTGATTTGCATTTCTCTGATGGCCAGTGATGGTGAGCATTTTTTCATGTGTTTTTTGGCTGCATAAATGTCTTCTTTTGACAAGTGTCTGTTCATGTCCTTCGCCCACTTTTTGATGGGGTTGTTTGTTTTTTTCTTGTAAATTTGTTTGAGTTCATTGTAGATTCTGGATATTAGCCCTTTGTCAGATGAGTGGGTTGCGAAAATTTTCTCCCATTTTGTAGGTTTTCTGTTCACTCTGATGGTAGTTTCTTTTGCTGTGCAGAAGCTCTTTAGTTTAATTAGATCCCATTTGTCAATTTTGGCTTTTGTTGCCATTGCTTTTGGTGTTTTAGACATGAAGTCCTTGCCCATGCCTATGTCCTGAATGGTAACGCCTAGGTTTTCTTCTAGGGTTTTTATGGTTTTAGGTCTAATGTTTAAGTCTTTAATCCATCTTGAATTGATTTTTGTGTAAGGTGTAAGGAAGGGATCCAGTTTCAGCTTTCTACATATGGCTAGCCAGTTTTCCCAGCACCATTTATTAAATAGGGAATCCTTTCCCCATTGCTTGTTTTTCTCAGGTTTGTCAAAGATCAGATAGTTGTAGATATGTGGCGTTATTTCTGAGGGCTCTGTTCTGTTCCATTGATCAATATCTCTGTTTTGGTACCAGTACCATGCTGTTTTGGTTACCACAGCCTTGTAGTATAGTTTGAAGTCAGGTAGCATGATGCCTCCAGCTTTGTTCTTTTGGCTTAGGATTGACTTGGCAATGCGGGCTCTTTTTTGGTTCCATATGAACTTTAAAGTATTTTTTTCCAATTCTGTGAAGAAAGTGATTGGTAGCTTGATGGGGATGGCATTGAATCTGTAAATTACCTTGGGCAGTATGGCCATTTTCACTATATTGATTCTTCCTACCCATGAGCATGGAATGTTCTTCCATTTGTTTGTATCCTCTTTTATTTCCTTGAGCAGTGGTTTGTAGTTCTCCTTGAAGAGGTCCTTCACATCCCTTGTAAGTTGGATTCCTAGGTATTTTATTCTCTTTGAAGCAATTGTGAAT
The DNA here is from genome assembly GCF_000001405.40 of Homo sapiens. NCBI lineage: Eukaryota > Metazoa > Chordata > Mammalia > Primates > Hominidae > Homo > Homo sapiens. The sequence goes on along the minus strand of NC_000002.12, from coordinate 156,258,772 downwards.
GGGAGTTCACTCATGATTTGGCTCTCTGTTTGTCTGTTATTGGTGTATAAGAATGCTTGTGATTTTTGTACATTGATTTTGTATCCTGAGACTTTGCTGAAGTTGCTTATCAGCTTAAGGAGATTTTGGGCTGAGACAATGGGGTTTTCTAGATATAAAATCATGTCATCTGCAAACAGGGACAATTTGACTTCCTCTTTTCCTAATTGAATACCCTTTATTTCCTTCTCTTGCCTAATTGCCCTGGCCAGAACTTCCAACACTATGTTGAATAGGAGTGGTGAGAGAGGGCATCCCTGTCTTGTGCCAGTTTTCAAAGGGAATGCTTCCAGTTTTTGCCCATTCAGTATGATATTGGCTGTGGGTTTGTCATAGATAGCTCTTATTATTTTGAGATACGTCCCATCAACACCTAATTTATTGAGAGTTTTTAGCATGAAGGGTTGTTGAATTTTGTCAAAGGCTTTTTCTGCCTCTATTGAGATAATCATGTGGTTTTTGTCTTGGCTCTGTTTATATGCTGGATTACCTTTATTGATTTGCGTATATTGAACCAGCCTTGCATCCCAGGGATGAAGCCCACTTGATCATGGTGGACAAGCTTTTTGATGTGCTGCTGGATTCATTTTGCCAGTATTTTATTGAGGATTTTTGCATCAATGTTCATCAAGGATATTGGTCTAAAATTCTCTTTGTTCATTGTGTCTTTGTCCGGCTTTGGTATCAGGATGATGCTGGCCTCATAAAATGAGTTAGGGAGGATTCCCTCTTTTTCTATTCATTGGAATAGTTTCAGAAGGAATGGTACCAGTTCCTCCTTGTACCTCTGGTAGAATTCGGCTGTGAATCCATCTGGTCCTGGACTCTTTTTGATTGATAAACTATTGATTATTGCCACAATTTCAGATCCTGTTATTGGTCTATTCAGAGATTCAACTTCTCCCTGGTTTAGTCTTGGGAGAGTGTATGTGTCGAGGAATTTATCCATTTCTTCTAGATTTTCTAGTTTATTTGCGTAGAGGTGTTTGTAGTATTCTATGATGGTAGTTTGTATTTCTGTGGGATCGGTGGTGATATCCCCTCTATCATTTTTTATTGTGTCTATTTGATTCTTCTCTCTTTTTTTCTTTATTAGTCTTGCTAGTGGTCTATCAATTCTGTTGATCCTTTCAAAAAAGCAGCTCCTGGATTCATTAATTTTTTGAAGGGTTTTTTGTGTCTCTATTTCCTTCAGTTCGGCTCTGATTTTAGTTATTTCTTGCCTTCTGCTAGCTTTTGAATGTGTTTGCTCTTGCTTTTCTAGTTCTTTTAATTGTGATGTTAGGGTGTCAATTTTGGATCTTTCCTGCTTTCTCTTGTGGGCATTTAGTGCTATAAATTTCCGTCTACACACTGCTTTGAATGTGTCCCAGAGATTCTGGTATGTTGTGTCTTTGTTCTCGTTGGTTTCAAAGAACATCTTTATTTCTGCCTTCATTTCGTTATGTACCCAGTAGTCATTCAGGAGCAGGTTGTTCAGTTTCCATGTAGTTGAGCGGTTTTGAGTGAGATTCTTAATGCTGAGTTCTAGTTTGATTGCACTGTGGTCTGAGAGATAGTTTGTTATAATCTCTGTTCTTTTACATTTGCTGAGGAGAGCTTTACTTCCAAGTATGTGGTCAATTTTGGAATAGGTGTGGTGTGGTGCTGAAAAAAATGTATATTCTGTTGATTTGGGGTGGAGAGTTCTGTAGATGTCTATTAGGTCTGCTTGGTGCAGAGCTGAGTTCAAGTCCTGGGTATCCTTGTTGACTTTCTGTCTCGTTGATCTGTCTAATGTTGACAGTGGGGTGTTAAAGTCTCCCATTATTAATGTGTGGGAGTCTAAGTCTCTTTGTAGGTCACTAAGCACTTGCTTTATGAATCTGGGTGCTCCTGTATTGGGTGCATATATATTCAGGATAGTTAGCTCTTCTTGTGGAATTGATCCCTTTACCATTATGTAATGGCCTTCTTTGTCTCTTTTGATCTTTGTTGGTTTAAAGTCTGTTTTATCAGAGACTAGGATTGCAACCCCTGCCTTTTTTTGTTTTCCATTTGCTTGGTAGATCTTCCTCCATCCTTTTATTTTGAGCCTATGTGTGTCTCTGCACGTGAGATGGGTTTCCTGAATACAGCACACTGATGGGTCTTGACTCTTTATCCAATTTGCCAGTCTGTGTCTTTTAATTGGAGCATTTAGTCCATTTACATTTAAAGTTAATATTGTTATGTGTGAATTTGATCCTGTCATTATGATGTTAGCTGGTTATTTTGCACGTTAGTTGATGCAGTTTCTTCCTAGTCTTGATGGTCTTTACATTTTGGCATGATTTTGCAGTGGCTGGTACCGGTTGTTCCTTTCCATGTTTAGCGCTTCCTTCAGGAGCTCTTTTAGGGCAGGCCTGCTGGTGACAAAATCTCTCAGCATTTGCTTGTCTGTAAAGTATTTTATTTCTCCTTCACTTATGAAGCTTAGTTTGGCTGGATATGAAATTCTGGGTTGAAAATTCTTTTCTTTAAGAATGTTGAATATTGGCCCCCACTCTCTTCTGGCTTGTAGGGTTTCTGCCGAGACATTCACTGTTAGTCTGATGGGCTTCCCTTTGAGGGTAACCCGACCTTTCTCTCTGGCTGCCCTTAACATTTTTTCCTTCATTTCAACTTTGGTGAATCTGACAATGTGTCTTGGAGTTGCTCTTCTCGAGGAGTATCTTTGTGGCGTTCTCTGTATTTCCTGAATCTGAACGTTGGCCTGCCTTGCTAGATAGGGGAAGTTCTCCTGGATAATATCCTGCAGAGTGTTTTCCAACTTGGTTCCATTCTCCCCATCACTTTCAGGTACACCAATCAGACGTAGATTTGGTCTTTTCACATAGTCCCATATTTCTTGGAGGCTTTGCTCATTTCTTTTTATTCTTTTTTCTCTAAACTTCCCTTCTCGCTTCATTTCATTCATTTCATCTTCCATTGCTGATACCCTTTCTTCCAGTTGATCGCATCAGCTCCTGAGGCTTCTGCATTCTTCACGTAGATCTCGAGCCTTGGTTTTCAGCTCCATCAGCTCCTTTAAGCACTTCTCTGTATTGGTTATTCTAGTTATACATTCTTCTAAATTTTTTTCAAAGTTTTCAAGTTCTTTGCCTTTGGTTTGAATGTCCTCCCGTAGCTCAGAGTAATTTGATCGTCTGAAGCCTTCTTCTCTCAGCTCATCAAAGTCATTCTCCATCCGGCTTTGTTCCGTTGCTGGTGAGGAACTGCGTTCCTTTGGAGGAGGAGAGGTGCTCTGCGTTTTAGAGTTTCCAGTTTTTCTGTTCTGTTTTTTCCCCATCTTTGTGGTTTTATCTACTTTTGGTCTTTGATGATGGTGATGTACAGATGGGTTTTTGGTGCGGATGTCCTTTCTGTTTGTTAGTTTTCCTTCTAACAGACAGGACCCTCAGCTGCAGGTCTGTTGGAATACCCTGCCGTGTGAGGTGTCAGTGTGCCCCTGCTGGGGGGTGCCTCCCAGTTAGGCTGCTCGGGGGTCAGGGGTCAGGGACCCACTTGAGGAGGCAGTCTGCCCGTTCTCAGATCTCCAGCTGCGTGCTGGGAGAACCACTGCTCTCTTCAAAGCTGTCAGACAGGGACATTTAAGTCTGCAGAGGTTACTGCTGTCTTTTTGTTTGTCTGTGCCCTGCCCCCAGAGGTGGAGCCTACAGAGGCAGGCAGGCCTCCGTGAGCTGTGGTGGGCTCCACCCAGTTCGAGCTTCCCGGCTGCTTTGTTTACCTAAGCAAGCCTGGGCAACGGCGGGCGCCCCTCCCCCAGCCTCGCTGCCGCCTTGCAGTTTGATCTCAGACTGCTGTGCTAGCAATCAGCGAGACTCCCTGTGAGTAGGACCCTCCGAGCCAGGTGCGGCTTATAATCTCGTGGTGCGCCGTTTTTTAAGCCGGTCGGAAAAGCGCAGTATTCGGGTGGGAGTGACCCGATTTTCCAGGTGCGTCCTTTACCCCTTTCTTTGACTCGGAAAGGGAACTCCCTGACCACTTGCGCTTCCCAAGTGAGGCAATGCCTCGCCCTGCTTCGGCTTGCACATGGTGCGCGCACCCACTGACCTGCGCCCACTGTCTGGCACTGCCTAGTGAGATGAACCCGGTACCTCAGATGGAAATGCAGAAATCACCCGTCTTCTGCGTCGCTCACGCTGGGAGCTGTAGACTGGAGCTGTTCCTATTCGGCCATCTTGGCTCCTCCTCAACCAGTTTTTAATGGGGTTGTTTTTTCTTGGAAATTGTTAAAGTTCCTTGTAGATGCTGAACATTAGCCCTTTGTAGGATGCATAGGTTGCAAAAATTTTTCTCCCATTCTGTAGTTGTCTGTTTAGTCTGTTGATTGTTTCTTTTGATGTGCAGAAGCTCTTTAATTAGATCCCATTTGTCAATTTTTGCTTTTGTTGCAATTGCTTTTGGTGTCTTTGTCATGAAATCTTTGCCCATGCCTATGTCCTGAATGATATTGTCTAGGTTGTCTTCTGGGTTTTTATAGTTTTGGGTTTTGTAATTAAGCCTTTAATCCATCTTGAGTAAATTTTTGTATAATGTGTAAGGAAGGGGTCCAGTTTTAAACTTTGGCATATGGCTAGCCGGTTATCCCAGCATTATTTATTGAATGGAAAATCTTTTCCCCATTCAATAAATTTATCCATTGCTTGTTTTTGTCAGATTTGTCAAAGATTAGATAGTGGCAGGTATACAGTCTTATTTCTGGGTTCTCTATTCTGTTCCATTGGTCTGTGTGTCTGTTTTTGTACTGGTACCATGCTATTTTGATTACTGTAGCCCTGTAGTATAGTTTGAGGTAGGGTAACGTGATGCCTCCAGCTTTGTTCTTTTTGCTTAGGATTGAATTGGCTATTTGGGGTCTATTTTGCAAGCCCAAGAGTTCTTAACAGAAAAGTAATTATATACAGAAATGATCAACCATTAGGAAATTATGCATTGTTGATGGGCACAAGGTTTATGACAGGCAGAAATTTGCAAATGAACTAAGTAGAGTTTTACATTACTTTTATTTTATTTTATTGAGAAGTTAAAAAATTATCTGCAGAAAACAAAATCAATCAAATTCCTCTGTTCATGGTATGCTATCCTCTTTTCTCTTTGTTCACCTTTTATCTTCTTGTTATTTTCAAGCCACCCCTGACCACTCAACTGCATTTGGATATATGTATTTTTTCAGATTACACATATATATGTATATATATGGAATCTGAAAAATATAAAATATTGTTTTATATTTGTATGCTTTATATTTATATAAGTGATAGCGTATTTTAATCTCATTCATTTTTTGATTTTCTTATTCTTCACTATGTTTTCTTGATTTATGCCTATTTTCCTATGTGTCATTTTGCTCTGATCATAGTATTCCATAGTACACATTTATTCTACTTTATTTCCCTAGCAAAGTGCACCTAAATTGCTTCCAACTTCCTTCTATCACAAATAATGCTGTGATAAACATAATGACACACAACTCCTTTGGTATCTCTGCACATATTTCTCTGGACATATACTGAGGAGAAAGATTGCTGTGTCTTAGGCGATGCACATTCCATACCACAGTTCACACTGCCAGACTAAAAGGGCTCTGTTGCTCTTCATGCCTGCCACGATGCACAAGATTCCTATTTCTCCATAATCTCACAAACATTTGGTGATATTTCTAGTTTTTGTCAAAGTGATGTATATAAAGTGGTGCCTCATGTTTTAATTTGCATCCACATAAAAATCAGTGTGGTTGATCATCTCTTTACATAATAGTTTTTCCATTGGATACTCATGGGTTTTGATCTTTTACTTGTTGGCATATGTCCCTCATATCTTATAAATATTAAATGGTTGCCAATTTTTGATATGTTTATAAAATAAAATAGAAATTAAAGAAGAGAGAGAGAATATGGAAGAATTCTTCTTCTTCTTCTTTTTTTGGTCACCCAGGCTGGAGTGTAGTAGTGCCATCTGGGCTTACTGCAACCTCAGCCTCAGAGGTTCGAACAATTCTATGCCTCAGCCACCTGCGTAGCTGGCATTACAGATGCATGACACCACGTCTGGCTAATTTTTGTATTTTTAGTAGAGATGGGGTGTCGCCGTGTTGGCCAGGCTGGTCTCAAACTCCTGACCTCAGGTGATCTGCCTGCTCCCAAAGTGTTGGGATTACAGGCATGTGCCACCAACCTCTGCCAAATACGGAAAATTCTAAAAGTAACTGAATTCAGAATTCATTTGGAGTTTATATGGATTTTATCATGTTATTCTTTCCACTTGACTGTGTGTTTGAAAAAGCCTATATTAAAATTTTGGCTAAAGTCTTTTTGCTTTGCATCAACAGTTTTCAGAGGCTGTGGAGCTGAAATAGAAAATGTTCATATTCATTTAGCTATTGAAGAAATAATAATAATAATAATTTTTTTTTGAGATGGAGTCTCGCTCTGTCGCCCAGGCTGGAGTTCAGTGGCACAATCTCGGCTCGCTGCAAGCTCCAACTCCTGGGTTCATGCCATTCTCCTGCCTCAGCCTCCCGAGTAGCTGGGACTACAGGTGCCCGCCACCACTCCCGGCTAATTTTTTGTATTTTTTAGTAGAGATGGGGTTTCACCGTGTTAGCCAGGATGGTCTCGATCTCCTGACCTCGTGATCTGCCCACCTCGGCCTCCCAAAGTGCTGAGATTACAGAGGTGAGTCACTGCGCCTGGCCCCTGAATAAATAATTATTGATTACTATTTGATATTGATAACTAGTGATGCATTGGTAAATGAGACAAAATCCCCCCTAAGGAGATCATAGTCAAGTGAAGGGGGATGTCCATAAATAAGTAAACCAGTAAATGAAAAAACGACTTCAGATAGTCACATTCCAGGAAATAAATAAAGCAGAGTGTATGATATTGATTGGGGAGACAGAATGAATAAAGAAGTTTTAGATTAATGATAGAGTGAGGTGGTGATATGAGATCATGAACTTCAAAATCAGATGTGGATCTAAACCCTGGATTCTTCACTAGATTTGGAGTTGGACAGACTTGGATTTAGATCCTAGTTCACTCTGTGGTAAGTAGATTTTTTTTTTTTTTTTTTTTTTTTTGAGACAGGATTTTAGTCTGTTGCCCAGGCTGGAGTGCAGTAGTGTGATCTCGTCTCATTGTACCCTTAACTAGATTATACTGGCTTTATGTTATAGTTTTTAAATTAAAATGTCTTAATTTATAATGATATGAATTGGAAATTAGTGTCTTGTAGCATCACAGAACTCAGAGGTATGGCAAGAAAATCAAGAAGGCTTAAATGAATCCAGAGTTAGTTCATATTGATATAGGCATTCATAGCAGAAATTAGAGAGCAAGTAGTTAAACTAAATTAGGTAATATTGTACTAATTAATGACTCCAATTTAATTTTGGGAACATACAGTATAATCAGTATGAATCTTTAAATATGGTATGTATCTACTTATAACCATGTGATTTACACTCTATGATGTCTGCACAACTCTAAGTATGCACATACTTAAGGCTAATTTACCAAGCTGATTGAAGGTAGGGCAGTGTATTAGTCCGTTCTCATACTGCTATGAGGAAATACCCAAGACTGGGTAATTTATAAAGAAAAAGAAGTTTAATGGATTTACAGTTCCACATGTCTGGGGAGGCCTCACAGTCATGGCGGAAGGTGAAGGAAGAGCAAAGGCACATCTTACATGGTGGCAGGCAAGACAGCATGTGCAGGGGAACTGCCTCTTATAAAACCATCAGATCTTGTGATACTTATTCACTATCATGAGAATGGCATAGGAAAACCCACCTCCATGATTCAATTACCTACCACTGGGTCCCTCCCACGACACATGGGATTATGGGAGCTACAATTCAAGATGAGATTTGGATGGGACATAGCCAAATCACATTAGGCAGTGTCTTATAGAGTAACAATTCCCTTGTTTGCTAATGACCCATTTAATAGTATGATCCAGAATATAAAAATAAGTGAAAAAAGACTTTGAGCAGCCAAACTAGACACTGGAAAATTTGTGCAATGAAGCTTACATAGACTTTATGCTGGCCTAAAATATTTGTTTCCTCTAAGAATATATGATATTGGTGATACAATCTGGACTTAGAGAAACCTATGGGAAGATCTCTCCCCTTTGGACATTATAGTAAGGAAAATTATGGCTTGCAAAAGATGTCCATGTCTTAACTCCTGAAACTTCTGTATATGTTACCTTGAATGACAAAAGGTACTTTGCAGTGATTAAGATAAGAATTTTGATATGGGAAACTATCCTGGTTTATCTGGGTTGGCCCAATGTATCTACCTGTGTCTAATGCCAGAAAACCTTTCCTGACTGTGATCAGAGGGAGATGTGACTATGAAAGAATGGGCAGAGAGGTGGAATGTTGGTGGCTTTGGAAATGGAAAGAGGTGGCGTCAGGAGCCAAGAAATGGATGGCCTGTAAAAGCTGGCAAAAGTAAGCAAACAGATTCTGCTCTAGAGCCTTCAGAAAAAAAAAAGCAGTCCTGTAGATGCCTTGATTTAGGCCCAATGAAACTCATGGTGCACTTCTTTAATTTTTTTTTTTTTTTTTTGAGATGGAGTCTCACTCTCGCCTAGGCTGGAGTGCAGTGGTGCAATCTCCACTCACTGCAACCTCTGCCTCCTGGGTTCAAGCGATTCTCCTGCCTCAGCCTCCTGACTAGCTGGGATTACAGTCAAGCGCCACCACGTCCAGCTAATTTTTGTATTTTTAGTAGAGACAGGGTTTCACCGTGTTGGTTAGGCTGGTCTTGAACTCTTGATTTCATGATCCACTCGCCTCGGCCTCCCAAAGTGCTGGGATTACAGGCGTGAGCCACTGCACCTGGCTCTCATGGTGCATTTCTAACCTACAGAACTGTAAGATAAATTTTTGTTGTTTGATGTCATTAAATCTGCAGTTATTTGTTCTAGCTTAATAGGAGATGAATACACCTATTAATGCTTTTTGTCAGGCCAGAGATTACATTCAACTACATAATTTACGATCTTGTTGTGGCCCAAACTATATAGTGGACAGGTTTGCCTTTTTATACATACATATATGGATGTAGTTTTCGTTCTCTGGATGATACATTTCCATAAATAACAAACAAAAAGAAAATAAAAATGAGAAGTAGTATGAACAAAAGATCACAATCTGGTTTTAATTGAGCAACTTGCTTGATTTAGGAATCCCAATCCAATCTAGGTCTGTGTTTATTTTTGTTACTGGGCAAAGTGTCCTATCTGTAACCCAGAGAATTAATCAGTGGTAGAACCCAAGTTACACAATTGAAGTAAGAAAAGTAGCTTCTTAAAAATACAACTGAGGCACATTTATTACCAGAAATCAGGCTGCCTTGATAGCAGGATAAGAACATTAAATTAATTAAAGAAATGGATTGCATCAAATAAGTTTTCATGGGAATGGGAATTGAGGAGACAGTAGAATCTTGGAATTTTAAAAGACCTTAGAAGTCACTGAGTCCAGCAATTCTCTAACCTGGCCGTGAACAACTTTGGGGAAATTTTAAAACGTAAAGATGCCCTGATTTCATCTCAGCTTTATCAAATCATTCTTTTAGGTGATATTCTTGTTATTTATATCTTAAATAGAGCTTTCCAGGTGATTCTGATGTGGAAGACAAGTATTTTGGACTATTAAGTCCAACTCTCTACTATTCATTTCCTTTATATCACTACATCAAATCATTCCACAAGGATTTGAGCATATGGTAGGGAATAGTCAAAATTTATTATTCTGCCAATCTACAAGTTTAGTGATTTTTAAGCATAGAAAGAATTCAAAATTTAGAGCCAGGAGAAATAGAATATAATGCAGTGTAATAATTGATTGTTAATCTTCTTTTCAAACTCTTCGAATAGCAGGGGACACGTCACTTACATGGCAACTATTCTATTCTTAGACAACTACAAATTTCAAAATATTTCTTCACATTTAGCCAAAAATCTCTCCACATAACTCCTAACTGAAGGCTTATAATCATATTTATTATAGTCATATGAAGCCAGGTGGATAAATGAGATGCCATTAAGTGGCTCAGTGCCAGACACAGACATCTTATCTGGGAAATCTTGTCAAGTTCATCCAGTGCTACATATCTGTCCTATGTGCTCTGATAGCGCTAATCAATCTTATTGCAGTCACTTCTTTGCTTGTTTCTTCTGTAATATTGTAAATGCCTTTAAGGGTGGAGACTATTCTTTCTGAATCTTTAGCAGCTCGTATCAGGCCTGGCACATAATTGGTCCTCAGTAAATATTTGCTAAATTAATGCATGAATTGTTGGTGTAGTTGTCAAATCTTAGGTTTCCTCCTCTTCCTTTCTGTTATTATGCTTCTTTTCTTCTTCATGCCCTATCAATATTTAAATACTTTATAGAATTAGCAACTTAAGTTCTTCCAGCTGTTTTTCGTAATTAATTTTTAAAAATATTCTTCTCCACCTTTGCCCTCTACTTTGAATATCTTTTGATGATATATTTTCCTACTAGAGTGTGGTACCAAGAACTAAATTGTGATACGATAGGTGACTTATGAGTAGCACAGAATGTAATAGGCCCATCTCTACCTAGTTCTGGTCACCACACTTCTGTCAAGGTAGCTCGGAGAGACGGTGTCTACTTATTCACCACATCATGAGATCACCTCAAACTGAGCAGGCAGCCAATGAAAACCGTGAGCTTTCTTTACATTAACTTTCTGAAAGTCATTTTTTCTTATTCCACTTTGTGCCTTTTTTTAAAAGCTGCAGCTTCATGGAATTTAATCCTGGTATTTAAAACACTTACTGTTTAACTCTATTAAATTTCACTTTGATTTACTCTGTTGACATCTACTTTAATTTTATCCTGTGAAATATCTTACTGTGCCTTCCATTCCAGCAAATCTTTATATTTGTTGAACATACTATCTTATGTAAATGAAGTTTAATGATAAAACATTGGGTAGGGCAGAGACAGGATCAGAAATTCTGTGGAATACAACTATAAACTTATTTATAAAGACTGCAATCTATTAACTAATGAAGTAATTAATGAACCAATCATCAGTCAATTATTATTCTTTTGGTATAGTAGATAGAAAAAATATAAATCCACATACTGTAGTATTACCCAGCTCATGTGTCTCTTTCATTCACAAGAACATAATGAGACACTTCATCAAATGTCTCTTTAAAGTCTAGTCTACTTGTGACATTCCTCTGAGGTAATATTAAAGTGTTAGATCAAGAGTGTGGTCTGCAGCAAAAAAAAAAAAAAAAAAATTTGAAATGTGGAGGAAATTTACAAAAGCATCTAGGTTACTGGATGAGAATTGTGAGGATTTGAGCTACATACTTTTAGTGCTGGGATTTTGGAGCTAATATAATTCAATCCCCACAAGAAACAGATAATCAAAAAGTTTGAAAAAGTAGGGTGACTTGGTAAGATTCTGTACTTAGAGGCAAAATGGATTTAGGACATGTTTTGCTGAACATCTTATCCAGTGATGGTTCTACCACTTACTACACCATCACTCTTTTGATCTTTATTTCTCAGCTAAGTGGTCAACTCACCCTCTTTATCTTCTTCTTTGATGGACATTTCACTGTACAGAGTCTGAAGCTGTGGAAAGCAAGTGAATTCTTTCTTTGAAAGGCCATAACTTTACCCTCAGCAGTGTTTAACTGTGGCAAATATGAACTGCTTGAAAAAAGTCTCCTTTATTTTTTCAGCCTATTTTATACTGAGGTTTTCTAGAGATCAAGAGGTAAGGCCAGATGCCTCATTTTCTAAAATTATCTTTTAAGCTCCTTGCCTGTTTAAAATATAGAAAAATGTGTTTGTGAAAGTAAACAACTTCCATGCCTCAGCTTTTCTTTGGTAGGGAATAATTATCTGTGTTTAAAACTATTAAAAGTTCTGGGTAAATTTTAAATTCCAGGTGGTTACAGAAGAGGGCTACTTTCTTTGAAGTTTTCTGTGCAATCCAATGGCTAAGGACTGGTCAACCATCACATTATCATTTCAACAAACTCTGTAATAACAGAAATAAGTGAATACTACTGTTATCTCTGTCTTACAGGTAAGGAAGGTGATATAGTTATCGAGTACATCTGGCTCTAGAGTATGTACATTTAGCCACACTCTCTAATGTCTCTCAAAATACCCCAGTGTTCTTAGTTTAAGGAATTGAATAGTCTTGATAATGGATTTTTACCCACTTGCAGTGGGAGAAGGAAAGGGAGTGCTGGAGATGTAGTGGTGGAATGTGCATTAAGACACAAGTGTTATTCAGTTACCAGTGCTTATCCTTGGGCCTTTTATGTTTTATTCACCGATTCACCGTTTCAAACTCCTGTGTCCATATTGGATATGGGTTTCCTACCTGCATCACAGCCTCTACATTCTTTTAGCTTCCTAACTATAATTTCTTTTCTAAGTCTTGAGACCTTTTCTCTCTTTTACCGTCTTCTTTGCTCCTATCATAGAATATACCTGTAATATTAGTTCTATAATAATAGATGTTGGCCAACCATTTTACTAACCTTGATAATATATCATCAGGATTATATGACAATAGAATTTTCATTGAATTATTCTGCTCTTATTTCTCTTTAGTTTACTTTCCCAGGTTTGGTTGAGATTTCCTCTTGTAATCCACTATTTTTCCAAAGATGAATTTACCATAACCTAAGCAGATAAAAATTTGCCTACTGATTCAGAGGACAGTTAATGAACTATCATTGACACCTACTAAATATCTATCTTTTGAGACTATGTATTTCAGTAATTATAATCTATATATCTTTTTCTTTATGTTTAAATGTTTTATTATAGAAGTTTAAACATGTGCAAAAATAGAGACTAATTTAATGAACTTTATTAACCCATCTGGTTTTAACAATTATTAACATTTTACTAATCTTGTCTCTTAAAGACATGGTGGACTTTTGGAATTAAAAAAATAGTGGTTAATCACATGACATATAAATTATTTTTCTATCATTTTCTACAATGTTGTCACCCTATTATTTTGTACATGATAATATTTTTTGATGGTATTTATTGCAGATTCAGCTGGACTTTGATTTTTCTTAAAAAACTAGACTGTCATTTAAATATTTCCAATATATTATGATTTCTATAAAATTGGATCAAACTGTTTTTAATGAGTTTTCTAAGACTATAAACTTATGATAACCTTGGAAATTAAAGTTTTTAACTTCTGGTATAAAGCAAAGAGTACTTATCTTTGTCTACTCTTTGTGGTCATCTCATCTTCATTTAGCTGTAAATCCCTGGGTGGTGTCTTTATAGATTTGTCTTATGAATTATCAATTATTTTGTTGCAGAATAAAAGTAAGAATTTAGTTAAGTAATGAATTATGGAGAATATTATTTAAACTTTCACCAAAAGATACAATTAAGAATGAAAATGTGGCCGGGTGAGGTGGCTCATGCCTGTAATCCCAGTACTTTGGGAGGTCGAGGCTGGTGGATCACCTGAGGTCAGGGGTTCAAGACCAGTTGGCCAACATGGTGAAACCCTGTCTCCACGAAAAATACAAAAAAGTATCCGGGCATGGTGGCGAGTGCCTGTAATCCCAGCTACTTGGGAGGCTGAGGCAGGAGAATTGCTTGAACCTGGGAGGTGGAGGTTGCAGTGAGCCGAGATCATGCCATTGCTCTCCAGCCTGGACAACGTGAAACTTCGTTTCAAAAAAAAAGAAAGGAAGGAAGGAAGGAAATTCAATCCAAAGATTTATAAAACAATAAATGGAAGGTTCTAGTGTAGAGTGAGAAACAGAAGCAATTTAGCATTAAGCCATATGCTATTGATTAATAAGAGAATACATGTGTCCTAGCTCATATGTTGTCTAAGGATCCATATAATAAGAAAAAATGTGATGTTTTGGTATGCTTTAAGGTTTCTTTTCAGCAGTCATGCAAGAATGGGATAACAATTTTGTAATTATGGCTTGCCTTGAGTAAGCAGCTTATTGCATTATGGTATGACACAAGTACCTGCTTGTCTCAAAATATCCACTATTGACTTGACCTAATATTTGAAAATCTCACAATTAATAAACATATGGGGTTATGACATTAAATGCTTAAGTAGTATAATTGCATTACATGTGAAACCTACTCCATTTAATCATAATCCCTATTATCACACTGGCACCAATTAAGTTATCACATTGGTTACCCACCCAGCTAAAAGGCACAGGAACAAGCAAGCGAGCTTTACACAAGGAAGAGAGAACAGGGACAGTGTAGAATATAAGTTAAAGAAGCTTTGAAAAACACAAAGAGCTAGTTGCTTGAGGGCAAGAAGTATCAAATCAAAGATTGGGGAAGGTATCCTTAAAGGAGATAACAAATGATCAACTAGTAGCTCTACCTTTAGATAGCCCTTGTCCAGATTATTGCAGTTTTAGATATGATACAGTGAAAAGTATTCCTTTGTAATAAAGACTTACTTTATTTTTTATATATAATCTAGTTTTTCTTCTATAAGTTAGGATATCAATAATCATGGTTTTAAGATTTGGGAATGTTCTGAGGAAATCCATGGGTAGCTGTACAGATTGAGATTTACTTTTATAAATCCAAATAAATCCACAAGGTAGAGAAAAACATAATTTATGTGTTAGTCAGTAGAATTGGGACTTCAGTATTGTTTGGAAAACAACTCAGGTTCATGATGCAATGAAGGATGCATCACTAAGGTTTGGCAAAGAAAATATCCTTGGTTAAAATCTCTTCCTTAGAAACCCAAAAAATCACACTATATTCCTCAGATAGTATGGATTATAATTACACGAAAACCAAAAATGTAATACATAGGAACCTGATAATTAAAAATTCAGATGTGTTTTTATTTTCTATTATTGGTAGATTTTTTTTAAAAAAAAGATTCCTTTTGTCCTGTATTAAATTTGAATTAAATTTGAAAATCACAAAGTTCATAAATTTTTTTTTTTTTTGAGATGCAGTCTCGCTCTGTTGTCCAGGCTGGAGTGCAGTGGTGCAATCTCAGCTTACTGCAACTCCACCTCCTGGGTTCAAGCGATTCTCCTGCCTCAGCCTCCCGAGTAGCTGGGATTACAGGTGCATGCCACCACGCCTGGCTAATTTTTGTATTTTTAGTAGAAATTGGGTTTCACCATGTTGGCCAGGCTGGTTTCAAACTTCTGACCTCAGGTGATCTGCCTGCCTCAGCTTCCCAGAGTGCTGGGGTTACAGTCATGAGCCACTGCACCCGGCGCGTAAAAAGTTTTTTTAACTTTCATGTGTATTCCACATTAGGAGTCTTGTAAGGCATTATGTAATATTTTAAAAATATTTAAATTAATTTGCTAACAATTTCTTCCTATTTTGTGCATTAGACATACCATAAAATTTATATAAAACTTGGGCATAAAAATAAAGATTTTAAGCTTTTCTTAATAAAGGAGCTCAGAAAATATTAAATATAATTTGATTTATTTTAAGAAGATTTAAAATAATCTATTGAATAAACTCTTTTGAGTACACACTCCATGCCAAGCCCTATACTAACTGCTAAGGGAGTAGAAGGATAAGTAAACTTGATATTTGCATGAATCATCTGGTATTTTCTGCAATGTTGTTTTTGTGAGAATGATCATCTTTAGGTTAGGCTAATGGTGAAATGAGTCAAGTTACAGAAGTCTCAAATTGGGTAGATTTGCTTTCAGAGGTATTGGGTAAATGTTTAGGTACTAGAAAGGAGATGGGGGATCGTAGGAAAGTACAAGTCTCTTAGAACACTCAGTTTTCAGAGTCAGAGTAGGGCTATCATTGGAACTAATTTTATTCTGATCTAGAGAATTACTGAGGGTATTTTTACATTGTACCTAGCTAGATCTAGGTTTAGTTACATAGCCTGGAATAGTCCAGTGTGTGATGATAAGTGTAAGTACTGGAAAGTACTATGTCTCTACAAGGATAAGGAGGAAGAGAGGCCAGGCATGGTGGCTCACACCTGTAATCCCAGCATTTTGGGAGGCTAAGGCGGGTGAATTGTTTGAGGCCAGGAGTTTGAGACCAGTCTGGCCAACATGGTGAAACACCATTCCTACTAAAACTATAAAAAATTAGCCAGGTGTGGTGGCATGCACCAGTAATCCCAGCTATGTGGGAGGCTGAGGCACGAGAATCGCTTGAACCCAGGAGGTGGAGGTTGCAGTGAGCCGAGATCATGCCACTGCACTTCAGCCTGGGCGACAAGCAAGACTCTGTCTCAAAAAAAAAAAAAAAAAAAATGGAGAAAGAGAGATAGAAATGTAGATAGATAAATAATAACTCACATAACTCAATAGCAAAATAATAATAATAATAAAAATAATAATCTGATTAAAAAATGGGTGAAAGACCAGAATAGGTATTTCTCAAAAGAAGACATACAAATGAACAACAGGTATATTCAAACAATGCCCAACATCACACACGTTCAGGGAAATGCAAATCAAAATCACAATGAGATATCATCTCACCTCAGCTAGAATAGCTATTATTAAATATCAAAAAGACAAAAAATAATATGCTGACAAGGATGTGGAGAAAGAAGAATGTTTATACACTATTGGTATGAATGTAAAGTAGTGCAGCCATGATGGAAAACAATATGAGAGTTCCTAAAAAACCAAAAGAACTACCATATGATCTAATAATTCTACGCTGGATATATATCCAAAAGAAAACAAATTGGTATAAGTAACAAACACATGTTTATTGCAGCACTATGCACGATAGCCAAGATATGGAATCAACCTAAGTGTCTCTTAATGGATGAAAGGATGAAGAAAATGTGTTATATAAACACAATGCAATATTAAAAAAGAATGAAATACTGTCATTTACAGTGACATAGATGGAACTAGAGGTCATTATGTCAAATAAATAAGCCAGGCACAGAAGGACAAATTTTTCTCACTCATATTTGGGAGCTAAAAAAATGGATCTTATGGGAGGTGGAGAGTAGAATGGTGGTTACCAGGAGCTGGGAAGGCAAGGGAGGAGGAGGGACAAAAAATTGGTTAAAAGGTACAAAAATACAGTTATATAGAAGGAATAAGTTCTAGTATTTGACAGTA
This sequence comes from Homo sapiens, assembly GCF_000001405.40. Lineage (NCBI taxonomy): Eukaryota > Metazoa > Chordata > Mammalia > Primates > Hominidae > Homo > Homo sapiens. The sequence goes on along the minus strand of NC_000002.12, from coordinate 156,241,571 downwards.
CAGTAGGAAAATTATAGCTAACAATAATTTATTGTATATATCAAAATAGGTAGAAGAATTGTAATATTCCCAACACAAAGAAAAGATAAATGTTTGAGTTGATGAAAAAGTCAATTACCTTGATTTGATCATTATACATTGTATACAGATATCAAAATATCACATATACACCAAAAATATGAACTATTAAATATCAATAGAAGAAGCAAATAATAAAACAAAAATAAATAAATAAATTCAAGCTAAATCTAAATTTTTTAAAAAAGAAATGTAGTTGGACTGTGAAAGATGGGGAATAACAAATTTTAAAAAATTGTCACAGGCAGAGTAATGCTCCCTGTAGAGGTCCACAACCTAATCCCAGGAATCTGTGAATATGTTACCTTACATTTAGGTTGCAGAGGAGATAACAAATCAGTTGACCTTGAGATAGGAAGATTATCCCAGATTATCCTGGTGAGTCCAATGTAATCACTAGACTCCTTATGTGGATTAAATGGAAAAGGAAAACAGAGTGAGATAACTGGAGGAATGGCAGTGTGCTGGCTTTCAAGATGGAAAAAGTTCATCAGCCAAGTAATATGGGTGGCCTCCAGAAGCTGGAAAAGGGAAGAAACAGATTCTTCCCAAGAGCCTGAATATGGAGAACAAAGCCCTGCCATCACCTTGGTTTTAACCCAACGATTTAGTGATTCTATAAAATACCTAGTATCATTCAATAAATTCCTTTTCTGCTTAAGTTAGTTAAAGAGGATTCTGTTGCTTTCAGCTAAGAACCCTGATCAAGAGAGGGGTCAAATGAGAAAACAATACAGAATTAACTTTTAAAAGGTGAGTAAAATAATTTTCAGTAGAATTAAAGGATCAATTTCAGACTTCTGACCTCCAGCACTAGAAGATAATACATTTGGGTCAAGTCACTAAGTCAGTGGTCATTTGTTATAGCAGCCATAGGATACCACACTATGGAAGTCAAATTCTGTGAGCTTCATTTTTCTCAAATCCAAAAGAGAGTCTTAATACTCACTTCCTAAACAACAATATCAAAATCTGATTGCAAAACTTATATGATGTAATGTATTTGAAGTATTTAGCACATGGCTAAACAACTATGAAATGTTTAGTCAGTATCATTATGGTATGCAGCTCTTCATGTTGGAAAGAGGTTCAGAATCACTTCCTTTAACATCTTTCTATTATATCTTATTCTCAGAGAGAGTTTTTAACCTATGCACTGATGCTATTGAAAAATCAGCCCACAGTTTACAAATCATTTTAGATAGCATTTAACAGAGTTCCGCATCAGAAGCAAATATCTAAGGTGCAGAGTTGTGAAATAGAACAGAAGTTGACAGCTTAGACTGAAAACTGGCTAAGGGCAGAAGTTAAGGGTAGAAGTAAATGGAAACATTTCAAGCAGGACAAAGAATACCTTGGGGAAGAAGATTAAAACAAAATCACTAAAACACATAGTGTTTGTTTGATGTCTGGTGCTGTTTATTTGATGCCCAAGATGATCCTATGAAGTAGGTATTTAACTATCTCCATTTTGTACAAAAGTTAAATGAGACAATTAATGTGACCAAGTCACACAACTAGTAAGAGGCAAAGCTGAAATTCGAGTCTGGACAGCCTGACTTCAGAATTTATGCTCTTTATCTTTAAGCTCAAGTGATATTGCAATATCTGAAACATATTTTCCAATTCTATGCCCTAAAGGGCTCTTAATCTAAATACAATATTATTAATTTAAAACCAGCAGAAAAATGTAGAAAAAAATGGATATTTGGCTCAAAATAACTTGTGGGCATTTGTTCTCTATGTGATTGCCATCCTTTGTATATTTGGGAGAAATTCCAGTGTTACGAGTTGTGCCCTCTGATGTGAAACTCAGAACCCAAATTCTTAGGCTCTGTCATTGCTGGAGAGTAAGCACATGATGTGCACGAGTCTTTAATTTGGAGAAAATAAACATTTCACGGAGTTTCTGTTTGGTTGGTATCTGGCACTGACTCCCAGATCAATTTTGTGATGCAGGCATGGCATCAGTGCAGGAGGCAGTAATGATGGCTGTAAAGTAAATCTGGGCCTGGTACTTGGTGGTAGTAACAGAAGTTGTGTTGGTACAGTTTCTTACAGTTGTCTGGCATGATTTGGGCCTTTATTATTCTTGGAAGTTTAGTCTCAAGTCTGTTTCCCCAGCTCTGTCAACAATTCTATAAAATACCTAGTATCATTCAATAAATTCCTTTTCTGCTGAAGTTAGTTAAAGAGGATTCTGTTGCTTTCAGCTAAGAACCCTGACCAAGAGAGGGGTCAAATGAGAAAACAATACAGAATTAACTTTTAAAAAGTGAGTAAAATAATTTTCAATAGAATTAAAGGATCAATATACATAATTAAACAATGAAAAAGAAATAAAAGTTAATATATTTATCCAATCTCTCACTGTAAAATAGTTTTGGGTTAAAATAATTATATGAATTAGAGAAAAGAGTGATAGGTTACACTATATTTAAATATATTATGTCTCAAAATAAAAAGATTACAAATAGCCAATGGAATTCTCATAGCAACAAGATACATGGAGATTTGCTGTCTCTACCACATATATAGATAATAAATGCATTAAGATCATAAATATAAATGGACAGAGACCATAAACATATGGAAATAATAAAACATGAAAAACCTTTAACCTTATCAGTAAACAAATGAAAATTAGAAAAACTGTAGGCTTTTTTAAAAACCTATGATTAACAAACATTAAAAAAAATGATTATAATGTTGGTGAAGGCAAAGCGAAATGCTGGTGAATTTTTATAATTTCTATAAAATGATATAATGCTTTTAGAAAATTATGTGGTACCATGCATAAATACTTTAAAATATTTATGATTTTTGAGCTAATAATCCCATTTTTAGGGATCTAGGCTAAGATAACAATCACAAATACAGAAAAGATTCATCCATAGAGAAGTATACCTTGGTTTAGTATAAATTAGAATTGACCTAAATGTTAAAAATAAAGGGTGAGTTAAGTGTCCTCTGGTACATTTAATAGATGAAATATTAGTTGTCTTTAAATTTGTCATTATGAATAATTTATAGTTAGTAAAATTTTTAATAATATAATAAAATTTAAAAAGTCACAACATTTTACAGTATGATTATATACATGTATTTAAAATACCCCCAAATTCACATAGAAGCATCTACCTAACGGAGCACATACCGTATCTCTTTTTGAGTCCTAGATTTCATTAAAACAATAGAGGACATAAGAGTAATACATTCACATTACAACACAGAAAAGGGAGACATCAAATGCTCAGAAGATGCCAGGTCCAGAGATTTTTTTGGTTCAAATATATCAAACCTTCAAGAAATAGATATTGTCCATGGTATTTGAATTGTTCTAGTCACAGAAAAAAAGAGGTGTTACTGAATCATTTTAAGAAGTCAGTATAACTAGAGGAACAAAATTGGAAAAGGACAGTGCAAAGAAATAATTTATAGATTGCTATGGGTTGAATTCTGTCCTTCCAAATTCATATGTTGAAGCCCTGACTCCCAGTGACTCAGAATGTGGCTGTCTGAAGGTAAAACCTTTAAAAAGGCAATTAAGCTAGAATGAGGCCGATTAGGGTGGCCCCTAATTTGATCTGACTGGTGCTATGGGAAAAGGAAATTTGGACACAGAGAGAGAGAGACACTGGGGGATGTACACAGAGGAAAGACTATGCGAGGACACAGTGAGAAGACAGCCATTTGGAAGCCAAATGGTGAGGCCTGGGAAGAAACCAAACCTGCTGACACCTAGATCTTGGATTTTCAACCTCCAGAACTTTGAGAAAATAAATGTCTCTAGTGTAGGCTGCCTATGTATTAGTTTTCTGGAGTGGCCATAACAAAATACTACAGTATTTTGAAATCAGTAAGTGTGAGTTCTCTAACTTTGTTCTTTTTCAAAATTGTTATGTCTAGTCTGGGTTTTTTAGTTTCCATGTGAATTTTAGGACAATTTTGAGAAAAGGTTAGCTGTGATTTTGATAAGGATTCTGTTGAATCTGTAGATAAATTTGAAGACTATTGCCATTTTTCATTGCCAGTATATAAATGTAGTATCCCACTACAGTATTTTGTTATGGCTGCTCCAGGAAACTAATACATAGATTTATTTCATTTTCAAAATTAGATGCAAAATTTCTAGATAGAATATTTTCAAACTTAATTTGGGTCTGTATTTAGAGAATAATTTGTCATAAACATTAGGGATTTGTTTTAGTAACACCAGGATAATTCAACAATAGGAGTTCCATTAATGCAATACTCTAAAAAACAACAGCTTCGTTGAATAGTTTTTTAATAATAACAGCTTTATTGAGATATAAAAAAACCATAAAATCCAATTTTGTAACCATCATCACAATTAACTGTAGAACATTTCTGTTACCCCATACCTATTAGCAGCCTCTCTTCTTTCTGCTAGCCACCCAGCCTCTAGCCACCACTACTCTATTTTCTCTTTATATGGATTTTCCTATTCTGGACATTTCATGTGAATAGAATCATAAAATGTTTTTGTGACAGGCTTCTTTCATTTAGCAGAATATTTCGAGGTTCATCCATATTGTAGGATGTGCCAATTTTTCATTCTTTTTTATTACCAAATAATATTCCACTGTATGGATACTACCTTTTGTTTATCCATTCATCAGTTGGTGGAAATTTGGGTTGCTCATACTTTTTGGCAACTGTGAATAATACTGCTATAAACACTTAGGCACAAGTTTATGTGTGAACATGTGTTTTCTGTTGGATAGATACCTAGGAGTAGAATTCCTGGATCGTATGGTAACTTTACATTTAACTGAAGAACTGCCATACTGTTTTCCAAAGTGGCTAAACCATTATACATTCCCATCAGCAATACACAAAGGTTCCAATTACTCCACATACTTGCAAACACTTGTTATTGTTTGTCTTGTTGATTACAGCCATTCTAGTGAGTGTGAAGTGATATATTCTTTATTTTTATTTTTATTATATTAAAAAATTATTTTATTTTATTTTTGTGATGGAGTCTTGCTCTGTCACCTGGGCTGGAGTGCAGTGGCATGATCTTGGCTCACTGCAACCTCTGCCTCCCACGTTCAGGCAATTCTCCTGCCTCAGCCTCTCGAGAAGCTGGGACTACAGGCACATGCCACCACGCCTAGCTAATTTTTGTATTTTTAGTAGAGACAGAGTTTCACCATGTTGGCTGGGCTGGTCTTGAACTATTGACTTCAGGTGATCTGCCCACCTCAGCCTTCCAAAGTGCTAGGATTACAGGCATGAGCCACTGCACCCGGCTGAAGTGATATATTCTCATGGTTTTAATTTTCGTTTCCTTAATGACTTTGGTATTAAGTATCTTTTCATGTGCTTCTTGGCCACTTGTGTATCCTTTTTTGGGAGAAACATCTATTCAAGTTGTTTGCCTATTTTTAATTGAGCTATTTGTCTTTATGTCGTTGAGTTCTAAGAGTAATTTATATATTGGGTTGGTGCAAAAGTTATTGTAGTTTTAGCCATTTTTTTTCCCAGTGGCAAAAACCACAATTACTTTTGCACCAACCTAGTATTATGGAATTAAGTTCCTTGTAAGAAATATTATTTAACGATATATTCTGCCATTGTGGGTTGTCTTTTTACTTTTTAAAAATTATTATTTCAATAGGTTTTAGGTAACAGGTGGTGTTTGGTATATGAATAAGTTTTTTAGTGGTGATTTCTGAGATTTTGGTGCATTCATCACCTGAGCAGTGTACACTGTACCCAATGTCTAGATTTTTATCTCTCACACCCCTCCTACCCTTCCCCCAGAGTCCATTATATAATTCTTATGTCTTTTCATCCTCATAGCTTAGCTCTCACTTATAAGTGATGTTTGTTTTTCCATTCCTGAGTTACTTCGCTTAGAATAATGGTCTTCAACACCATCCAGGTTGCTGCAAATGCCATGATTTTGTTCCTTTTTATGGCTGAGAAGTATTCCATGGTATATATATATATATACCACATCTTCTTTATCCACTCATTGGTTGAGGGGGATTTAGGCTGGTTCCATATTTTTGCAATTGCGAATTATGCTGCTATAAACATGCATGTGCAAGTGTCTTTTTCGTGTATGGACTTCATTTCCTCTGGGTGGAATTGCTGGATCAAATGGTGTTCTACTATTAATTCTTTAAGGAGTCTTCATACTGTTTTCCATAGTGGTTGTACTAGTGTACAACTAGTGTCCCACCGGCAGTGTAAAAGTGTTCCCTTTTCACCACATCCACACCAACATCTATTTTTTTTAAATTTTAAAATTATGACCATTTTTGCAGGAGTAAGGTAGTATCCCATTGTGGTTTTGATTTGTATTTCCCTGATCATTAGTGATGGTGAACATTTTTTCATATGTTTATTGGCCATTTGTACATCTTCTTTTGAGAATTTTCTGTTCATGTCCTTAGCCCACTTTTTGATAGGATTTTTTTTTTCTTGCTGAATTGTTTGAGTTTCTTGTAGATTCTGGATATTAGTTCTTTAATGCATAGTTTGCAAATATTTTCTCCCACTCTGTGGGTTGTCTGTTTATTCTGTTGATTATTTCTTTTGCTGTGCAGAAGCTTTTTAGTTTAATTAAGTCCCATCTGTTTATTTTTATTTTGTTGCATTTGCTTTTGGGTTCTTGGTCGTGAACTCTTTGCCTAAGCCAATGTCTAGAAAAGTTTCTTCTGATGTTATCTTCTAGAATTTTAATAGTCTCAGGTCTTAGATTTAAGTCTTTGATCAATCTTGAGTTGGTTTTTGTATAAGGTGAGAGAGGAAGATCCAGTTTCATTCTTCTACATGTGGCTTGCCAATTATCCTAGCACCATTTTTGAATAGGATGTCCTTTCCCCACTTTTTGTTTTGGTTTGCTTTGTCAAAGATCACTTGGCTGTAAGTACGTGAGTTTATTTCTGAGTTCTCTATTCTGTTCCATTGGTCTATGTGTCTATTTTTATACCAGTCATGTGCTGCTTTGGTAACTCTGGACTTGTAGTATAGTTTGAAGTTGGGTAATGTGATGCTTCCAGGTTTGTTCTTTTTGCTTAGTCTTTCTTTGGCTATGTGGACTCTTTTTTTTGTTTCATATGACTTTTAGGATTGTTTTTTTCTAGTTCTGTGAAGAATGGTGATGGTATTTTGATGAGCATTATATTGAATTTGTAGATTTTTTTGGCCCTATGGTGATTGTCATGATATTGATTCTTCCCATCCATGAGCATGGGATGTGTTTCCATTTGTTTATGTCATCTTTGATTTCTTTGAGCAGTGGTTTGTAGCTTTCCTTGTAGAGTTCTTTCACCTCCTTGGTTAGGGATATTCCTAAGTATTTTATCTTTTTTTTTTTTTTTCAGCTATTGTAAAAGTGGTTGAGTTCTTGATTTGACTCTCAGCTTGGTCATTGTTGGTGTATAGCAGGGTTACTGATTTTTGTACATTGATTTCGTATCCTGAAACTTTACTGAATCAATTTATCAGATCTAGGAGCTCTTTGGATGAGTCTTTAGGGTTTTCCAGGTATACAATCGTACTACTGACAATAGTTTGAATTCCTCTTTACTGATTTGGATCCCCTTTATGTCTTTCTTGTGTCTGATTGCTCTGGCTAGGACTTCCAGTAGTGTGTTGAATAGAAATGGTGAAAGTGGGCATCCTTGTCTTATTCCAGTTTTTGAGGGAATGCTTTCAACTTTTCCCCATTCAGTATAATGTTGGCTGAGGGTTTGTCATAGATGGCTTTTATTACCTTAAAGTATATCCCTTGTATGCTAATTTTGCTGAGAGTTTTAAGCATAAAGGGATGCTGGATTTTGTCAAATGCTTTTACTGCATCTATTGAGATGATTATGTGATTTTGATTTTTAATTTTGTTTACAAGATGTATCACATTTATTGACTTGCTTATGTTAAATTATGTGGTATATCACATTTATTGACTTGTGTATGTTAAACCAACCCTGCATCCTTGGTATAAAACCCACTTGATCGTGGTGGGTTATCTTTTTGATATGCTGTTGGATTTGGATATTTAGTATTTTGTTGAGGATTTTAGCATCTATATTCATCAGAGATATTGGTCTGTAGTTTTCTTTTTTTGTTATGTCATTTCCTGGTTTTGGTATTAGGCTGATACTGGTTTTATAGAATGATTTAGGGAGGATTCCCTCTTTCTCTATCCTTTTGAATAGTTTCAACAGGATTGGTACCAATTTTTCTTTGAATGTCTGATATAATTCATCTGTGAATCCATCTGGTTCTGTACTTTTTTTGTTGTTGGCAATTTTTTATTATGGTTTCAATCTCACTACTTGTTATTGGTCTGCTCAGAGTTTCTAATTCTTCCTGGTTCAATCTAGGAGGGTTGTAAGTTTCCAATAATTTATCCATCTCCTCTAGGTTTTCTAGTATGTACACACAAAGGTGTTCATAGTGGCCTTGAATGATCTTTTGTATTTTTGTTGTATCAGTTGTAATATCTCCTATTTCATTTCTAATTGAACTTATTTCGATCTTTTCTTTTCTTGGTTAATTTTGTTAATTGTCAAATTTTGTTTATCTTTTCAAAGAAACAGCTTTTGGTTTCATTTATTTTTTTGTTTCAATTTTATTTAATTCTGTTTTGATTTTTGTTATGTTTTTTCTTCTGCTGAGTTTGGGTTTGGTTTGTTCTTGTTTCTCTAGTGCATTGGAGTTTGAGCTTAGATTGTCTGTTTGTGCTCTTTCAAAGTTTTGAATATAGACACTTAATGCTAAGACCTTTCCTCTTAGCACCTTTTTTGGTTGTATCTCAAAGGTTTTGATAGGTTTTGTCACTATTATTGTTCAGGTAAAATAATTTTTTAATTTCAATCTTGATTTCATTGTTGACCCAAAGATCATTCAGGAGCAGATTATTTAATTTCCATGTGTCTGTATAGTTTTGAGGGTTCCTTTTGGAGTTAATTTCCAATTTTATTCTCACTGTGGTCTGAGAGAGTACTTGATATCATTTCAATTTTCTTAAATTTATTGAGATTTGTTTTGTGGTCTATCATATGGTCTATCTTGCAGAATGTTCTATATGCTGATGAAAAGAATGTGTGTTCTGCAGTTGTTGGGGAAACTGTTCAATAAATATCTGTTAAGTTGATTTTTCTAGGGTATAGTTTGAGTCTATTGTTTCTTTGTTGACTTTTTGTCTTGATGACCAGTCTAGTGCTGTCAGTGGAGTACTGAGGTCCCCCACTATTATTGTGTTGCTGTCTATCTTATTTCTTAGGTCTAGTAGTAACTGTTTTATAAATTTGGATGCTCTAGTGTTAGGTGCATATATATTTAGGATTGTGATATTTTCCTGTTGAACTAGTCCTTTTATCATTATATAATGTCCCTCCTTGTCTTTTTTAACTGCTGTTGCTTGAAAGTCTGTTTTGTCTACTATAAAAATAGGTAGTCCTGCTTGCTTTTGATGTCCATTTGCATGGACTATGTTTTCCACCCCTTTACCTTAAGTTTATGTGAGTCCCTATTTGTTAGGTGAATCTCTTGAAGACAGCAGATATTTGGTTGGTGAATTCTTATTTATTCTGCCATTCTGTATCTTTTAAGTGGAGCATTAGGCCATTGACATTAAATGTTAGTATTGAAATGTGAGGTACTGTTCTATTCATTGTGCTAGTTGTTGCCTGAATATCTTTTTTTTAATTGTGTTATTGTTTTATAGGCCATGTGAGATTCATCCTTTAAGGAGGTTCTATTTTGGTGTACTTTGAGGTTGTGTTTCAAGATTTAGAACTCCTTTTAGCATTTCTTGTAGTGATGGCTTGGTAGTTGCAAATTCTCTCAGCACTTGTTTGTCTGAAAAAGACTTTATCTCTCTTTCATTTATGAAGCTTAGTTTTGCTGGGTACAAAATTATTTGCTGAAAATTATTTTGCTTAAGGAGGCTAACAATAGGACCCCATTCCCTTCAGGCCTCAGTAGGGTTTCTGCTGAGAAATCTGCTGTTAATCTGATAGGTTTTCCTTTATAGGTTGTCTGATGCTTTTGCCTCACAGCTCTTAAGATGGTTTCCTTTGTCTTGACTTTAGATAACCTGGTGACTATGTATCTAGATGATGACCTTTTTGCAATTAATTTCCTGTGTGGTTTTTGAACTTCTTGTATTTGGATGTTTAGATCTCTAGCAAGACCGGGGATGTTTTCCTAGATTATTTGCTCAAATAAGTTTTCCAGAGTTTTAGATTTCTCTTCTTCCTCAGGAATATCAATTATTCTTATGTGTGGTCATTTAACATAATCCCAAATTTCTTGAAGGCTTTATTCATTTTTTAAAATTCTTTTTTCTTTGTTGGATTGGGTTAATTAGAAAGCCTTGTCTTCAAGCTATGAAGTTCTTTCTTCTACTTGTTCTAGTTTATTGTTGAAACTTTCCAGTGTATTTTGTATTTCTCTAAGTGTGTCTTTCATTTCCAGAAGTTGTGATTGTTTTTTCTTTATGATATCTATTTCTCTGGAGACTTTTTCATCCATAGCCTGTATTTTAAAAAATTGTATTAAGTTGGTTTTCACCTTTCTCTGGTACCTCCTTGAATAGCTTAATAATCAACCTTCTGAATTGTTTATCTGGCAATTCAGAGATTTCTTCTTGGTTTGGATTCATTGCTCTAGTGTGATCTTTTGTGAATGTTATAGAATCTTGTTTTGTCACATTATCATACTTCCGTTTCTGGTTCCTTCCCCTTTGGGTAGACTGTTTCAGTGGAAAGATCTGGGACTGAAGGGCTGCTGTCCAGATTTTTTTGTTCCATGTGGCAATCCCTTGATGTGGTGCTCTTCCTCTTCCCCTGGGGATGGGGCTTCCTGAGAGCTGAACAGCAGTGATTGTGTTCACCGTTCTGTCTAGCCAGTCAGTGGGGCTACTGGGCTCTGAGCTGGTGCTGGGAATGTCTTCAAAGAGTCCTGTGATGTTACCCATTTTCAGGATTCCCAGTTATGGATTCCAGCACCTGCTCTAATAGATATGGCAGAAAAGTGACATGGACTCTGTGGAAGTCCTTGGTTGCAGTTTTGTTTAGGGCACTGGTTTTCTGAAATGCTGGTTATGCTAGCAGTGAAGTTGTCATGGGGACAGACTCAGGATCTCTGGTTAGCCAGGATGTTGCAGGTCATGGATTTAGCTGTTATTTTCTCCTTCTTTGGAGCACAGTTGTTCTGTTGTGAGTTGCCATAATGGTTTGAGTTAGTTGGGCCTCAGCCAGGAGGTGGGACTTTCAAGAGAACACCAGCTGTGGTAGTAGAAGGGGGTTGTAAGTTTGCCCTGTGTTGGCTAGGATAAGTATTTAGGTTTCTCAGGCAATGGGGTGGGGCCATAGAGCTCCCAAGAGTTTGTCTTTTGTCTTTGGCTACTGGTGGGTAGAGAAAAAACATCAAATGGGGGCGGGTTTAGGCATATTTGAGGTCAGATTCTTCTTGGGCAGGGCTTGCTGCAGTCTCTGTGAGGGATGAGGAGGTGGGTCTCAGGCCAGTGGAGTTATGTCATAAGGAGGATTATGCCTGCCTCTGCTGCATCATACAGATCACCAGGAAAGTGAGGGAAAGTCATTAGTCACAGGTCTCATCCAGCTCTCATGTAGCCAGCTAGGCTAGTCTCACTCCCACTGTGCCCTGCCAACAGCACCAAATTTATATCCAGGCAGCTGGAGTGTAGGGCTGAGATCTTGCCCCAGGCTACAAGCCTCTCTGCTGAGGAAGCAAGCAGGGGTCTCAGACCCTGCCCCTTCCTTCCTGTTCGTGCCTTTGGCTGTTGCTTCTGTACTCATACTTGCACTTCTCCTTCGCACCCCACCCATAGATTCTGCTCAGGAAAATTCATGCTCAGTCAAAATTATTACAAAGTTTAGCTAGAAGCTTCCTTCACCCTGTGACCCCTCCCCAGTTCTTCTGGCTGCCTTCTCCAAGGACCCCTGTGAGATATTGCCTGGGATTGCTTCCCTGGGCTCAAGCTGGGGACTTGGGAGTGCCTATGGGCTCTTTCTGCTGGCTTTTCTACTTTTGTGTTTTGCTTGGCTCCCTAAATCCATTTCACCTCTAGGTAAGGTTAAGTCCTTCTCCTGTGATCTGGATTTTCAGGTTCCCCAGTGGGGATGTGTTCTGCAGACTGTTTCCCCTCTCACACTTCGGGGACTCACAGTTTTTTGGCTGTCTCAGAGTTTCCAGTGGCAAGCCACTTATTTCAAAGGGTCCGTGAATTATTTTGGTTTTCCTAATATGTTCCTGTGGTGGTTCTTAGAGGAAAAATTCATGATGTGAACCTTCATACACTGTTCTGTCCATCCAAGTGGGAGCTGCATGTTAGTCCTGTCTCCTGTCTGCCATTTTCCTGGTTACCACCTCTTTTTACTTTCCTGATTGTCCTTAACAGCATGAAAGTTTTAAAATGTTGATGGAGTCCAATTTGTCTCTTTTTTTTGTGCTTTGGTGTCACATCTAAGAAACCATTGTCTAAATCAAAGTCATGAAGATTTATTCCTATGTTTTGGCTAAGAGATTTGTAGTTATTTATCTCTTATTTTTAAGCTTCTGACCTATTTCCCATTATTTTTTGTGTACCATATGAAGTACAGGTCCAATTTTATCCTTTTGGATACAGATAACCTGGTATCCCTCCACTATTTGTTGGCAAAGCTATTCTTTCCCTATTGAATTGTCCTGACATTTTTGCTAAAAATCAAATGGCCATAAATATAGAGTCTATATCTGAAATCTCAGTTCTATCCCATTGATTTGTATGTCTATATTTATGCCAGTGCCATATAATTACTGTAGTTTTGTATTATGTTTTGAAATTGGTAAGTGTGAGTTCTTCAACGTAGTTCTTCTTTTTCAATATTGTTTTGGTAAATCTGGGAACCATGAGTTTCCATATGAATCTTAGGATAATTTTGTGAAAAGTCTAGCTGGGATTTTGATAAGGGTTCTGTTAAATCTGTAGACAAATTTGGAGAATACTGCCATTGTTCATTGCTAATATATATAAATGTAATATCCCACTACCTTGATGATCTAATTTACTAATAATATAATTTAAAAAAATAAAATAATTTGGATTTTCTACATGGACAGCATGTCATTTGCAAATAGAAGCGGTTTTATTTCTTATTTTCAACATATATGGCTTTTATTATGTTTTTATCTTATATTCTTTGCCTATTCACCTTGCTAGAATTTCCAGTATTACGCCAAATAGTAGTGCTGAAATTGAACCTTCTTTTCTTCTCAATATTGTAGGGAAAGCATTTAGTTTTTCACCATAAATATGATGTTAGGTATAGATTTTTTTATTTAGTATTCTTTACCAAGTTTAGAACATTTTTCTCCTGATTCTCTGAGAATTTTTATCATAATGGGGATTAGATTTTGCCAAATATTTTTTTCTATATCAATTTATATGATCATGTTATTTTTCTTCTTTAACTTGTTAATATTGTGTTTTATATAGGTTGATTTTTGAGTAGTGAACCAGCTTTGCATTCCTGGGTAAGTGTCACTTAGTTATGGTATATTATTATTTTTATATATTGTTGAAATCCATTTGCTAGAGTTTTGTTAAGAAGTTTTGCATCTGTATTCATGCAGGATAGTGATCTGTAGTTTTCTTTTAAAATGTTTTATTTTATTTGTCTGATTTTGTTATCATGCTAATAGTGGTTTTATAGAATGAGTTGGGAAGTGTTTCCTCTTCTACTTTCTGGAAGAGATTATATAGAATTGGTGTTAATTCTTCTTTAAACATTTGGGAGAATTTTCCATTGAAATCCTCATCTTTTTTGAGGAGGTTTTAAAAAATTATTAATGGAATTTTCTTAATTATAGGGCAACTCATATATTTCACACATGGTGAGTTTTGGTAGTTTACATTTTGGGGGAATTAGTTTTTTATCTTTATTACTTCCTTCCTTCTGCTTGTTTTTGATTTATTTTGATCTTCTTTATCTAGGTTTTTGATATTGGAACTTAAATAATTTATTTATGTTATAAACGGCCCTGCTTTAGCACTGCTTTACTACATCCCAGTTTTGATATACTGTATTCTAATTTTCTTTCATTTCAGTGTATTTTTAAATTTGGTTGAGAATTCCACTTCGACCTACAAATTATTTAGAAGACTATGTTTAGTTTCCAATACTTGTAGATTTCCTGGTTATCTTTCTGTTATTGATTTCTAGTGTGATTCTATCATGGGCATAATACACACTGTATGTGACTTAAATTACATGAAATTTGTTTTGTGGCCCATGATATAGACTATCTTGGTATACGTTCTGAGTGCTTGGTAATAATTTGTATTCTGCTATTTTTTAGTGTAATATTCTATAAGTGTTAATTCGATTCTTTGGTTGAGTTCTTTTATATCCTTCCTGATTTTCTGCATAGTTGGTCCATCAATTGTTGGTAGATGGGTGTTGAAGTCTATGACTATAATTGTGGATTTAAATATTTCTCTTTTCAGTTCTATCAGTTTTTACTTCAGATATTTTGTAGCTGTCATTTAGATTGTGATGACTTCTTGGCCAATTGACCCTTTTATTATTACCCAATGTCCAGCTCATATCATCTGCAAACAAAGATAATTTGACTTTCTCCTTTTCAATTTGGATGTCCTTTATTTCTTTCACTTGTCTGATTGCTGTAGATGGGACTTCCAGTACTATGTTGAATAATAGTGAAGAAAGTGAGTATCCTTGTTATGTTCCAGGTCTTAGAGAAAAGCTTTCAATTTTTCCCCATGCCATATGATACTAGCTGTGGGTCTGTTATAAATGGCTTTTATTATGTTGAGGTACATCCCTTCTATACCCAGTTTTTCGAGAGTTTCTATTATGAAGTGGTGTTAAAGTTTATTAAATGCTTTTTTCAGCATGAATTGAAATGATAATAAGGTTTTTGTTCTTCATTCTTCTGATGTGATAATTCACATTGATTGATGTGCACATGTCGAAGCATCCTTGCATCCCTGGAATAAATCTCACTTGGCTATGATGAATTATTTTTAAAATGTATTGTTGAATTTTGTTTGCCAGCATTTTGTTGAGGATTTTTGCATCAATATTCATTAGAGATGTTAACCTTTAGTTTTCTTTTTTTGATGTGCCTTTGGTTTTGGTATCAGGGTAATACTGACCTCATAAATGAGTTTGGAAGTACTTCCTTATCCTCTGTTTTTTGTTATAGTTTGAGTAGATTGGTTTTGGTTCTTTTTTAAACGTTTAATAGAATCAGAAGTGAAGTCATTGGGTCCCAGGCTTTTCTTTTCTGAGATAATTGTCATTATGGCTTTGATCTCATTACTTATTATTGTTCTGTTCAGGTTCTGGATTTCTTCATGGTATAATCTTGGTAGGTTGTATGTGTCTAGGAACTTACCCATTTCCTCTAGATTTCCAATTTATTAGTATGTAGTTGCTAATGATCCTTTGAATTTCTGCAGTATCAGTTGTAACATCTCCTTTTACATCTTTGATTTTATTTTAATTTGTAAATTTTTTCTTCAACTTTTATTTTACGTTCAGGGGTGCGTGTGTAGGATGTGTAGGTTTGCTAAATAGGTAAATGCATACCATTGTGGTTTGTTTTACAGATGTTCCCATCACCTAGGTATTAAACCCAGCACCCATGAGCTATTCTTCCTGATGCTCTCCTTCATCCCACCACCCCCCAGCAGGCTCCAGGGTATGTTGTTCCTCCCCATTTGTGCAGGTGTTCTCATCATTCGGCTTCCTCTTATAAGTAAGAACATGTTGTGTTTGGTTTTCTGTTTCTGTGTTAGTTTGCTGAAAGATAATGGCTTCCAACTCTATCCATGTCCCTGAAAAGGACATGATCTCATTCTTTTTTATGGCTACATAGTATTCCATGGTGTATATGTTCCACATTTTCTTTATCCAGTATATCACTGATGGGCATTTAGGTTGATTCCATGTCTTTACTATTGTGAACAGTGCTTCAGTGAACATATGCGTGCATGTATCTTTATAATAGAATGATTTATATTCCTTTAGGTATATACCCAGCAATGGGATTGCTAGGTGAAATGGTATTTCTGCCTCTAGGTCTTTGAGGAATCAACACACTCTCTTCCGCTATGGTTGAACTAATTTACAATCCTACCATCAGTGAAAAGCATTGGTGGAAGTGTAAATTAGTTTTTCTTTACAACCTGGCCAGCATTGTTGTTTTTTGACTTTTTAACAATAGCCATTCTGGTGAGGTTGCAGTGAACCAAGATTGCACCGCTGCACTCCAGCCTGGGAGACAGAGTGAGACTCTGTCTTGAGGGAAAAAAAAAAAGGTATTCTGACTGGCATGAGATGGTATTGATTTGTGGCTTTGATGAACATTTCTTTAATGATCAGTGATGCTGAGCTTTTTTTCTTATGTTTGTTGGCTGGAGGTATATATTCTTTTGAGAAGTGTATTTTCATGTCCTTTGCCCACTATTTAATGAAATTGTTTTTTTTCTTGTAAATTTGTCCAAGTTCATTGTAGACTCTGGATATTAGATGTTTGTCAGATGGATAGATTGCAAACATTTTCTCCCATTCTGTAGGTTGTCCGTTTACTCTGATAATAGTTTCTTTTGTTGTTCAGAAGCTCTTTAGTTTAATTAGATCCCATATGTCAATTTTTGCTTTTGTTGCAATTGCTTTTAGTGTCTTCATCATGAAATCTTTGCCCATGCCTATGTCCTGAATGGTATTGCCTAGATCTTCTCCTAGGTTTTTTTTTTTTTTATAGTTTTGAGTTTTACATTTAAGTCTTTAATCCATCTTGAGCTGATTTTTATATATGGTGTAAGGAAAGGGTCTAGTTTTAATCTTCTGCATATTGCTAGCCAGTTATCCCAGAACCATTTATTGAATAGGGAATCATTTCCCTAATGCTTGTTTTTCTCAGGTTTGTCAGGTTTGTCAAAGCTCAGATGGTTTTATTTGTCAGTCTTATTTCTGAGTTCTCTATTCAGTTCCATTGGTCTATGTGACTGTTCTTGAACCAGTACCATGCTGTTTTGATTAATGTAGCCTTGTAGTATAGTTTGAAGTTGGGTAGTGTGATGCCTCCAGCTTTGTTCTCTTTGCTTAGAATTGTCTTGGCTATTCGTAGGTCCTTTTTTGTTTTCAAATGAATTTTAAAATAGCTTTTTTCTAATTCTGTGAAGAATGTCAACAGTAGTTTAATGGGTATGTCATTGAATCTATAAATTACTTTGGGCAGTATGGCCATTTTCATCATATTAATTATTCCTCTCCATGAGCATGAGATATTTTTCCATTTGTTTGTGTCCTCTCTGATTTCTTTGAGCAGTGGTTTGTAGTTCTCCTTGAAGTGGTCCTTCATTTCTCCGTTAGCTGTATTCCTAGGCACTTTATTCTTTCTGTAGCAATTCCAAATGGGAGTTCATTCATGATTTGGCTCTTGGCTTGATGGTTGTTGGTGTATAGGAATGCTAGTAATTATTGCATATTGATTTTATATCCTGAGACTTTGCTGAAGTTGCTTATCAGCTTAAGAAGCTTTTGGGCTGAGATTATGGAGTTTTCTAGATATAGCATCATGTCATCTGCAAACAAAAATAATTTGACTTCCTCTCTTCCCATTTGAGTACTCTGTATTTCTTTCTCTTGCCTGATTGCCCTGGCCAGAACTTACAATACTATGTTGAATAGGAGTGGTGAGAGACAGCATCCTTGTCTTGTGCTGGTTTTCAAGGGGAATGCTTTCAGCTTTTGCCCATTCAGTATGATATTGGCTGTGGGTTTGTCATATATGGCTGTTATTATTTTGAGGTATATTCCTTCAATACCTAGTTTATTGAAAGTTTTTAGCATGAAGAGATGCTGAATTTTATCAAAAGCATTTTCTGCATCTATTGAAATAATCTTGTGGTTTTGTCTTTAGTTCTGTTTATGTGATGAATCATTTATTGATTTGTGTATGTTGAACCAACCTTGCATTCTGAAGATGAAGCCAGCTTAATCATGGTGGATAAACTTTTTGATGTGCTGCTAGATTTGGCATTTTGTTCAGGATTTTTGCTTCGATGTTCATCAGAGATATTGGCCTGAAGTTTTTTGTTGTTGTTGTTGTGTCTCTGCCAGGTTTTGCTATCAGGATGATGCTGGCCTCATCGAATGAATTAGGGAAAGTCCTTCCTTTCTAATTTTTTTGAATGGTTTTAGTAGAAATGGTGTCACCTCTTCTTTTTAACTCTGGCAGAATTCAGCTGTGATTTTGTCTGGTCCTTGGGGTTGTTTTTGGTTAGTTGGTAGGTAATTTATTACTGCCAATTTCTGAACTCATTATTGGTCTATTCAGGGATTCAATTTCTTCCTGGTTCAGTCTTGGGAGGGTGCATATATGCAGAAATTTATCTATTTTTTTCCAGATTTTCTAGTTTATATGCATAGAGATATTTATAGTATTCTCTGATGGTTGTTTGTATTTCTGTGGGGTCAGTGGTGACATTCCTCTTATCATTTCTGACTGCATCTATCTGATTCTTCTCTTTTTTATTCCTTATTAGTCTAGCTAGCAGTCTATATATTTTATTATTTTTTTTTCAAAAAACCAACTCCTGGATTTGTTGATTTTTTGAAGGGTTTTTTATGTGTCTATCTCTTTCAGTTCAGCTCTGATCTTGGTTATTTTTTGTCTTCTGCTAGCTTTGGGATTTGTTTGCTCTTGGATCTTTAATTCTTTTAGTTGAGGTGTTAGGTGATTACACTGAGAGCTTTCTAGCTTTTTGATGTGGGCATTTAGTGCTATAAGTTCCCCTCTTAGCAATGCTTTACCTGTGTTCCAGAGATTCTGGTACATTTCTCTTTGTTCTCATTAGTTTCAAAGAACGTCTTGATTTCTGCCTTAATTTCATTATTCACCCAAGAGTCATTCAGGAGCAGGTTGTTCAATTTCCATGTAATTGTGTGGTTTTGAGTGAATTTCTCAATCTTGTGTTCTAATTTGATTGTGCTGTGGTCTGAGAGACTGTTATGATTTCAATTCCTTTGCATTTGGTGAGAAGTGTTTTACTTCTGATTATGTGATTAATTTTAGAGTAAGTTCCATTTGGGATGAGAAGAATGTATATTCTGTTGTTTTTTGATGGAGATTTCTATAGATATCTATCAGGTCCACTTGATCTAGAGCTGAGTTCAGGTCTTGAATATCTGTTAATTTTCTCTTCTGATGATTTAATATTGTCAATGGGGTGTTGAAGTCCCCCACTATTATTGTGCGGAAGTCTAAGTCTCTTTGTAGGTTCCTAAGAACTTGCTTTATGAATCCGGGTGCTCTTGTATTGGGTGCGTATATATTTAGGATAGTTAGCTCTTCTTGTTGAATTGACCTTTTACCACGTAGTGCCCTTCTTTGTCTCTTTTGATCTTTGTTGGTTTAAAGTCTGTTTTGTCAAAAACTAGGATGGTCACCCCTGCTTTTTTCTGCTTCCCATTTGCTTGGTAAATTTTCCTTCATCCCTTTATTTTGAGCCTATGTATGGCTTTGCACATGAGATGGATCTCTTGGTGACAGCATACCAATGGGTGTTGACTCTTTATCCAGCTTGCCATTCTGTGTCTTTTAATCTGCGCATTTAGCTTATTTACATTGAAGGTTAACATTGTTATGTGTGAATTTGATACTGTCATCATGATGCTAGCTGGTTATTTTCCAGACTTATGTGGTTGCATTACAGTGTGACTGGTCTGTGTACTTCAATGTGTTTTTATAGTGGCTGGTGATGTTTTTTCCTTTCCATATTTAGTACTTCCTTTAGGAGCTCTTACAAGGCAGGCCTGATGGTGATGAATTGCCTCAGCATTTGTTTATCTGAAAAGGATTTTATTTCTCCATTGCTTATGAAGCTTAGTTTGGTCAGATATAAAATTCTGGGTTGGAAATTATTTTCTTTAAGAAAGTTGAATATTTACCCTCAATCTCTTCTGTCTTGTAGGGTTTCTGCCAAGAGGTCCACTGTAAACCTGATGAGTTTCCCTTTGTACGTGACCTGGCCTTCTTCTCTCTGGCTTCCCTTAACATATTTTCTTTCATTTAAACCTTGGAGAATCTGATGATTATGTTTTCTGGGGTTGATCTTCTTGTGGAGTATCTTACTGGGGCTCTCTGCATTTCTTGAATTTGAATGTTGGCCTGTTTTGCTAGGTTGGGGAAGTTCTCCTGGATGGTAACCTGAAGTATTTTTTTCAACTTGGTTTTATTCTCCCTATCTGTTTCAGGTACCCCAAGCAGTCATAGGTTTGGTGTCTTTACATGGTTCCATGTTTCTTGGATATTTTGTTCATTGTTTCTCTATTCTTGTCTGCCTGTCTTATTTCAGATAAGAGTGGTTTACATACCACAATTACCATGTTATAATATTCTGTGTTTTTCTTTGTGCTTACTAT
This sequence comes from Homo sapiens, assembly GCF_000001405.40. NCBI lineage: Eukaryota > Metazoa > Chordata > Mammalia > Primates > Hominidae > Homo > Homo sapiens. Next base: position 156,221,043 of record NC_000002.12, on the reverse strand, counting down.
TACCAGTGAGTTTTGTATCTTCTCATGATTTCTTCTTGCTCATTTACATCTTTTCTTTCAGATTGAAGAGCTTGTTCTTGCAGGACGTCTAGTGTTTGTGAAATCCCTCAGCTTTTGTTTTTCTGGGAATATTCTTCATACTTGAAGGATATTTTCACTGGATATAGTATTCTAGGGTCAAAGTTTTTTTTATTCCTTCAGCACTTTAAATATTTCATGCCGGTGAAACCCCGTCTCTACTAAAAATACAAAAAATTAGCCGGGCGTAGTGGCGGGCGCCTGTAGTCCCAGCTACTTGGGAGGCTGAGGCAGGAGAATGGCGTGAACCCGGGAGGCGGAGCTTGCAGTGAGCCGAGATCCCGCCACTGCACTCCAGCCTGGGCGACAGAGCGAGACTCCGTCTCAAAAAAAAAAAAAAAAAAAAAAAAAAAAATATTTCATGCCACTCTTTCCTAGCCCATATGGTTTCCACTGAAAGGTCTGCTGCCAAATGTATTGGAGCTCCACTGTTTGTTGTTTCTTTTCTGTTGCTGCTTTTAGGATCCTTTCTTTATTCTCAACCGTTGGGGACTTGATTATTGATTGCCTTGTGATAGTCTTTCAGTTAAATCTGCTTGGTGTGCTATAATTTTCTTGTAGTTGAATGTTGATATCTTTCTCTAGGTTTAGGAAGTTCTCTGATAGTATCCCTTTGAACAAACTTTTTACCCCCATCTCTTTCTCTACCTCCCCTTTAGAGTCAATAAGTGTTAGATTTGCCCTTTTGAGGCTATTTTTTGGATCTTGTAGCCATGCTTTCTTTCTATTATTTTTTTCTTTTGTCTCCTGTGTGTATTTCCAAGTAGCCTGTTTTCAAGTTTATTAATTCTTTCTTCTGCTTAATCAAGTATGTGTTAAAAGACTGATGCATTCTTCTGTATGCCACTGCAATTTTTAGTTCCAGAATTTTCTGTTTTATTATTTCTAATTATTTCAATCTCTTTGTCAAATTTATCTGATAGAATCCTGAATTCCTTCTCTGCATTATCTTGAATTTCTTCGAGTTTCCTCAAACTAGCTATTGTGAGTTCTCTGCCTGAAAGGTTCCTCCAAGATTCGTCCACTGGCTCTGAGCCCAACCCAGCCCTAGGTGTTATCTAGGAGTTGCAGTCCTTGTGTCCTAGACTGCTTTTCACAAGGACCCCAGAACATTTTGGCCCATGGTAGTGAGGCTTTCTGAAAAACTCAAGTTCTCACTGTTGCGATGAGTGTTCACCTCTGGCTAGGTCTGGTCCAAATGCTTGCTCCATGCATGGGTGCTGGCTGAGCCCAGCATTTCTTTGATCTCTGCAGTGACTGTGCAGCAGTGAATTCAATGTAAAGTATGCCAGTCACTGCTCTCTCCCTCCCCAAGTGCACAGACTCTGCATGACACGGCCATTATTTGAGGGATGGGGGGAAGAGTGGTGTCAACAATTTGACTGACTCTCCTACCCTCTTCAGTACCTCTTTCAGTGATATGAAGTTAAAACCATGTACTGCCATTGCTCACCTAATTTTTGCTTTTTGTGATGGTTCTTTTCTGTGTGCAGATGGTTGTCAAAATTTGGTGTTCCTGCAGGGTGGATGAATGGTGTGGGCTTTTATTTTGCCTCCTTGCTCTGCCCCTGGATTACCTTTCATTTCTTGTATCTTTCTGTTTTACTATTTTAATTTTCATTATCCTATTTTTTGTTTGATAAAGCATATATATGTTTAAAGTAAATTGATAGAAGAGAAGGAAAACATTTTATGCAGAAACAGGAAAAAATTCACCAAAAGAAGTTTTTCTCTGAATAATCCTGGTTTACTTTCAGCTGCAGTAACTGACAAAGCTATTTCCTACAATATTAAAATGGCTGATTTGTTATTGTTCTGGTGAGTGATTTGTACTCAGTGGATCACTGTTGGTCATGGTAATTTCGAAGTAAGAAGAACTTGCTTTTCCAAAGAATGTCTTACATTTCATTTAGAATTCTCCAAAGCAAATTACATCAATTCTATAGTTTGTTTTGGTGTGAACATTGGTTAGACTACACTAGAGAAATATTCTTACACTGTTTATAGTAAATGGCTGTTTTTCATTTACAAAAACAGTGTAAGAATAATGATTATTTGCTCTAGTCATAGAAAGTCCTTAATATTTGCTTTGTATAGTAAACATTAATTCCTTTGTCCATCATTATTATCTTACTATTACTCATAAGAAAGTTATTTTTTAAGTTTCAAAACACTACTTTGTGTGTTTCTCTAAACTTTTTTTTAGATAAATTGGCAATCAGATATTTTCTATATTTTCACATTACATATAAATTTCCTTTGAAATTTTTCCACCAGTAATGGATAGAATACTCATTATCAGGAAGGTAATGATTGTTAGGAGAATAGAGAGTGAAAATATCAGTGATGGCTGATACTGCTTTCTTTCTGCATGTTTCTCAATTCTAGCCTGCCTTGTCTTTAAACACCTCCCATACAAAACCTGATATTTTATAGAGCACAATTTTGTGTCATGCATTTTTTCTTTGGTTTTGTATGGTCTTGGTCCATTTAGGCTGCTATAACGGAATGCCACATATGAGGTGGCTTATGAATAACAGAAATTTGTTTCTCACAGTTCTGGAGGCTAAGAAGTTCAATAACAGGGCATGGTTATATTGTGTGTCTGGTCCCAGCTTCTTCCTGGTTCACAGATGGCTGTCCTTTCACTGTGTCCTTACATGGTATAAGGAAAAGGGAGTTCTTTGGGATTTATTTTATAAGGGTATGATCCTTTTCATGTGGGCTCACCCTCATGACCTAATCATCTCCCAAATGACCCACATCCTAATGCCAGTGTCTTAGGGGTTAGGATTTCAACATGTGAATTTTGGTGGGATGGAAACATTTATTCTAAAGTATGTGGGTACTATCAATCAGGATGGGTGAAGTTTTGCTATAGAAATAAACAACTTAAATCTTAACAGTTTGCAGTAACAGAGTTTATTTCTGACTCATTCAACGTGTCCAGTGGAGCATGGCAGCTCAACAGAAGGGACCCAGGCTAATGGAAGCTCCAACCCAACACAGATTTCCATAATATAGGGCAGGGAAAAGAGAACATGCCTTCAAAGACTTATCCCAGAAGTGACATATGTCCCTTCCCCTTACATTTTATTTGCCAGAGTAAGTCACAAGGCCAAATCTGAGTCCAACAGGACAGGGAGATATAATTCTCCCATAGGAAGAGAAACTAGTAATTGTGAACAGTAATCACAGCCTTGGGACAGACAGTATCTTGCCCTTGAGAAATGTATGATGGTATGGAAATGTTTATCTGAGTCTCTTTGTAAGCATCTAAGAACTTGTTTTATAAATCCAGGTTCTTCTGTATTGGGAGAATATATATTTAAGATAGTTAAAATGTTGTTAAATTAGGCCCTTTACCATTATGCCCTTCTTTGTCTTTTTTGATCCTTGTTGGTTTAAAGTCTGTTTCTTCTGAAATTAGGATAGCATTATCTGCTTTGTTGTTGTTGTTGTTTGCTTGGTAGATTTTTCTTTATTCCTTTACTTAGAAGGTAGGGATGTCATTGCATGTGAGATGGGTCTCTTGAAGACAGCATAAGTTTGGGTTTTGCTTTATCCAACTTGCCATTCTGTGCCTTTTAATTGGAGCATTTAGCTAATTTACATTGAAGTTTGATACTGATATTCATGAATTTGAGCCTGTCATCATGTTGTTAGCTGATTATTATGCAGCTAACATAATACCTGCTTTATAGCTATATATATATGTATATATTGGGGGGGGAGAGAGAGAGAGAGAGAGAGAGAGAGCTATATCTTGTGTAGTTGCTTTATAGCATCAATGACAATGGCCTTTGTACTTAAGTGTGTTTTTGAGGCAGCCAGTAATGATCTTTAATTTTCATATTTAGCACTCCCTTATGGACCTCTTGTAAGGCAGCTCTTGTGGTGACAAATGAGCATTTGCTTGTCTGGAAGGGATCTTATTTCAGCTTCACTGATGAAGCTTAGTTTGGCTGGATATGAAATTCTCAGTTGGAGTTTATTTTCTTTAAAAATGCTGGATATAGGCCCCCAATCTTTTGTAGCTTGGAACATTTCCATTAAAATGTTTGCTGTTAGCCTGATGGCTTTTCCTTTGTAGGTAATCTGCCCCTTCTCTCTAAAGTCTTTAACATTTTTTCTTTCATGTCAACGTTGGAGAATCTGATTACTATGTGTTTTGGGGGTGATTGTCTTGTATAGCATCCCACAGGAGTAATGTGCATTTTGTGAATTTGAATGTTGGCCTCTCCAGTGAGGTTGGGGAAATATTCATGGATAATATCCTCAAATATGTTTTCCAAGTTACTTGTTTTCTCTTCATTTTTTACAGGAACTGTCAATGAGTCACAGATTTGGTCTCTGCATAATCCCATATTTCTTGGAGAATTTGTTCATTCCTCTTTTTTTTGCATAATCCCATATTTCTTGGAGAATTTGTTCATTCCTCTTTTTTTGCATAATCCCATATTTCTTGGAGAATTTGTTCTTTTTTTTTTTTTCCCTTTACTTTTGTCTATCTGAGTTAGTTTAGAGAACAAATCTTTGAGCTCTGAGAATTTGTCTTTAGCTTGGTCTATTCTGCTATGAATACTTGCAGTTGTGTTAGGAAATTCTTGTAGTGTGCTTTTCAGCTCTATTGAATCAGTTTGGTTCTTTGTAAAAATAGCTATTTTTTTCTCTCAGCTGCTGTATAATTTATTGTAATCCTTACATTTCTTTAATTAGATTTTGACTTTCTCATGAATCTCAGTGATCTTCATTCCTATCCATATTCTGAATTCTATGTCTGTTAGTTCAGTCATTTCAGCATGATTAAGAATAATTGCTGGGGGAAATGGTGAGGTCATTTGGAGGAAAGAAGACACTGGCTTTTTAAGTTGCCAGAGTTCTCATGCTGGTTGTTTCTTATCTGTGTGAGCTGACGTTCCTTTAACTGTGGTTTGATTTGAGTATAGTCAGTTGTCTTCATTTCTGGATGTTTTCAGAGGGCGATGGCTTTGTGCAGGGTCTTTATTTATCACTGAATTCTTGTCCTTGGTTTCACAAGTTGGAGAGATGGGAAGGAGTATATTAGCAAAGTATTTTTGGTTTTGGAGTTTGGACTGTGATCCAGTAGATGGCACTTAAGTGTAATCACCAGTAGGTAGATGCTTGTTGAGTCACATGGCTCCTCTGTATTTTCTTGTGTTTGTAGCCATGCTCCCTGTCAGTGTTCTCAGAGAATGGGCTCCTCTCCCATTTGAGTTCTGGCTGCAGATCTTAGGTTGGCATTCCTGGGAATCATACCACATCCCTGGGGTGAGCCCAGAATTTAAGTTTTCTTCCCAGCGTCGGGCAACAGGGGCAGGGACCTTGACAATTAGTGCCTAATTTATTGACAGCAATGTAAGCTTCACTGGATTTTTCTTTTCTTTTGGTCAGGACATGATATGCCTTTTCAGAATGTAATGGTAGCCCTGTGTGGAGCTTCTCTCAGAGTTCCCAAGTAACAGTCAGCCATGTGGCAGCCACAGCATCTCAGTACTATATTTTCTTTACATATTTTGCATTTAAGTTGATGTTGCTGACAGTGTGGTTAATCAAACACTCACCAGACACTATTTGTTCTTAAATCAATGTGAAGTTTGGGTGACTTGTATGGATAATTCACTGAGCTCTTTCCTCTTTGTTTTATATACTCCATCCTATGCTGAGGGTAATTGTTTCCTGCAATAGATTTTAACAAAATTTCTCTTTGTGCAGAGTTTACAAAAGTGTTCTGTAGAAGAATATATCAAGGTGTATCAGCTCAAAAGGCCAGCCCTAGTCCATTTTTATACATTTTGTTGTTATTAGTTAGCATTTATTAATCTCTCCTACTACCTTTTTTTGCTATTCTAGATAGTTTAACATTATGAGAGATTTTATACAAAACAAATACACTCTGAAGATGAGAAAACTGAGAAACAGTAGGTTAAATGGTGTATTACAGTTTCTAAGAAATATTATTGCAGTCTTCTCAGTATGCCTAAGCCATATTTCCTCGGTGTTATCTACTTGTTTTCTTGGAAAAATTGACTATTGGTTATGTATATGGAATTATAATATAAATTTAAAAATCTCAGATCTAGAAAATATTGAGAAAACAAGCCATGGTTTAAAAGTAGATGTTTGCAATGAATATATCTAACAGAAGACCAATGTCTGACATATACTGAGCTCCTATAAATCAATATGTAAAAGATAAAATATATAATGGAAAAATGGGTAAAAGATTTGATGCTTCAGTCTTTTGACATTTTTCAATTTATTGATTGAAAAATATAATCGAAAAATGGGTAAAAGATAGATACTTTACAAAAGAGAACATCGAAAAGACAAATTTGACCTCAATAACTTTCAGGAAAATAAAGGTTAGAAGTGCAATGTTAAATTGCAAATATTAACCACAGAATAGGCCAAGCTGAGGAAAGAGTCTCAGAGCTTGAAGGCAGGCTTTCTGAAATAAGGTAGGCAGAAATAAAGAAAAAAGAATGAAAAGGAACAAACAAAACTTCTGAGAAATACAGGATCCTGCAAAGAGGCCAAATCTGTGAATCACTGGTGTTCTTGAAAGAGACGGAGAAAGTAAGCAACTTGGAAAACATATTTTAGAATATTGTCCATGAAAACTTCTCCAACATCACTAGAGAGGCCAACATTCAAATCAGAAAATGCAGAGAACCGTTGCAAGATACTATATAAGAAGATCATCACCAAGATGCATAATCATCAGATTTTCCAAAGTCAAAATGAAAGAAAATATGTTAAACGCAGGTAGAGAGAAAGGGTAGGTTATCTACAAAGGGAACCCCATTAGGTTAACAGTGAACCTTTCAGCAGAAACCCTGTAAGCCAGAAGAGATTGAGGGCCTATATACAATATTATTTAAAAACAAAGACTTCAACCAAGCATTTCATGTCCAGTCAAACTAAACTTCACTAGTGAAGGTGAAATAAGATCCTTTTTAGACAAGCAAATGCTAAGGGAATTCTTTACCACTAAACCTGCTTTACAACAGCTCCTGAAAGGAACATTAAGTATGGAAAGGAATGAATGTTATCAGCAAATACAAAACCATACTTAAGTACACAGACTAGTGACACTATAAAGCAACTACACAAACAAATCTGCATAATAATCAGCTGAAAACATGATGACAGACCAAATCCACACATATCTGTAGTAGCCTTGAATGTACATGGACTAAATGCCCCAATTAAATGGCACAGAGTGGCAAGCTAGATATGGAAGTGAGACACAACTGTATGCTGTCATCAAGAGACCCATCTTATATGCAGTGACACCCACGGGTTCAAAATAAGGAGATGGAGAAAAAAATCTACCAAGTAAACGGAAATCAGAAAAAAGTACAGGTTGCATCCTAATTTCAGACAAAACAGACTTTATTTTTTTATTTTTGTTTTTTGAGATGGAGTCTTGCTCTTTTGCCCAGGTTGGAGAACAGTGATGTAATGTCAGCTTACTGAAACCTCTGCCTCCCAGGTTAAAGCAATTCTCCTGCCTCAGCCTCCTGAGTAGCTGGGACTACAGGCACCTGCCACCATATCCAGCTATTTTTTGTATTTTTAGTATAGATGAAGTTTCACCATGTTGGCCAGGATGGTCTTGAACTCCTGACCTCAAGTGGTCCACCCACCTTGGCCTCCCAAAGTGCTGGGAATACAGGTATGAGCCTCTGCACCCAGCCCAAAACAGACTTTAAACCAACAATGATCAAAAAAGACAAAGAAAGGCATTACATAATGGTAAAGAGTTCAACAACCAGACCTACCTATACTAAATATATGTGTACCTAACACAGAAGCAGCCAGATTCATAAAGCGAGTTCCTAGAGACCTATGAAATAATAGTGGGAGACTTCCCACACAATAATAGTGGGAGAATTCAACACCCTATTGACAGTGTTAGACAGATTATTGAGGCAGAAAATTAACAAAGATAATTAGGACCTGTACTCAACACTTGATCAAATGGACCTAACAGACCTCCACAGAACTATTCATCCTCAAACAATGGAATTTATATTCTTCTCATTGCCACATGGCACATGTTTTAAAATCTACCACACAATCAGACATAGAACTATCCTCAGCAAATTCAAAAAATGAAATCATACTAACCACACTCTTGGACCATAGAGCAATACAAATTGAAATCAAGACTAAGAAAATTGCTCAAAACCACACAATTATTTAGAAATTAGACAACCTGCTCCGGAATGACTTTTGGATAAATAATGAAATTAAGGCAGAAATCAAGAAGTTCTTTTGGAGTAATGAGGACAAAGATACAATATATCATAATCTCTGGGACACAGCTAAGGCCATTTTAAGAGGGAAATTTATAGTGCTAAATGCCTGTATCAAAAAGTTAGAAAGATCTCAAATTAACAACGTAACATCACAATGAGAAGAGCTAGAGAAGGAAGAACAAACCAACTCCCAAACTAGCTGAAGACAAGAAATAACCAAAATCAGATCTGGAGAGAGACATGAAAATCCATAGAAAAAATCAATAAATCCAGGACTTTGTATTTTAAAAAACAATTAACAAGATAACTAGACTGCTAGCTAGACTAATAAATGGAAAAGAGAGATGACCCAAATAAACACAATTAGAAATGACAAAGGGGGCGTGACCATTGACCTCACAGAAATACACATAACCATCAGAGGCTACTGTGAACCCCTCTATGCACACAAACTAGAAAATCTAGAATAAGTGGATAAATTCCTGGGATGCATACACCCTTCCAAGACTGCACCAGGAAGAAACTGAATCCTTGTAAAGAGCGATAACAAGCTCTGAAATTGAATCTGTAATCAGTAGCCCACCAACCATAAAAAGCCCAGGACCAGAAGGATTCATCATGTTCAAAGGAGAACTGGTACCATTCCTACTGAAATTATTCCAAAAAATTGAGGAGGAGGGACTCCTTCCTAACTCATCTTATAAGGCCAGCATCATTCTGATACCAAAACCTGGCAGAGACAATAAAAAAAGAAAACCTCAGGCCAATATTCTTGATGAATATTGATGCAAAAATCCTCAACACAATACTAGCAAGCTGAACGTAGCAATACCTCAAAAAGCTAATCCATCTTGATGAAGTATGCTTCATCCTTGGGACGCAAAGTTGGTTCAACATACACAAATCAATAAATGTGATTCATCACATACACAAACTAAAAACAAAAACCATATGATCATCTCAATAGATGCTGAAAAGGCTTTCTATAAAATTTAGCATCCCTTCATGTTTAAAACCTTAAACCCTCAATAACCCTCAAAATGTTCCTCAGGGAACATATTTGAGAATAATAACCATCTATGATAAACCTACAGCTAATATTATACTGAATGACTAACAGCTGGAAGCATTTCCATAAAAACTGGCAGTGTATGAGCATGCCCATTCTCACCACTCCTATTCAACACAGTACTGGAAATTCTGGTCAGAGTCATCAGGGAAGAGAAAGAAATAAAAGCCATTCAAATAGGAAGAGGGGATGTCAAACTATCCCTGTTGGCAAATGACATGATTCTGTATCTATAAAACCCCATAATCTCTGCCCAAGAGCTCATAGATTTCATAAACAACTTCAGCAGTTTCAGGATACAAAATTAACATACAAAAATCATTAACGTTTCTATACAACAACAATGTCCAAGCTGGAGCCAAATCAAGAAAACAGTCCCATTCACAATAACCACAAATAATAAAATAAAATAAATAAAATAAAACCTAGGAATATAGCTAATCAGAAAGGCAAAAGATCTCTACAATGAGAATTACAAAGCACTGCTCAAAGAAATCAGAGATAACACAATCAAATGGAACAACATTCCATACGCATGTATAGGAAGAATCAATTATTGTTAAAATGGACATACTGCCCAATGCAATGTATAGATTCTATCTTATTTTTATCTAACTACCAATGACATTCTTCACAGAACTAGAGAAATCTAGTTTAAAATTCATATAGAACCACAAAAGAGCCCGCATAGCCAAGAAAATCTTAAGTAAAAAGAACAGCTGGAGGCATCATACTACCTGACTTCAAACAATACTACAGGGTACAGTAACCAAAACAGCATGATACTGGTACAAAAACAGACACAAAGACCTATGCAACAGAATAGAGAGCCTAGAAATAATGCTGCACACCTACAACCCTCTGATCTTTCACAAAGCTGACAAAAATAAGTAATAGGGAAAGGACTCCATATTTAATAAATGGTGCTGGGAAAACTGGCTAGCCATATGCAGAAGATTGAAACTGAACCCCTTCCTTACACCATATACAAAAATCAACTCAAGATGGATTAAAGACTTAAATATAAAATGTAAAACTATAAAAACCCTTGAAGACAACCCAGGAAATACCATTCTGGATATAGGTCCTGGCAAAGACTGTATGATGAATACACCAAAAGTGATTGCAACCAAAACTAAAACTGACAAATGGGATCTAATTAAACTAAAGACCTTCTACACAGCAAAGGAAACTATCAACAGAGTACACAGGCAACCTGTAGAAAGGGAGAAAATATTTGCAAACTATACCTCTGACAAAGGTCTAATAACTAATCTAAAATAAATCTAAAAGAAACTTAATTTTACAAGCAAAAACCAAACAATCCCATTATAAAGTGGACAAAGGACATGAAAAGACACTTCAAAAAAACACATACATATGGCCAACAGCATATGAAAAATGTTCAGTATCACTAATCATTAGAGAAATGCAAATCAAAACCATGAGACACCATCTCACACAAGTCAGAATGGTTATTATTAAAAAGTCAAAAAATAACAGATGTCGGTGAGGTCCTGAGGAAAAGGAAAGGCTTAAATACATTGGTGGGAGTGCAAATTAGTTCAACCATTTGGAAAGCAGTGTAGTGATTCCTCAAAGAACTTAAAACAGGACTACAATTTGACCCAGCAATCCCATTACTAAGTATATACCCAAAGGAACATAGATCACGCTACCATAAAGACACATGCACACAAATGTTCATTGCAGCACTATCACAATAGCAAAGATATGGAATCAGCCTAAATGCCCCTCAATAGTAGACTGGATAAAGAAATAAAGAAAACATCTTACATATACACCATGGAATACGATGCAGCCCTAAAAAAAATAGAGATCATGTCCTTTTCAGGAACATGGATGGTGCTGGGGGCCATTATCCTTAGCAAGCTAATGCAGGAACAGAAAAACAAATACTGCATGTTCTCACTTATTAGTGGAAGCTAAATAATGGGAACATATGGACACAGAGAAGGGAACAACAGATACCAGGGCCTACTTGAGGGTGGAGGGTGACAGGAAGGAGAGAATCTATAAAATGCTGATAAAAACTATCAGGCATTCTGCTTAGTATCTGGGTGACTAAATAATCTGTACACCAAATCCTTGTGACATGAATTTACCTATATAACAAACCTGCACATGTACCCATGAACCTAAAATAACAGTTAAAAACAAATGCGGTGATATACCACAACGCACCAGCAGAATAGCCAAATTTAAAAAGAAAGAAAGAAAAATCCAGATCCAACAACAAGTATCAAAAAGGATGCAATGTATCCAGAGCTGTCATACACTGATGGTGAGGATGTAAAGTGGTCTGACCATTTTGGGAAATTCTGTGTCAATATCTATTAAAGTTGAATATATGACCCAAATAATTCCAGTCCTAGGCGTATGGCCAAAGATATGTTTAAATCAGTTTATAAAAAGACATACGAGTGTTCGTGGCAACATTTTTCCTAATAGCACAATGGTTAAACTACCCAACAACCTGTGAATTATAGAATGGATGAATTAATTATGATATATTAACATTGTACAATAATGAGAGTGAATACACAACAACTACATGCAACAATGTGAATAAGTCTTAAAAACACACCACCGAGTCAAAAAAACCAGACACAAGAGTGTACACTGTCTGGTTCCATTTCTATGAAGTTCAAAAATATAAAAAAACTGGCTGGTCGCAGTGGCTCATGTCTGTAATCACAGTACTTTGGGAGGCTGAGGCAGGTGGATCACAAGGTCAGGAGTTCGAGACCAGCCTGGCCAATATGGTGAAACCCCATCTCCACTTAAAAATACAAAAATTAGCCAGGTGTGGTGGTGCACACCTGTAGTCCCAGCTACTCAGGAGGTTGAGGCAGGAGAATCGCTTGAACCAGGGAGGTGGAGGTGGCAGTGAGCCAAGATCACACCGCTGCACTCCAGGCTGGGCAACAGAGTGAGACTATGTCTCAAAAAAATATATATATATTTATATATATAAAAATATATATAAATATATAATTAACATGTATAAAATATATAATTAACATACAAAAATCAGTACATTTCTATACACCAATATATGCCAATAATTAGAAATATATGATTAACATATATATATATATATATATATATATATATATATATAAACTAATGTAGTATTTAAAGTCAGAATGGTGGTCAACTTGTGGCAAGGTGCAGTGGCTCATTCCTGTAATCTCAGCACTTTGGGAGGCTGAGACAGGCGGATGACCTGAGATCAGGAGTTTGATCCAGGCTGGCCAACATGGCAAAACCCTGTCTCTACTAAAAATTAAAAAAAAAAAAAATTAGCCAGGAATGGCTGTAGGTGTCTATAATCCCAGCTACTTGGGAGGCTGGGGCAAGGAGAATTGTTTGAATCCGGGAGGCGGGGGTTTTAGTAAGCCCGAGATTGCGCCGCTGCCCTCCAACCTGGGTGGCAGAGCGAGACTCTGTCCCTCTCAAAAAAAAGAAAGAATAGAGGTGACCATCAGAAACAGGGAATTGTGGTGGGGGCTTGGGACATTCAGGAGACAAGATGGGGTGCAAGAAATACTCTATTTTTGACCTGGTTTAAAGTTAATAGTTTAATTTAGTCTGTGAATACTCTTGAAGCTGTATATTATGATTTGGGCATTTTTAATGTTATACTTCAATAAAAGGTACTTGAAAAATCTAAAAATATATACAAAAACAAAAATATATACAATACAAATTATACTCCTAATAATTTCTTGGCCTTTGGATGAGGTATACTCAAAGAACATAAACAGGTTAGGCTGGCCATGCAAAATCTTAATTAGAAATTAATAATGAGGCAAAGGTAAACGATCTCTGTATTACATCACACCCTTGAGCCTCTCTTTATGAATATGGGTAATTGGAAATTGTTTAGCTATAGTTTGTTGTTGGAGAGATTTTTCAATTAATATTTCTATTAAGTAGGGAGAAAAACTAATTTTGCTTGTAATAAAATATTGAGCTCGAGAATTTCTAACCTGTCTTATTAGATTATTCTTTATCCTTGTTGTTCTATATTTCTTTTTCTCTCTCTCTCTTTTTAGCTACTGCAGAAAAACATTTCTGTTCACTTAATGGATTGCAGCCCTTTTAAAAAAATTCAGATCCATCTGATATTTATCTTGATTTGGATGTCATTCAGAATGTTTGCAATGAAAGAGATTTTCTATATGCCTCTCTAATATCTAGTATCTGTCACTGCCACTAGACTGGTATGCCCTTGGTCTTATCTTCCCTTTTGATGAAATGTTTCATGAGAATAATATGAGATGCATAATGGGCATTAAAAAAAATTAATTTAAAATATTAGGTAAGACTGTTAGGTTTAGACACCAGGTTTATTTACCTAAACAGAAGTAATAACCTGGTGTAATTTTAAATATGATGATTTTTATAAAACCATTAAAAAAGTGATACAGGTGGTAATTAAAGAAACCCATTTGTGATCTACATATTCATGCAAAACAAAATTCCAGAATCAAACTACTACCCAGATGGGGTCTTCAAAGACTGATTTTTGCTTTAGTGCATCTAGAGCATTCAAATATGCATAAAAACTTTTTTATATTGGTTTTTACTGATGATCAAAGAGATGGAGAATGGAAGAGGCAATTTGCCTTTTTTTAGGTAGGTGACTGTAGTGAAATATTATTGGTAATTATAGCATGTATTATACCCAGATGTTAGTTTTTTCCATTCTCCTGTTATACCCCTGTAAACCCACCAAAAGTTAACTTTCTGTAGTGCAATCAAAGAGAAAGGTGGCTAGCTACGTCCACACCCTCAGATGCCTATACTCTGCTGCCTTCTTGAGGTTCACCTCATCTTTTCTCTGGGCCTTGATCATCTAGCCCTTATTTTCTGGAAGTATTGTTATTCAAGGATGTGTGTGTTAACAGAGTTAACTGAAAATCTGGCTGTAAAGAATTTCATGCTCCTCACCTTTTCCGCAGGTCTTTTTCTGACCTCCAGGTTGATAGTCCCTGTTTGTTTCTGTCAGGACTCTCCTCCCGTTTCAGGCTGCTCCTAAACACTCCCTCCACTCCTTTCATTTTTGTAATGTAGAGCAATTCAGATAGGTGTTTGTTTCTCTCTCCTTGTTTAAACTAAGCTCTGGGGGGCTTCAGCATTGAAACTCAAGTGGCCTGTCAAGGTGTCTTACTAAACAAAAGGCCATCCACTCCAGAGAGAAATGATGCTTATTTTTTGGAAGCATAAGTGATTTCAGTCAATTCTGTTTTTCCCCTTCCTGTTACAAATATATGAACACAAAATATCTCAGAGGACATTTCCTTCTCACGATAACCGATCTCACTGGTGAGACACCCTGCCATTGCTTAACTAGGCAGAGTCTTTTCTTCCATTTACAAATTTGCTTACATAAACCTTTCTTAATCTGTGACTGACAACAGTTAGAAGATAATGTCTTCCACCAACTATTAGTGCCAAAAAGCAGAGTAAAAAAGAGTGTTTGTAAATGTATTGTGGAATAGAAAATAATCAGCGAAATGCCAAATCTAAAAATCACTGAATCAGATTTTTATTTTATATGTAAATAAACTATAGAATTATTTAATTAGTATTTATATTTAGCTTCTATATGGCATTCAGATTTGGCGCACACCTATTGTAAATCAGTGATTCTCATTGGCTGAGTAAGATGAATTTCAGACTCTCAAGGCCTATATGTGTGTGCATATGTCATGTGTGTGTGCATGTGTGTGTGTAAGTTTATGCTTGTGTATGTTTAGAAAAAACTTCTCTCTACCATGCACCAACCAGCCACAATTTAATACACACACTTGCCAGTTCCACTGAGAATAACTACTATAATCAACCATTTACATAGTGGTTAGCTCTGAGTCAACTTTTTCTACAATTATGTTCACTGATTGAATTTAGCAATTTCGGTGCAAAATATTACATCATTCTTGGTGCTGACTTCAATGCTTTTAATTATTCTTGGAAAGGATGGTTCTAACTCACTACTCCTAGCCTTTATGTGTGTTAGAAAGTCCAACAAGCAAATACAAACAAAAGCAAACATACAGAGAAAAAAAGACAACCAAGTAGTCTTTATCAGTCCCTTCAGTAATTAAATTTTAAAATTTTTTAAATTTTTCTTTGCATAGGCAATGCTTCCACACAGGACATAGTTCAGAAGGCATTAGAAGGCATAGAGTAAAAAGGTAAGTCTCCCTTCTATTCCTGTCCCCCGCCACTTCCAGGAGGGACAAGTGCTTTAGTTTACTTTTTTTCTTCAAGTGTCTATGTATATGCAGACATATCTATCTATCTCATCTATCATCTTTCTACTTTCCTGTCTGTCCAAAATCTATGCATCTTGTAAAACATTCCAAAGCAATATATTTTTAAAATTGCTCCAAAACGTCATTGTATGGTGTCAGATTTTTTCAACCAGTCTACTACCGATGAATACTTAATTTGTTTTGAAACTTTTGCCATTTCAAACAATAATGCAGTGAACAGCCATATACAAATGTTATTTTGTATATATGTAAATATAATGGAAGGATAAATTCCTAGAGATGAAATTGTTGAGTACGCTGTATTGCTCTCCATAGAAGTTATACCAATTTACAGTAGTACCTGCAATGTAGACCTTATTCAGAATTACACTGTAATTATTATTGTAATTTTATCTTCACCACTATTCTAAAGAGTATATACTATCTTGCTAATGTAAGATGAAGAAATTGATGCTTGAGCTGGCTCATGACCTGCATAAAACCATGCGACATGCCAAGGATTGACAATAGGATTCTGCCAAGTCAGAAGCACTTTCCAACATAGTCTCTGTTTTTCTTAAAGACAAAGGAGAAACCACTATTTTTTGAAGCATCAGGTTGTGAATCTGTTGGCAGAAGCCAGAAGACAACTCAAGGACTATCCTTGAGATACAGTTTTGCTACATCAAAGAAGATTCTGTTCATTTGTCACTATCCTTTAGGTGTATGGAAGCATGTATGAATGTGTGTGTATATATATTTGATATTAAATACAAAAAGAAAAACTTCTGAAGATTTGCTGTGGAAGATTACCTCTGCCTCCTCTTCTGTAAAACCAAAGGTTGGACTACATGATCTCTCAGAGCTACATTCTAAATAGAATTAGGTGAATCAACATAATAGAGTGTGATCTTTCTTAAATGTAAGCCCTGTATGATACATTTTAAAGAGTTTTTTATAAACCGTTTTCTGCTTTAACATGTGAAGACATGATGTTTATTTCTTTCATAGTAATTCAGTATAATTCCTTTCCATTAGGATTATATCATTTCCAAGTATTAGGCATATTAAATGGATGCATATCCAAGAGGGTGTATTGAGAGAGAAGAGGGTGTTTGGCTGTCTGAAATTGTCTGGGCATCATAGCATGCTTCACATGATGTTGCTCGAAATGATACGCATTTATCGTGGTGGCATTTACTTTGTCGTGGCATATGTGCTTTAGAAAAACATACTGATAATTGTGTGATTGGTTCTCTTGCATGTTCCAAGAACGGGTTATAAACTGAGTTGTGCAAAGTACAGCTTGTACTTCCATAGATTTTGCAAATACTGTTTCCATTTTGTCCTTTACCCAATTTTTTTCCCTCTCAAATTAGGGTTTAAAAGATAAGTAAAGGTTTTGGAGGAAGAGTAAAAGTGAAGACCAGAAATGACTCTCTTTTGCTTTGTCTTCCTAATTCTGGAACTCTGTTCATGAGGCGCATTTGCAGAAAAGAGTTTGAAAGCTAATTATTTTATCTCTCCCTGCTTCCAATAATGTGACGTGAAATAACTGTGTGGATTTTACACACTCAAGTTAATACTGTAATTTTTCTACAGTAGATACATCTTTATTCATTTTGGCAAAAAAGGGATTGTTTCTTATTTCAAAAAACATCATGAGAAAAAAACATCTTGGCTATTTCTTTAGATTTATGAAATATTCTGCATTCCTACTATATAGGCAAGTTTATTTTCTCCTCTTATTTAATTTCCTTATGTGTCTTTGGACTCTAAATAAGTTCAGTCCACTGGAGAAATTATAGGTGGGGATGATGAAAGTTTAGCAGTCAAATTAATGAAAGCCCAATGCACCCAGAAAACAAACTTGAGATAAGGAATAAAAGCATAATAGAAAATATTTCCACTTTTCTTTTTGGCTGTTTTCTTGCTTTTTTTCATTAAAAAAAATTTTTTTTTCTGTTCAATTTAAGCGAAAATTCTGTTCAATTAAGCGAAAAAAACAATGTATTTTTCTTCTATGTTTCTCCTAATGGTACTGTGCCTCCAAGAAGAAGAAGAAAATAACTAAGAGATTGACTTCCTTAATATGGTTTATAGGGACTTTATGTATATGAGAAGTAACTTATCTTAAAAATATTCCACATGCACAAAGAAAAACTGATGACTTAGGCTTACCACTTTCTTTCCCTCATCTGACTCTAGTATCTTTTATTGAAAATCTCAGACCTTAATGAAAAACTACAGGTTCTAAAGGTAAAGAAAGAGAAAAAATCTGGAAGGAAGAAAAACATGGCTGACCATACCTCAGATGGGGCAGATGAAGTTGGGATCAGAGAGGGCTAAGTGAAAGCCTAGACTTGCACCCCCACTCAACCACAAAGAGTACCCCCGTGCTTTCTCAGTGGGAATCCAGGACTTTCAACTCTTAGCTATGAGAAGGTCACATATCACACCAAGAACCAGGAAAACCTCAACTTGAATGAGAAAAGACAATCAATAGATACTAACATCAAGATGATACAGATATTGAGATTATCTAATGAGAACTTTTCAATGGTCTTTATCAAAATGCTTCAAGGAGCAATCATAAACAGATTTTGTACAAATGAAAAAAATAGAAAGTATCATCAAAGAAATAAAAGATATATAAAAGATACTAATTGAAATTTTAAGACTGAACAGTACAGTAACCAAAAAACAAAAAACACCAAACCCCAAATCTTAGAAAACCTTACTGGATGAGGTCAGCATGAAAAAGACAAAAGAAAGAGCCAGTGACCTTGAAGATAAAAAAAATAGGAGTTACCTGACTTGAACATGAGAGATGAAATAAATAGAAAAAAAAAGCCTCAAGTACATTTGAGATTATAACAAAAAATCTAACATTTATGTCATCAGAGTTCCAGAAAAAGAAAAGGAAGAATGTGGGCCTGGAAAAGTATTAGAAAAAATAATGGCTGGAAATTTCCCAAATTTGGCAAAAAGATATGAACCTAGTGATTCAACCAAATAGCACCTGCTCCTCAATAACCTATAAAAAGAAAAAATTGAAAAAAAGGAGCTAAGCAAACCCTAAACAGGACAACCCAAAGACATCTGTCTAAGTCATATCATGTCATGATCAAACTCCTGAAAACCAAAGATAAAAGAAGGACTTCAAAAGCAATAAGACATCAGTGACACCTTACCTATAAGGGAAAAGAATTTGAATGATAGAGTATTTCTCATTAGATGCCGTGGAGACCAGAAGGAAGCACCATAGTATTTTTCAAGTGCTGAAAGAAAATGACTGTCAACTCAGAAATCTATACTGAAAATATCCTCAAGGAATGAAGGGAAATGAAGACATTTTCGGATGAAAGAAAACCAAGAGAATTTGTTACCGGCAAACCAACCCTAAAATAGTGGCTAAAACAACTTCTCTAACCATAAAATAATACAAGAAGATACCTTGGAACCCCAGGAAGGAAGAAGAGACAATGTTGAAAGTGAAAATATGGGTCAGCACATTTTATATTTCTTATTCTCTTGAATTTTCTAAATTAATGTTCAGAGATTTCCTCTTTTGGAATTTATTAGCAGTGATCAGCTATTTTATTTAATAGGTTATCATGAAAAAGTTCAGATAAACAGTCTTTTCATATACAGATTCAATAGTTGCAGAGTTCTGTAATGTCAAGTCAAATCTTGATTTTGGAATCCAGGGTTTTAGAGTGGAGGGTACCCTTTGGACTGAAAGGAACCCTCATGTAGGCTAAGTCTAAAGAGGGAACAGAGAAACACACACATGCCCCTCTCATGTGTCAAAAAATCACATTTCCCACAAATCATTTTTGGTTTGAGTAAAGTATACAAAAGCATGGAATGGCTGTCCTTTTCTTTTTCTTTCCATCCTTCTTTCCTTAGCTTTTATTCTCTCTCTCCTCTTTCTCCTTCCTCTCTTCCTCCTCTCGCTCTTTTTTTTTTTATCTCTTTCTTTCTGCATTTCTCTCTTACTGTCTTCTTCCCTTTCTGTATCCTTTCCCCCTTTCATTCCCTTTTTTTCTTTCTTACAAGAGAAAAGAGGCAACAACATTCCACTACAGACCTTGAGCCCAGATTGCCTTTTTGTACAACTCAACAGGTACCTTCTTGGACTCAATCAGCTAAAAAGGGACTGTGGGCATGTAGTATAGAAAGTCATTTATGTTGAAATCTGCTTATTTTTCAAGCGTTATTAATGATTACTGTCCATTATTATTTGTCCATTATTATTTTAAAAAATGGAAATAACTTTTCTGATTTAGTTTTCATGTGACTTAAGTTCTATATATCCATATGATTATTTTTTTCCCATTTCAGTCTGGCTTCTCTGCTTGAATTCCACAGTACTAGAATGAAAAGTAATAAAGTAATGAAAAAGTACAATATAAAATATTAGTGTTCTTTGTGGCCTTAGAGTCATTTAAGAAAACACAATTGTTAGAGTGTAAGATTACTATGAACCTCGCTAAATGAATCTCTTTAGAACATAAACAATCCTTTCGTCTTGCATATCTGAGAAGCCCAAATATGTAATTAGTCAATCCCATGTAGTTTCAAAATGTTAACCTTTTGAACTGAATAGAAGAGAGATGTTTTATGAATAATGGGTGTGTATAATTTTGGTTTCTTTCGGCATAAAACCAACTCTGGAGAAGTCCCAGGGTGTACTCTTGCATTTACACTAATTAACTCCTCAGACACCAGTGCTCTGTTGGCTTTGGATCAAGTTTGGGATTCAAAAAGGAACAGGTTATTTAGTAATGTTGCAGGAAACCAGGCATCTTCATGAGATGGGTTTGGTCTTGTTTCAAACTGAATTATCTAGAGATGAATTGTTTATATTATTTCTCAGCATATTGCCTTTGAATGCTCTTGGGCACTCAGCTCACAATGTTGAGAAAGTGATTGATAATCAAGTATTTTAAATGGATAATCAAGATAATCAAGTATTTTACATGGATATTTTGTATGTGCGTTTGGGACAGGAAATTATTATCACATGTTTTGAACAAGTTCACTCAATTCACAATGAGTAATCACTAAAGACAGTGCACAATTGGATATGGTTGACCTTATTCAAAGTTCAAGGGTACTGCTAGGGGAGAGGACTATGGTAAAGTTAGAACTAGAATATGGAAATGTTGGGAGAAGAACAGTTAAAGACTGATGAATTATCACATTACCCATTAGTTTTCACTTAAAAGATAGATATATAAAATTACTTTTTTGAAATAAGAACTTTGAAAAGAAAATAATGTTGATGGCATTCTAATGGCTTGTCAAAGTAGAAGAAATGGATCAAGAAGGTACTAACCATGTTCCTTGCACAAGGTTCTATATACTATATTATGCATGTGGAAGTATGAATTTGCTTTTGCTTGTTGATATGGAGTAAATTACTCTAAGAACAGCTAGGAGGGCTTTTTCCTTCCTCATGCCAATCATTGCAATCTACTTACAATTTTCCTCACTGAAACTCCACCTAATAAGGTGTCATGTTATGACTCTGATTTATGAGTGTGATTTGAGTACTTCCCAAATCAGATGGAGTGGAAAACAAGTGAGTTAGTGAATCATTGAAGAAGAATCCATTTACTGGTGGTACTTTTTCTATCCAAAGGCTTGGATTTAAAATGTTGAAATAACTTCTGCTGGACTCCCAACCTTTTGCTATAGCTGTTATAACTGTGGCAAAAGTGGCTTTCACATACTGTAGCTGCTGAGTTAGCAGGAGTAGGGCAGCAGCTCTGCTCATCCCATACCACCTGATCCTGATCTGTTTCTCATGCTTCACCTTCTCCTGATGTTGTAGGGACTTTTCTTTATGTTTTCAAAAATCAAGATGTGTTTTTTTTTGGGTAATTTTCTTGAGTTAGAAATGTAGTTAGAACTGTGACTAACGGCATTGCCTGGAATGTGCTACAAACACGATTAGATATTCATTTATCTTCCTTGTATTAGACTGCTTGTATAAGACTCAGTGTTTAGACATTCATTTCTCTTCCTTGTATAAGACTCCTTGTATAAGACTCAGTGTTCATTTATCTTTTTAAATTAAACCACAACAAATATATGAGTTTTTAACCATTGCAATGTGCAATAAATAAATATATCTGAAGTAGCATTAGCCTTCTAGTTTTAAATAATAATGAAATTTGTTTAGCAGTCACTAACATGTGCAAAGAAATGTTTGGAAAAAGATGTTTTGCTTGCATTTCAGTCAACTCCCTGATAATAGATTCAAAATTAAATAAGGTGTTGGTGCATGTCTCATTTGGAATGAGTAAAAGAACTGGAAAAAAACTTAATGCAATTAAGCTGATTAAAATGTTGTGTCACCCTCCTGTAAGTTAAAATCATTTACTCACAGAAAAAGTTATTACCCTGTGAAGAGCGTTGGTTTTAATAACTATTTGTTGAACTCTAATGTCCTGTTTGATAAGAGTGTCTCTCCACTATGCTCAGAATTTTAAAGCCTCCAGTGACAGCAGAATCACTTTGGTTCAGAAACGTAGCAGGTGAATTGTAATTGTCCAGCCAAAGTTGGAATCAGTTCAATAGGACTGTCCCCCATGTTTATCCAATTGCAAGTAATGTCAAGAGGTGAGATGTGTGATGAAGGTGATATGATTTCTCATCCATGAAATGCTATTCTCATTTGTTCCTTTGGGGACTCTAGCTGTCAAAAGGAAAAAAAAAAAGAAAAGTTGAAAAGAGAAAATCATTATCCAAAGAGAACTATAGAAATATCTATTTAATCTAGGTTTGAAAGAAGATTTTATAATCTTGGTTAATATTATAAATACTTCATCCTTTTAAGTAAACCACATTTAGAAAAATACATTGCTGTAGAAATCACCAGGAATTCTGTGATGAGCAATTCAGTAGTGATCACTCCTTGTGAGTACTGTGGACTGAGAGCTTTTGGGCAGTCACATTTTATGGAAAAACTCTTGGCTTCTTCTTTGTTTGAATCTCTAATCTACAGTTAGTTCCCCTACCCTGGTAGCCTAAGAAAGTCTTCTAGCTCTGTAACTTTTCTATTTCTCACAGAATACCTTTGGATGTGTTCTCTCACAGATAAAATATTTTATTTTAGAAAATTTTATGCTTTCAAACTGATATTGACCATGGTAGAGAAAATGCATGTGAAATTTTCATATAAGCAATTAGCTCATTTAGTCTAACAATTAGCCATAATTAAATGTATTTTGTACCAGCTACAGTTAATATTTTGTAACATCAAAAAAATCAAATTTTAAATATCTAATTTCAAAAAAGGATCTATTATTTGTATCCATTTCAAAGACAGACCCTACTTAATTGTGGATAACTATTTTTAAACATTTTTAACATTTAAAAAATATGTAAAGACCTACTTATCTGGACCGATATTTGGTAATTGATTATAAATTCATATTTAACTAATAAGTCAATCACATAGCTAGATTAGACTTATACTGCAAAGGCTTTTTTCTTTTAATCACCTTCCATTAATAATATGAAGTATTTAGGGTTTTATTTTGATTCTTTGCTGCAGTTTTGATGGTAAGCTCTATTAGCAATGTTGGTTAAGTTTTTTAAGTGGTCTTGATTTGGTGCAAAGAGCAACCCCATAGTAATTTTATTTCGGAATTTTGTGTGTGTGTGCAGCAGAGTATGTGTGCAAGGAGAGCTAGAGTGTGTGTGTGAGAGAGAACCATTCCTATCATTTGCCTTTTGAGCAATCAGCACTCACAGAGTTAAAAAAATAAGCCAACAAACAATAGAATGTTAATAAAGGAAGAAATATATTTTTGATTCTTATGAATAGTATTCTAATAACATAGAATTATTGAGTAGTTAGGAGAGATAGCTTCTTTTTCATATCTCTAGGACTACTAAGGTGCTTTAGTAATATATACTACTATAGCCATAGCATGGGGACTCCCCATTTCTTGAATCTCCTTGTTCATCTTTTTTTTTTTGAGAGGGAGTCTCGCTCTATCACCCAGGCTGGAGTGCAATGTTGCAATCTCAGTTTACTGCAACCTCCGCCTCCCGCGTTCAAGTGATTCTCCTGCCTTAGCCTCCTGAGTAGCTGGGATTACAGGCTCCTGCCACCATGCCTGACTAATTTTTGTATTTTTAGTAGAGATGAGATTTCATTATGTTGGCCAGGCTGATCTTGAACTCTTGATCTCAAGTGATCCACCCATCTTGCCTTCCCAAAGTGCTGGGATTATAGGCATGAGCCACTGCACCTGGCCTCCTTGTTCATTTTTAAATAGCTGCATACACCATAAATGTTAGGAATGCTTTAAAGTATTAATAAAATAAAAGTCTGCCATCAGATTATTTCTTCTGGGAGTAAGGTATTCCCACTCAACAAGTTTACTGATTGAATAAGGGCACTCAAAACGCTAGATCCTTCTAACAAATGACCCACTCCTAAGAAAAAAGTGAGCACTTCTGTAAACGGTGGTAAATTTTTTGTTTATGAACAAGCCTTGTTAGAGTAATGAAGGTGTAATTTAAGGAAAAATTAACACAATTTCAGTACACCTTCTTCTAGAGACTCTCTATAAGCAAGGTATGAGGCAAATGATCAAGCACACTGCAGATGCTTTATTCCTTCCCTTTAGGAGAGTACTTCAAGAAACAAATACCATGGGTTTATCTACTTATTCTCATTTCACAGCCTAGCTCCAAAGACTGACTTTTTTTTTTTTTTAAAGCAATGCTTAGTGCAGCAGTGAATTTTATACCAGCCTTATAACTAGGAAAGGCTTCCAGGAGAAGATGAGAATTGAGGCCTAGGACATATGCCTAACTGTTAGGGAAAACACTCTATCAGAATATAAAGCTAAAATAACTTCACAGGGAATAGGGTTGTGGAGGATTGAGAATTAATAGATGAACAAGTAACTCTCTGAGTGTTTGAAAAATTATATAAGAAGAATGGAGCCCAGCTGTTCTACTATACTTTATGAAGGCCAGACAAGAAGGAATGGACTGGACTTGAAGCAAGAATTGACAAAGGAGGTCCTTAAGTACTGGAAACACTTATGAAAGGACCTCCTGTACTCGTCCCTTCATACACACATACACAGGCAGCTGTTAATGTCAGTGCCTGGAAACCAGGCTGCAAGACCTTTTAAGGCCCTTCACAGTTTTACAGAAATTTGAAAACTAACTGAATTGGGTTATGTGACTCCATGAACAAAAAATTCTAGTAAACTATTCTGCCTTTCCAAACCCAAGTTCTTAAAGTTCTTTCAAAACAGTCAGGATATGCATATTATCACTGGAAAGACAGCCTTCAAAGACTTCTTACTTTCTCCTGCAGTGAAGCAAGTAGAGGGTTTACAGTTAATATGCAGACATCTGGCCATTTGCAATTAGCAGCATCCACTCATTTATTCATTTTCTTTTTAAACATTCATTGAGTGGATATTTAACTAATAAGAGTCTAATTTCAATGAATAAAAGAGAATAAAATGTCAAAGTATATGCAACTTCGTACATGTAGATATACATTTTTTTATAAATTCAGATTATTTCCCTCTTTTGTACACAGCTTAGCTCTCAATCTCAGTTACTGATAAGACTGAAGAGAAATGAAGATTTATTATATTATATATAAAGTTCTATGTTCTAATTTGTTAACATATTTTTTAAGCATTGCCTATTTCACCAAAATGACATTGAAAACAAGATTTTTACTTGGTGGATACTAATTAGTGCTTTCTTCTATGTTAGACATTAAGCTGCTTTCAATTTTTCATTGCAATAAACAATCCTTAGAATAGAAACATAGTAGGAGAGCTTCTAAGCCAAAGGGTAGAAACATTTTTAATGCTGCCAGATTGCCATCCAGAAATTCCATCAAGTGTATGAAACTGTCTTTTTCATTGTAACTTACCAACGTTGACTGTTAACAGTATAGCACTTAAAGTTTGAAATAACATTAAATGGTTTCTGATTTGAACAGGACTGATGAAATTATTTAGAAGTAGGCATACTATCATGGATGTATGGGATTATTTTCCAAGATTTTAAATTAAAAAATTCCTTTAAAAATGTCTTCGATTTGGCCAGGCGTGGTGGCTCACGCCTGTAATTCCAGCACTTTGGGAGGCCGAGGTGGGCAGATCACGAGGTCAGGAGATTGAGACCATCCTGGCTAACACGGTGAAACTCCGTCTCTACTAAAAAAATACCAAAAAAAAAAAAAAAAAGAAATAAAATTAGCAGTGGTGGCGGGTGCCTGTAGTCCCAGCTACTCGGGAGGCTGAGGCAGGAGAATGGCGTGAATCCAGGAGGCGGAGCTTGCAGTGAGCCGAGATCGTGCCACTGCGCTGTCCAGCCTGGGTGAGAGAGCGAGACTCCGTCTCAAAAAAAAACAAAACAAAAAACAAACAAACAAAAAAACCTTCCATTTTACACATTCACATTCATTCACTAATTTGACAAATATTAACTGCCTAGTCAATAAGTTCCTACTACGTGACAGGCTTTGACCTCTATTAAAATAATCGATGGTGAAATTTCCACGGTGTACGGGTCACTATAATATCTTGCCTAGTTTACTGTGCCAGCTTTCCTTGCGTTCCCCTGGATTCAGTCTTCATATTCATCACTGTGATGGTTAATTTTATGTGCCAACTTGACTGGGCCACAGAGTGTACAGGTATTTGGTCAAACATTTTTTCTGGGCATCTCTGTGAGGGTGTTTTCCAATGAGATTACCGTTTACATGGATAGACTGAGTAAAGTAGGTAGACTGCCCTTCCTAACATGGGTAGTCCTCATCCAATCAGTCGAAAGTCTGAATAGATGAAAATACTTACCTTGGTCTCCAGCTTGCTGACTCACTAGACGAATCTTGGGATATGCCATAATTGCACTAGCCAATTCCTTATAATAAATCTCTCTCTCTCTGTCTCTCCACACACACACACACACACACACACACACACACACACACACACACACACACCCTATTGGTTCTACTTTTCTGAGAAACCCTGACTAATACACCCACTATAGCTAGAGTGATCTCCCTGCAAAAATCTAATAATTCCACTTTCCCACTTGAAACTTTTTTACTGAGTTTCCTTTGTCTTGCAATAAACCTCAGGCCCCCTAACGTGATTTTTTTCATGACTTGGCCCCTGCTTTCCTCTCCCTCTTACTTCTTTAAAAATCTCCCTTATTTGCTACACTCTATCCATATCATAATATTTATATTTCCTCGACCGCTCTTTATCACGTCTCTGGGCCACCTCTCATGCTGTTCCAGCTTCTTAGTCATGTTCTCATCCTCTTTGCTTCCTCTCATTTCTGTTCGTGTTTTAGTTCTCAGCTTACATATAATGTCTTCTAGGAATCTCTTGAAATCCCTTAAGTCTAGTTAAAGTTTCCCAGCTACTTTCCCCATGATAGTACTTGCTATATATATATATATACCATAATTGCCTATTTCCTTACTTGACTTTTGTATTGGCATTGAACCTCTGAAGGCAGGAATGTGTTTACCATTTTAAATCTGGAATCCAGCTTCTCTCACAGTATCTGGCATAGTCTAGCTTCTTAATATGTTCTTGTTAAATAAATGAATAGAAGCAATTCATGAGATTTTAAGGTTTCCTTTATTAGCTATATGAAATCATTGAGGTTTCAAATAAATTATTTTTTCTTGATGAACTTAGTAACTCTTTGGACAGACAGAGTCATGATGATGGCATTGCTCACAATATTAGATGAATGTAATTGAGAAAATTAGCCACCCCTCACTCCCCATCTAGTGGATAGATTATTTAGGCACAGTGATACAGTGCATACTGCCTTCCCAATGACTCTTTTCCTATAACCATGGTTTATATCAGTGATTCTCAACCGGGGACAATTTTGCCACCTAGATGACTTTTGCCAATATTTGGAGAATTTTTGATTGCTATGACTGCAGAGTGGAGGTGGGAGCTGTTCTCTAGTGGATAGAAGCCAGGGGTGCTATTAATTACTCAACATTGAACAGTGCAGCTCCCACAACAGACTCATTGGGCCCAAAATATCCTTAAGTCTGAGGTTGAGAAAACCTAGTTATATAAATTTGGAGAAAGTTTATGGAAGAGCAAGCTGTCCCATGTGATTGTCATGCTATAGTTACCTGATACCTGTGGTCTTCCCAGGTTACCGCATATTATTTGACCATAGAAAGAAAAACAAAGGAATACGAACCAGGCAGCCAAATGATATGCTGTATTATTGCATGGGAGCTGTTTTGGTACTGTATTTTAACTCATTAACATTTAAAAATTGTTATGTGGCAGAAAAATAATTATGTCCTTTTAACTGTTGAAACAGAATCCATTTTTCCAAGCATACTTTTTTTTAAGGACATATTGCTAAAACACCAACTGTTTTACAAGTACAGTAATCACATTGCTGTTGAGTTTATTGTGTTTTGTTAGGACACACTTTATAGTGTGGAAAATGCATTTTAAAGTAATTCTTCTGGGCACAGTTAGGGAAAAGAATAGAGGTAGGCTTTATTTTTGTGGGTGAACAATTAGCTGCATAGTGACCCCCTCTGGCAGATGAATGGTGCAGTGTAGGTGGTTTCTGGAAAGTTTGGCATCTGAATCTTTCACTTTCACTTGAAGAAATGAGGAAGATTAAGAAGGAAAATGAGAAATAGAGAAAACTTAAGGGGCTCTCAATACTTCAGTCCCTTTCAAGAGAATAATTTATTTTGTTCATGAACAGTAGTAGTTCTGTTGTGGCCTTTCATTTTCCACATCTATCACCCTTTAAGGCACTGGTCCTTAATCTGTTTTTTATGGACCTACATGTCTTCATATGGAATTTTGGGAGGTTTCTGGATCACTGTAAACATATGTAAATTTGGTGGGTATGGAAATTCAAAAATTATTCCAATGTGAGGTGTTCATGCTTTATCAGATTCTCAAGGGAGTCATGACTACACAATATTTAAGAGACAGTTCTTTAGGAAATGCACACGTTCCACTGCAAATGGGACCTGGAAGTTTATGTGGCTTTAGGAGAAAGTGCAGAATGTTTAAAAGGGAGCTGCTTAATCACTAAGCAACAACTCCTCTGTTTGTAGACCTGGAGTGAGATATCTGGAACCTAAGATTTGTTTTGCTCTTTTTATTCTATCTCTATACAAATGGTCCGGGAGGGTCTCAATCTCTACACTAACAGGTGACTTCCAGACCTCTGCTTCTCTGTTACCAAAGATGAATTGTAACTCTTTTGATTCATTCAACTCTGCCTTCACCTAATTTTTCAGCCTGGAAAATAAATTCATTTACATTAATATGTATTTTTCTTATGAGAGATTTAGTGTAGTTTGGGATTAAATATAAGAAAAATGTATACATAATAAAAGAGTGCAGTGTAGCTTCATGTGTTCTTGCTACATGAGATAATTCTGGTCTGGTCTTGATTATAAAAGTTGCCTTGGGCTCACTCATATGCTCCTGAAAGGGTTAAAGCTGGCCTTCTTCCAGCTTCATGTGGCCAGGAGCACTACCGTCTTTCCACATCATCAGCCTGTGTGTGGAACAGAGTGGGAGGGCATCAGTGGCTCCCAAAGTTTACTTTGGAAACATGCAAATTTTCTTTCTTCTGTGATATAATTGAGCAATAACTGGACATGTACTAATCCCCAATTTCCCTTTCTTTAGAAGTTGCCAGTTGTGTCTGACTCTCTATTTTAGTGTAGTTTGAAGAGTCACGTTCACTAGACTGCCCACTGTGGGGGTGGGGCAAGGCAGAGAGTCTGCTATGTTATTAATATAATATTTTCCTACCCTCGACATTTCTACGTCCTTGAGAGAAGATTATGTGATTTAAGTTTGTATTGTCACAATGCAGTGAGGGTTTCTAGACTCATATATAGATAAACTCTGATCATCAGAATAATAAAAGATGGCAAACTTATGTTAAAACAAACTATGCATCCTACTATGAGTTATATTCATTGTGAATTGGAGATACTTATTCAGTGCTACACTCAGGAAACTTTTCTCTCATATTAGTTCCTGATTGTAAATTATGGATTTACAATGTTAGATCTGTGAAGAAATTGAAAAATATAAATATTAAATGATGGGGTTAGTATAGTGCTATATTTTCCTCAATACCTTATTTAGATTTTTTCAGAGAATGTTGGAAAACCAAGTACCATATTATTCAATGGTCTCACATGGAACTGAGAATTAAGTATGTGTCACTAGGGTGAGACCTGGATGCAATCTTTCTTTTCAATTTTAATATCTTTCAAAAAATCTTTGCTTATAAGGACCATGGTTCAGAAAACTATATGGCTCATGTAAAGTGTGAGAAGACTTTTGTGTTTAAAAGTGATTTTAGCTATTTAGCTTAAAACAACATTGGAGCTTGGGAGAGAACTCAGTTCAACTTTTGCAGGTGAGGAAGCACTTGGGAGCAAAGGTTAACTCAGGTTATAACTGCATTAGCATCCACTAACAAAGTATTAAGGCTCCACATTATCCTGGTCGTTCTACTGGGCATTGCACCAAGTTGGTTAAACAAACACAATGGGAACCACACCAAATTATCTACTTAAGGCCAGGAACATGCCCCTTTGACGTATAATTTACATCAGTGAAAGTAGCATATCAGTACCGTGAATATAATTAAGTGGCAGCAGTAGTAATAGTACTCACAGTCCTTATTTGGGGTTCAAATTGATTTAAGAACACATTCTTCTTTTTCTTTCTTTTTTTATTATACTTTAAGTTCTAGGGTACATGTGCACAACGTGCTGGTTTGTTACATATGTATACATGTGCCATGTTGGTGTGCTGCACCCATTAACTAGTCATTTACATTAGGTATATCTCCTAATGCTATCCCTCCCCCCTCCCCCACCCCACAACAGGCCCTAGTGTGTGATGTTCCCCTTCCTGTGTCCAAGTGTTCTCATTAGAACACATTCTTTCAAACTGTATTATTCTTAAACTACTTCAGCCTAAGGAAAGCCTTTTAGAAATATTCTTATTTTCAATGTTTTAATTTCAATGACTGTTCTAGGTATTTACTGAGTGCTGACTATTATATATATATATATATATATATATATATATATATATATATATATATATATATATAAAATATATCTATATATGCTGCATAGAAACTGGTAGCATGTGGAACTTGCTCTCTTACAAAATAAACTGGAAGACAAAACATATGCTATGAAAAGCTAAGTAAAGTAAGCATTTTAGTTTGCTAATTAAGATGACAGTCTTTAAGATAACAATGCAAGACGTGTGACAAAGCTAGACATGCTTAATTGTTACAGGATTTCAGAAGAGGGAGAGAGAAAGCTTCAAGCTATGGTAGAGATAATTCTATTGGTGCAGGGTGGTAGGATTTGAGTTCACTTTTGAAGAGTGTGGATTCTCAAATAGGTGAAGTAGAGAAAAGTAGCCTTTCTAGTATTAGAAGAGCTTGAGCAAAAGACATTGCACAATATGCTTGGAAGACAGTACAGAAAGAGTTCAACCGTGGTGAAAGGTTTCGAAGGTAATTCAGCCAAAGTAGGTTGGATACTGACTGTAGGAGACCTTGAATGACAAGCTAAGGAGTTTGCAGTTTAGCTTCTGTTCGACTCTGGGCCACTGAAGATTATTCAAATGCCCTGTGCCTGGTTACATTCTTTTGATAACCTTGCACATTCCACTCTCTCCTTTTGGTATAGAAATGTAGACCCAGAGAAAGCACAAAAATCACTAAGTTAAATGAAGGTAGGACTCGAGGCTAGCAAGAAACAACAACGAAATTTATTTTTCCTAATCTAAAACAGGTTGATAGCATATCCTTTACAGGAATGAGCTAACTATGGGTACACTGTTCTCCAGCAATCGTTGTCTAAACACACCACTCCATTCACCGAGGTCTCTTGTGTGCATAGTGCTGGTCGAGGTGTTTATTTTAGCCCACAGTTAACTGCACGTTGCACCTGCTATCAATCACCAGTCATAGGTGTGTCTCTTCATTGCCATTTAAAGGTCTTCTGAAAGTGAAATATATATTATTTCTCTCCTTTATTTCACAGGCAAAAGTCCTTGTTTAGAGCTAGAAAGGGATGCTGACTTGAACTATTAACATTCTTTTAAGAATTACCTCCTAATTTGAAAAAGTCAATAACTGTTGGTGTTGCTCAAGATTATAATTTCACCTCAAAATAGAAGAATCAGTGTTTTTATAATGACAAGGACCAGATGGCCTCATTACTTAATAATATTGGAGTTTTCAAAAACAAGGAGGTAGATTCTACAGATTATAATCTAGTGAGTATGAAGTTACTTTAAGCAAAAATTCTAGAATGACTCATTTAACTGTAGTTTGTGAGTGTTTCGAAGATGAACCCTTGATCAATTTTAGCTAATATACTGGAAACAGCTTATCCAAGACTGATCTCATAGACTGTTTTCTTTTATTAAGATCTTCTTTTCTGCAATTCATTTAGTAATTTTATTTTTTTGACAGGGTCTTGCTCTGTGACCCAGGCTGGAGAGCAGTGGTGTGATCATGGCTCACTGCAGCCTCAATCTTCTGGTCTCAAGAAATCCTGCTGCTTCACCTCACAAGTAGCTGGGACTACAGGTGCACACCACCATACCCTACTAATTTTTATTTTTTATTTTTAGTAGAGACAAGGTCTTGCTGTGTTGTCCAGGCTGCTCTCAAATTCCTGAGCTTAAGCAATCCTCCTGTCTTGGCCTCCCAAAGTCCTGGGATTACAGGTGTGATCCACCATGCCTGGCTCATTCAGCAAATATTTCTAAGTCTACTTCTGTATAAGACACAATACTAGATCAATATGTATCATGGGAGCACAGACATGGCTCCTGCCCCTATGAAGCTTATGTTTTACTATAAGCAATGCACCCAAAGAAAACTGGAAACAAACAGTAAGACTACCCTGCAGAAATAAGCATGTGAAGACATGGAAAGGAATTTAAAATGCCAATATATTTAACAAAGGAACAAAAAAGGAATGAGGAAAAGATTGTTGGAGATGTATATGTGTCATTGTTTAAAACAATTTGTATATTGAACATTACATGTTATGTGACCTTCTTGTTACAGTAGGCTGGTTTGTGGTAACGAGTGGACTCAAAACTTCTTAGGTTTAACACAGTAGAAATTTCTATCCATCTCTGGTAATAGTCCTGGAAAGTGTTCAGGCAGGCAGGATAGCTCTGCTCTTTGTAGTCATCCAGGGAACTGGGCAAATTCAATATTGTAGCCCTGTCATCCTTTACAGTAGGGATGTAAGGTTTCTCCATCTTGGCTCTATTGACATTGTTTGTTTTTGAGGACAAATCTGTGCACTGTAGGAGGTTTAGTAGCATCCTTAGCCTCTACTCACTGGATGCCAGTAGCATCCCTCAGTAATGGCAACCCAAAATATCGCTATTCTTGCTAGATGTCTTTGCTAGAGGGAAAAAATGTCTGCTGTTCTAGGGCCTCATTGCTATTTGCCTTCAGCAGATGGAAATTGAACAATAGCGCAGAAGAGGCATACTGATTCCCTTACAAGCTCAGATCCAGAAATGGCAGATAGCTCTTCCACTCATTATCCTTTGGAGAGAACTAAGCCATACAGCCACATCCAACTTCAAGGGGGCTGGGAAATGTGGTCTATTCACATACCCTGCTACAATCTTGTTATCATGGATGAAAAAGGAAACATATTTTGTTTGATGACTGGTGGCTTCTAACACACATTTTAAGGAACTAAAAGTTATAATTTTCCAATAGCTTGGGAATCTCTGAACCCTTGCTGCTAGCTTGTGTATGCTTGAGTTATACTTGGTGAAAGAACAGTCTTGTCCCTGGATCATTCACTGCTCAGATTTTTTCTTCTGAATGTTAGTGGACAGAGTCACCTATAGGCTACAAGCTTTGTTAAGGTCACCATAATCCCAAGGAAGCTCTCAAAAGTGGGAAACGTAGCAGTCTCATGTTGAATAAAAATTTACTTTGAATATGTCGAGTTTTAACTACTGCATTTTTAAAGGTAGGTGGAGAAACCAATACCAACCTAGAGGGAAACAACAAAAATCATTACAAGGAAAGGAAGTAGGCTCTCCAAAGGAGATGAAAAGATCTTTGGATATTTAGTTAGTAAACATCTCTTGTTTAGGAAAGTTTTCCTTTTTATTCAGTTTAATTAAATTAATTTTCTCTCTCTCTCTCTCTCTCTTTTTTTTCTTGAGACAGAGTCTCACTCTGTCACCTAGGCTGGAGTGCAGTGGCATGATCTCAGCTCACTGCAATCTCCACCTCCTGGGTTCAAGCGATTCTCCTGCCTCAGCCATCTAAGTAGCTAGCATTACAGGGGCCTGCTACCATGCCCAGCTAATTTTTGTATTTTTAGTAGAGACGGGGTTTTACCATGTTGGCTAGGCTGGTCTGGAACTCCTGACCTCAGGTGATCTGCCCGCCTTGGCCTCCCAAAGAATTTCTCCTTTTCTTTTCAAAATTAATATCTAAAATCACTGCATTGCTTTATTAATAATATGCACACTTTGGCTTTTTCTTTTCTTTTTTTTTTGAGACAAAATTTCACTCTGTCGCCCAGGCTGGAGTGCAGTGGCACAACCTCGGCTAACTGCAACCTCTGCCTCCCGGGTTCAAACTATTCTCCTGTCTCAGCCTCCCAAGTAGCTGGGATTACAGGCATGCACCACCACACCTGGCTAATTTTTGTATTTTTAGTAGAGATGGGATTTTGCCATGTTGGCCAGGCTGCTCTTGAACTCCTGACCTCAGGTGATCCACCCACATTGGCCTCCCAAAGTGCTGGGATTACAGGCGTGAGCCACCACGCCTGACCACACTTTGGCTTTTTAAAAAACAATTTCTTTGGCCGGGCATGGTGGCTCACACCTGTAATCCCAGCACTTTGGGAGGCTGAAGTGGGTGGATCACCTGAGGTCAGGAGTTGGAGACCAGTCTGATCAACATGGTGAAGCACCTTCTCTACTAAAAATACAAAAATTAGCCAGTGGAGGTGGCCTGTGACTGTGGTCCCAGTTACTTAGGGGGCTGAGACAGGAGAATTGCTTGGACCCAGGAGGTGGGGGTTGTGTAAGCTGAGATCGTTGACACTGCACTCCAGCCTGGGTGACAGAGTGAGACTTTGTCTCAAAAAAATGAAATAAAATAAAATAAAATTATTTTTTCATACATGATACTCTTATAAATATAATTTTAGTTGAATCATTGACTATTTTTTAAATAAGTTTTTTTTTGTAAAAGCCAAAGCCTTTTTTTCTTCTGCACCAAGGTAGAAAAAAGGTATGTCAACTTTTTGTTCTCTTTCAACTTTTATTGTACGTTCAGGGGGGTACATGTGCAGATTTGTTACATAGAATTTTACCTTTTAAAAGAAGAAAATAGAAAATTACTTTCCATGGAAAACTGAAGTATATTACCTATACAACTATTGGAATAGATAAATTTTTAATTCAGTGTGAATGAACAAGTTCAACACTGTGGCAATAAAACATTAGAGTAGATCTGCTGAGAAGAATTTTGTCTACTTGGCACTGGAAATCTCTAACAAAGAGAGACAAAGAGGAAGAAGGAGAGGAAGGAATAGGGAAGAATGGAAAGGGGAAGGGGGAGAGAGAGAGAGAGAGAGAGAGACAGATATTCCTTGCTGGTATGTTCAGCTATTCATGAAAGGAGGACCTGGTGAGATAGGTGACTCTTCAGTGTTTTCTTCTGCTTTCCTGGTATGAATATGGCATGCATATGTTCAGATGAAACTCATTTTAACTAATATATACATTATTCCAGAAGTCCATTCCTTTGAGTAAAGAGATGTTGGATAGTCCTGACCACCCTGTAGGATTTGGTGAAATTCTTGTTCCCAATTAGGTTTATTTGGGGCTAACATTTGCCTTCAGAGAATTCCTGTCTGGATATAAACTTTGATATTAATGGAATTGTCATTCTGGACATTTTTGTCAGGTAAGCTATGGGACACACTCTCAACTAAATATTTGTTGTCTT
The DNA here is from genome assembly GCF_000001405.40 of Homo sapiens. Lineage (NCBI taxonomy): Eukaryota > Metazoa > Chordata > Mammalia > Primates > Hominidae > Homo > Homo sapiens. Next base: position 156,185,224 of record NC_000002.12, on the reverse strand, counting down.
CTTAATAGTAAAACCTTAAATTGGTGCTCAAGCAGGTTCCTTGTCAATTTCTAAAGAAAGATTTGATATCACACATGCTTATATAATCATGTACTAGAATGTTAAAAGCCACCTTTTCACCACTTTTGACTTCATGTGTTCCTTTTGGCAATGCATGCTCCAGAAGCCTGCTTCCCAGATCTGTTCTTTCATCTGGAACTAAGATTCTTATTAATAAACTGTGCCATAGACCCACCATTGGAAAACATCTCTTTTTAGGGCGTAACTTGGCACTTACAGATTCATGCAGAGCAACAGGATGTGACAATTTAGGACAAGAAAACAATGGTATATATTGTACTACAATAGACTTTGACATGATAGAAGCAAGTTGAAGGGGCCAAATGCCAAGGCACTTGTTCTCTAAGGAGTCAGCACCAATTTTTCTGATACTCTAGTGCCGTGTTCAAAGCAAGAAGTGAAGACTTTAAGTTTTTTTAGTTTATTTGAAAGTGTAGTAACTGGTCAAACTCTTTAATCTCTTAATTTGTAGAAAAAGTAGTGACAAGTTAGACCATAGTTGCAGAGTATAAGTTTCAGTGGGTTAGCTAATTATCAAGGATATTAATTATCCAATGGCTTTGAAAGCAACTAGGATATTGAGTGAAAGAGAAAAATTCATGGGAGAAAAATACCATGCTTATGGTGGAAATACATAGTGACATGAAAGTGCCCGGTTACAGTGACTTGTTTATAATATCCTATTTTCCAAAGCGCATGTTCCAACCTTTCTCGCTTATTTCAAAACCCAATCCTCTGCTCTGTGCTCCCGCCCCTCGCCATTTCCTTTGCAGATTACCTTAGACATTCTATCTCAAGCTCCCTCGATTTTACACCATTACAATCTCTTGGTTTTTTTCTTCTTTCTTCATTTTGAGGAAAAAATGTTCCCCATCCTTCGTTATTGTGCCTTCTATGTCATATGTAGCGCAATTTAGTGCATCTGCCAGGACCCTGGTACTTTTAACTTCTGTTTTCAATGGTCTTCTCCCAGCCTGCAGGACAGGATGTGAAATAATACTCCAAATCCTGTAAGCAAACTTTTACAAGCTACATAGTCTTGTTTCTTCTTCCTTCTTTACATTCTTAGTCTCCAATATTTCATCTTTCAAAAATTCCTTTGTTTTTTGCAAAATAAGTTTTAGATGGTATCATCTTAGGTTTTTCATACATTTGTTCAACTATTCTGTTTCATTCTTTAATTCTTTTTCCTCTTCTAATTTTCCAAATGTAGGTATTTTCCAAAGTTCAGTCCCTGATTATCATCAGCCTATTTTTCCATGTTGGCAATATCAGGCACACTCAACTCTTACCTCTAAGTGGATGGCTAGTGATGATGTTATTGCTACTCTTCATATCTTACTGGAGATTCTGTTCTACACTGGGAATTTTCTGCTGCAAATCTCTAAATGCAGCATGCTCCAAAGAAAAATGCAACTTTTGCGGTGGGGGGAGGGGGGAGGGAAGCATTAGGAGATACACCTAATGTAAATGACAAGTTAACGGGTGCAGCACACCAGCATGGCACATGTATACATATGTAACAAACCTGCACGTTGTGCACATGTACCCTGGAACTTAAAGTATAATAAAAAAATAAAAAATAAGATAAAAAAAGAAATAAAAAGAATGCAACTTCTTCCACATTTCGCTAAACCTTCTCATGTTCCTAATTCCCTCAGCTTCTGCGTTCAATCACTTGCTAACTTTCCAAAAGCTTACTTTCATGCTGCTTTCATCACTCTTCTTACCTCTCTCGGCATATTCTTAATTAAATTTGTCCTATTTTACTAATTTTCCAAATGATCTTTCTGTCTTCTTTTCCTCCCAATTTAATTTTCATACTATTGCCAAGTTAGATTTCTAAAATCATTGTTTCACACAAAAATTTTCCGTGGACTTTCCCTATACACTGGGTATAACCGAAAACGCTTAGCTTGACATTGAAGTCATCCTTTCTTGCCACAGGAGGAGAGTATAATACCTCTTAAGTGTTCTTAGGAGATTAACTAACCCATCATGAAATCAGGAAAACAAAATTTGAGTTGACTGGGAATATTTGTTTTCCTTCTCATTGTCATAATTTTGCTTTGAAATACTTTATAAAATCATTGGGTATACAATTTCTTTTGGAACTGATATCAGTTTAATATAGATCTCCAGTGTTTATCAGCCTAGATTAAGTTTTTTTTTAACAATTTACCCTCAACCACAATTCCATTTTATTGCTATATTATTTAAACTCCTTTTCATGTATAAAAACAAAACATCTTGGCTCTAGTTAGGATGGTTGTCTTTATTTGAAATAATAACTGAAGCTGATATGATCATTATCGTTCCAGGAGAATTAACAATGATAAAAGTAATAAATGATACTAATTTTATAATCAGATAATTTTCCTACTAGTTAGAATGAGTTATGGTTTTGGTAAGTGTCCTCCTGGCATCTAGAAACTGACTAATCCAAATACTAAAAAATGTTTATAGAGGCAGCCTTCATTGCACTTTTTAATTCAAAAGCAAGTGGCATAGAAGTCAACCAGAAAGACAACAATCATTATTACTTCAACAGCTTTTGTATTCTCTTACCCACCAAATTTCCTAACCAGACGAAACTAGAAATATAACCTGGAAAGGAATCCCTTTCTAAATCAAATTACATGAAGAATTTAATTCACTATGCTTTTTGGTAAATAGGTTGGAATAGTTGCCTCAAGCTGTCACTCCTTGAAAATGTACGTGTCCTAGACAAGGTTGCTGATGTCACGGTTAGGAGTTCACTTCCTGGGAGAGGTTTACAATTGAAGCTGAGGTGTATCTGATTCAGCCCTTAGGCAGAAAAACTGGATGAAGCAGTTTTTCCCCTTTCTCTTTTACAGACTGTGTGATTTGTGCAACAGCTTTGGCTTGGCAAATAGGGAAGTGTCAGAGCTAAATCAGCTTTACTCTAAGGGCATGGTGTGCCTGTGTTTCTCAGCTCACTGATACCTAAATCCAGGACCATTTTACTTCAAGTGGAATACACACACAGAGCAAACATTCTCAAGGTCAGGTATACCTGTTCTTTGTATTCCACAGCAAGAACCATTTTCCTTGTTCAGAAACAGGCAAAGAACTCATTTGTGCTTCAGAACAGTAAACTCCATGAAAAAAATACGTTCAAAGAACCACTTTTTAAAAAGAAGATGTTATGCAATCAGTATTTTTGGGATTATCAAATATGTGAGAGCTAGGGGGAGGGTGGTAGCCCTGGTTTACCTTCATGAGTGCATGATTGGCAATCTGTTATGCTTGTGGGATGGCCAGATATCTAAGACATACGGAAGGGAACAATTGAAGCAAATAACTATATAATTCAAGCAATATTCTCTGACTTTTCTTCAATTACTTACAGTATTTCAAGCAGCAATAGAGGTGGGGCCTGAGTTATTTGGGCTATTTCTTCCTTTTCTATTTTCTTTCGGTGGAATAAGTAAAAGTAAGTGATGTGCTTTGTGTGTGTGTGTGTGTGTGTGTGTGTGTGTGTGTGTGTGTGTGTGTTACTGTTATTGTTATATTTTGCAGTCAGACAGAGCTTTTTTTTTTGAGTAAACAAGATTCAGCAACTTAAAGAGGACCTGAGTTGTCCAAATGCCTGTTTTGGAATGGGGAAGTGTGGATTTTTCCTTTTCACTATATCTTATGCTATTAGAGACAGATGCACGATTATGGATGGCTGTGTTGTATACCTGCACAGGCTCAGGAAACAGCCCTGGGTTCCCCTCAACTTCTTAGTCATGAATGATGCCCTATTGTTTCCTTTCAGGTTTTGCCTCTTCACATCTCTTACCTTTTTCCCCCTTAGTTTTATGTAAATCATGTGGATAATGGAATGAAATGGTTTCCATGGAGCTGAACAAATATAGGTCATATTATAAGGGACTCTTCCTCTCTTGATGTACACAGGTGAATTTGCATATAGTTTTAATTATTTAGTTTTATATGTAGGACAGAAACCGTGAACAAAGTTGAACTTTTTGTGAAGTAGACTTACACTTTCCCTTATAAAATATATCTGTATTGATACAATAAAAATTCAAACTACACAAAAACACTGTAATTTAGTAGAGAGAAAAATCAGATGGGACATCTGTTTTTAAAACACGTTTTAATTACCTGCTAGCAAAGTCGCTATATGGTTTACTTCTCTGTGCAACAGCTTTATTACTTTATTTTTTATTTATTTTTTGAGATGGAGTCTTACTCTGTCACACAGGCTGGAGTGCAGTGGGCTGATCTCGGCTCACTGCAAGCTCTGCCTCCCAGGTTTAAGAGATTCTCATGCCTCAGCCTCCCCAGTAACTGGGACTACAGGCTTGTGTCACCATGCCTGGTTAATTTTTGTATTAGATGGGGTTTCGCCATGTTGGCCAGGCCAGTCTGGTCTCAGGTGATCCACCTGCCTCAGTCCCCCACAGTGCTGAGATTACAGGTGTGAGCCACTGAACCTGGCCCATCAGCTTTAAAATTGTAAATTTACTTGTCTTTTTAAGCCTCCTGTACATCTAAGGAACCCCTCTTCATTTATTTGTGCATTAATTAATTAATTCAACAAATAAGCTTTGGATCCAGATGGACATGAAATTGAATTCTGGTTCTACTTCATACAGGCTTTCAGTTGGGAAAGTTAGTGAACCTCACTAGATGCAAATTTCTTCATGTGAAATGGGATGATCATACTACCTTACAAAGTTGTTGTAATGAAGAAGTATATGTGTGACAACGTCTGCCACATGATAGGTGCTATAGTAACTGTTTTAGATAGTTTGGGCTATAACAAAATGCCATACACTGAATGACTTATAAACAACAGAAATTTATTTTTCATAGTTTCAGAGACTGGGAAGTCCAAAATCAAGACACCGGCAGATTCTGTGTCTTGGATGGCCTGCTTTCTGGTTCAAAGACTACTGCCTTTTCACTAGAGAAGAGGAGACAGAGTACTCTGAGACATCTTTTATTAGGGCACTAATTCCATTCACAAGATTTCTGCCCTTGTAAGCTAATCACCTTCCAAGATGCCCCACTTCTTAATACTATCACCTTGCGAGCTAGGATTTTAGTGTATGCATTTTCTGGTGACACAAACATTCAGACCATTGCAGTGGCCATGAGAAATGAACTTGCAGACCTCCAGCTACAGGAAGCATGAGTGAACAACAGCACTGGCTTCTGAGATCTGAAATCCACCAATACATAGGCAATGAGGCTGTGTGTAGGCTGCTCCCAGCCAGTGAATGACTGGGTGCAAGAGGGATACTAGGGCAGGTTCATTCCTGGAACACAGCCTCTCAGTGTGGTCACTTTGGCTCAAAGACACCTTGACAGCCTTTTTGAACCTTCCTTATACTTCACGGCAGTCTAGGACACTTTCACCCCACCTTCCTTCTCTTTTACTTGGAGACTACAGACTTGCATTGTGATCTGAAGGCTCCCTCTTCATGTTCTGTCACAAGTAATTCTCCCAATAAAATCCTTGCTTCTTGGTGTCTGCTTCTTGGAGAACCTACACTAACACATATGTTCCTTAATGATAGTTGTTTTAAAAGTATGTTTATTACTGATTATGTGCAAAGCACTCTCTTGACTTAGTGCATGATGCAAAGCTGAATTAAACATATTTTATTATTCCAAATAAGTGAGAGCCTCCTACTCATGAGCGGTGTCATAAGGCTAAAAGAGATAATATTGAAAACTTTTGCCCCTTGGAAGAGAGATGCCGTAAAAATTAATGATGGACAAAATAAAATTAAAGGGCATCTTTTAAAATAGTGTCATTTAGAAATGTGGCACCAGTGCATTTCTATTCTGTAATGTAACTTTGCTCTAGCATAATTCCTCAGGCAGGTGTTTGAGAATAAAATACGCAAAGAAGGGTTTACAACATGGGCTTAATGTAGTCTGAAATATGCTATGTATTTTGGTAATCATAGGTCTATAAGAACTAAGAACAGGTTGCTAATGGAAAGAAGCTTTAATTAAACAGATTTCTCTCATTTATCATAACTTTGATACTTTGTAGGGTCCTTATTTTTCTTTTTGTCAAGGTAAGTTTGAACCAGATGAGTGACAAGTCTCAATACTCTCTGAACTTACGAGTCCAGTGGTTCCACATCCTTCCAGATAGATTGATAAAGTGATGATTGGAATACTGAGACACTTTATTTTATTAAAGCTTTTGTAACTCGACTGACCATCTCCACTGCTAAACTTTGGGTTGGAATTTCTGAAAAGAAATTTATCTTTCCTCTTCCTCTTCTGACTAATTCTCAACAAGTAAAGATATGCATATATGTGTATATGTGTGCATGGATATGAGTGTGTGTGTCGTTTTGGAAGTAGGGGAGAAATTTCTTTTCAGTTTGCTAGAAAAGAATCATTGAATACTACTTTTAAACATTGATTATATCTTACATTTAGTTATTTTATTTTATTTTTAAAAGCCTTGTAGAACACTATAGCTATATGTCATTAATTTTGACATATAATAGCAATGTAAGAGAAAAGCATTTGTTATCATCAAAGTTTTATAGATTAGGATCTTAGGAAACCCAAATTTAAAAGGATTTTTCAGCCTCAGGAATAGATCAGACACATGCTACTTTTCAATTTCCATTTGTCTCTACAGATATTTCCTGTAATTGAGGAAAATTATATTAACAAGTTCAAATATTTTGGGTTTTCCCCTTTCATTACAATTCTGCTAGATACTAGAAAAATACATTAATTGCTTGACTGTGTAATATATGTACCAAAAGAGTGGGTTAATGAGAGTTATCACACATGAGGTGAAATAGTTCGGTTATTTCAATAAGAGCAATGACTTTTTTTTTTAAGCATCAAAGTTCAAAAATAAACTGTTCAGTAAATTCATGTTTGAGGCAGAAAGTTTCAATTTACATAACTTGCCTGTCTTTTCTGCAACTCTAAGGTAATATTTTGCATAAAACCTGAGTTCATTTTTGGTGCTTTTGTAGTGATGAGAGTCCTTAGGACTGTGTAATCTGGGACTTGATCCTCCTCAGTATGTGCCTCCCTATCAGACTGCACTAAACCCAAGGCCCTGGACTGTCTGCCTGCTTCTGTCCTCACCACCCTTGCAGATTCTCTTTGAGTTCTTTCACAGGATCAAACTCACACTCTTTTCACACTAAATACTAAATTTTTGTACGTCTGAACTCCTCCTTTTCTTTTCTTTTTTTTTTTTTTTTTCTATTCTATTTAAAGACAGGGTCTTGCTCTGTCATCCAGGCTGGAATGCAGTGGTGTGATCATAGTGACCTTGAACTCCTGGGCTCAACTAATCTTCCCACCTGACCCTCCCCAGTAGCTGGGACTATAGGTGCATGCCACCGTACCTCGCTAATTTTTTTATTTTTTGGAGAGATGATGTCTTGCTATTTTGTCCAGGCTGGTCTCACACTCCTGGGCTCAAGTAATCCTTCTACCTCAGCCTCCCAAAATGCTGGAATTACAGGCATAATCCATCACATCTGGTCACCTCCTCCTACTTCTGCAGACCATGCTGCTAAATAAATATCTGCGTGTTGACCCTATCTCCGTAGAACGAATGTTTAGGTCCTAGGGACTCTCTCTCTCAAAAAATCATTTGTGTAAACCTTAATTCTACTTAAATACATCTATAAAGTTTTTTTTTTTCCTAAGGAATGTATAAAGCCAGAAATACACTGGCTACCAGGCTACTTCTGGTCCCTTATTCCTTAAGCCTATAGTGTTATTTCAGAACTTTTGTACCTTCTTGGCTGGGCGCAGCAGCTCGTGCCTATAATCCCAGCACTTTGGAAGGCTGAGGTGGGCAGATCACTTGAGGCCAGGAGTTCAAGACAAGCCTGGTCAACATGGCGAAACCCTAATCTCTACTAAAAATACAAAAAATTAGCCAGGTATGGTGGTGCATGCCTGTAGTCCCAGCTACTCGGGAGGCTGAAGTGGAAGAATCACTTGAACCTGGGAGGTGGAGCTTGAAGTAAGTTGAGCTCATGCCACTGCACTCCAGCCTGGGCTACAGACCAAGACCTTGTCTCAAAACAACAGCAACAACAACAAAACGAAAAAAAAAACCCAAAACTTTTATACATTCTTTTCCTAAAGCTTTTCTATCCATATTAAAATTTGCAGTGTCCCTCTGCTTCATACCTGCAAACCTCAGACTTTTCTTCCATCGACAGATAGGCCTAAATGTCATAAGTACAGAGTGTTCCCAACAAAGATGGTTTGACTTATGATTTTTTAACTTCATGATAGCGCAAAAGTGATACACATTCAGTAGAAACCATACTTGTGTACTTCCAGTACCCATACAACCATTCTGTTTTTCATTTGTGGTAAAGTATTCAAGAAATTATGAGATATTCAACACTGTACTGTATTAATAATATAAAATAGGCTTTGTGGTTGATGATTTTGCTTAACCACAGGCAAATGTAAGTGTTCTCAGCATATTTAAAACAGCCTAAACTAAGCAATGACGGCCAGTAGGTTAGATATATTAGACACACACATCAGTACTTCTATCAAATATATTGATGTGAACCAAACAAAAAGTTGAATGCTCTTGTTATAAATGTAGCTACTTAGGAAATAGGAAAAGCCAGCATCTTTTCTTTGTAAAGGCCCTATGTCTTAGCATGACAGTTCTTACTCCTGGCTCTACAATAGAATCACTTAGAGTGCTCTAAAATAATGGTGATGCCGTGATCCCACCTACACTAATTAAATCAGAATAACTGAGGGGTGGGGGGATATCGGACTTGGTATTAGTATTAAAACTCTCCAGAAATTCTTATGTACAGCCAGAGGTGAGAACCACTACGTGGTGAAATATCAGCTTTCTAATGGTTTTCTTTATGAGTGTAAGTTGGTGCTAAATAGTTGGGTTCCCCTGCTAGTAGGTCATCTCTCAAGGAATTTTTATGAGCTCCCGGGACATTAATTCCACAAAACATACCTTGGGATATGAAATGACTCTGTGTATACTGCCCAAGAGCTGACTTGACTAGTTGGTTAAGCCAGTTCATCAGCAAACAGAAGTCTGTGATTATTTCAAGGGAAGTGTCTTCTGAGCTTCAGGTTCCCAGGAATACAGTGACATCAGTTTGGACTTCAACATGCTTGAGAGTTAGAACAGAGAGACAAGAGCAAAGAATCCATGGTTCAGCTCTTTCTCTTCATTCACAGATATCTGCAGATATCTCTCTATAACCCCAGGATCCAGGCAACTCATTTATTTCTCAATTGCCCCATTTAGCAACTAAGTCTGACCAATATCTACTGGCCAGTTGAGCATACAGGTACAGTATGCCAACATCATAAAGTATTAACAAAAACATAAGTTTATATATAATCCCATCCCCCCAACCCCACAAAACCAAAAGGAAATGAAAACCCTGCAATTCATTATGTCTGAGTAATATGCATTTTGATGAGTAAGTAGATGGACAGTTTAGGTCAGAATCGCTCCCTGTGAAATCGTTGCTCTTTCCCCTTCCCATGCTGTGGAACCTTTTCTTAGGGACCCAAGCTTGGTTCTGTTTGAGGCCTACCTAGCTCAGTCTGTTCATTTCAACCTGTCAGTGTCATATCTCATCCCCTATGGGAGAACACCCATGTCAGACTGCAGAAGTAGCTGACTGCTCTGCTGATATTTTGATCTCCTCTGCTCCCAGGGCTTGGAGTGACAGAAGCCACAGGTTCACCTCCTCCATGTGCCCCAGTGTGTGCTACAAATTTGAGTGGTTTCTACATGTCCAATGACATGGAAAAGTTTGGGAGGCATATATTTTCATGTCCAAAATTGGATTTTTTTTTCAGATACATATGTGTATATATGTAGATGTCAATATGTGTGTGTGTGTATGTATATATATAAGACATTATATCTGCTTAGCAAATTCTACTTACTGGGAAACCATGCATTGACTATATGTTGTGCTATAATGAGACTTAATGTTTCCGTGCAGGAGTTCCTTCTTGACATTTCTCAGGAAATTTATGTTTTCTGAACCCTGAATTCTGCAAAAAAAAAAAAAATTCCATTGAGAATTCAGGAAAATAGGAAAAGGCATTATAATTCTCCTGTGGGAACGAAAGCTTAACCATCGAGATGTTACTGTTTGAAGGAATCCACTGATGTTAAGTCAAAAGGAAGAGCAAGAAACACGGACAGGAGAATCAAAGGTTAAAGTAAACATTTCTGGAAGCTGGAACAGGAGCAAGGAGGAGAGAAGTATTCAACGTCTTGCAGCCAGTTATAGCTGTTGTCTGGTTGTAAGTGTGTGTGTTTGTGTGTGTTTGTGTGTGTGTGTGTGTGTGTGTGTGTGTGCATGCCCCTGTCTATTGCTAACACTGAGCCATTCTTGCAAATAAAACAAATAAGTTCATGCTCATAGTATATTTCATACAAGTCCTATGAGTGGTGTTCCAGGAAATAGCCAGTTGTGGAAGAAAAACAACCCTTTAAATTGGAACTTTTGAAATGTGATTCTGTGGAGTGCTGCTAACTTTACTAGGAGATCCGAATATTACCTTATTTGAATCCTAAACAATAATGTTCAGTGGAGTTTTCCAGTATTTGATTATTCGCTAGAGGCTACAGTTCTTTGTAAGTGCTTTAACAGAAAAAAATGTAAAGAAAAGAATTGAATTCAATACTCATGCAAAAAGTAGAAAATCAATCAAAAATCTAAATTAGCAAAAGCAATATCACTTTCAATAGCAAAACCAAAATCAGATCAAGCAAACAGAATAATTTTACCATTAAAAAAAGAATAGTTTGTATGAAGTAACATGTACCCCAACATCCCGCTTGAAAGTACTTTTGGGTGCAATCTTAGCAAGTCAATGCAAGATGAAAGAAGTTTTTTACATTGGGGATATTTGTCATGAGACAAGGTTCAAGACTTTCAGATAGGGCAATTAATGCTTTGTGTACTTAAAATTTCATTGTAGGAGTACAAACTTCTAAATATTAAATCTTTATGCCTTTTTTTAATTTTTAAAATTATTTTTAATTGGTATTTTTGTACTGTTTCCTTTTAATGTTTTCAATTATTTAATGTTTATAAAATTGAGATTATTTATGTTATTAAACTTTATAATATATATTGTTTTATACTGTAACTAATTATGAGCTTATCCTTACGTATTAAGTTGTTATTTTTTATTTTTTACTTTATTTTATTTATTTTTTAAGTTGTTATTTTTTAAATAGAAAAACCTCTGAATGACTAGTGGGAAATCCTATCAGAAAATTGATTTGCCTTTTATTATTATGGTCACTCATTTTTATTTCTATCATAAAGTTTTATAAAAAATACAGATTTTGGGAATTCCAGAGAATTTCTTGTGTCCTAATCCCGAAGATTAATATCAGGAATCTGCAACACTAAGATACAAACCAGAGATATCCTGGGGGCCAGTACCAGGGAAAAAGATCAATATGAAGCCTGAGAGGCAGGAGAGAAGTTGGAGGGTTAAGCCAAGTTCAATTACAGGGTGTCAGGACAGAAGACACCAGGAGCGTAATGGTGTGGATACTAGAATTGGAATCCTGAAGACACATCAAAGTCAGGAAACATCAGAGGCAAATGAGGGAGCAGAAAAAGGGAAGTTAAAAAGGAAACTAATTCCAGGGGTCAACATCTTCGGGAATCAAGATTGCTTTAAAATGGCTGGGCATGGATCTCTGTGGTCCCTGAGGCAAGAAGTCTTAAAGGGGCAGCCTATTGTCATGCGCTGCCTCCTGCAGAGTTTCAGGATTTAAGAATACATATTTGATAAATTCATCTTTTGGTAATAGACCAGTGGGAAATGTATTTCTTCAATCAGTTTTCTTTCCCTTCTGTGGATTGTGCATGTATAACTCCTCATCTGCTTTCCTACTTTATAAGCAAAAGGCTAGGGAAAGCAAGAAGATAGAGACGTGAGTGCACAGGAACGAGGGGACAGGTGAAATCTGTGGAAAGGAATTCATCTCATCTGGGAAAGACAGAGAGTTGGGAATTTTTTTCTTTTCTCTTTCCCCATAGGAGAGGGAAGAGAAACATTCTTCATGCCAGTTAAGTGAGGGACCTTCCATATAATTACTTGTAGAAATTGGAGTGCTTGCAAGAAACAAAAATTGGCATCCTGGTCTTTATTTAGACTTCTGCTAATTTGGCCTCTGTGACTTCTTGGGCAGAAGGAAAAGAGAGGTGGAGAGAACTGTTATGCAGAAGGAAGAGAAGTAGAACCACCCACAAACTGACTGCTTCATGTGGCACAGGTATGGTTTGTGCCTCTGGGTCCCTGTAGTCTGGGCAAAGTGGCCAGATTTGATCCAATTTGCTGAAGATCCACCTTAGAGGACCAGAGGAGCAGACCCCATTGCAAGAAGAGAGGTGGAAGCTTGCCCAGTGGGTTAGAAAAAGTTGAGCCAGTGCAAGCTCCCCCATAGGAGGTATCAGTTGAAGTGGGGATGGGCTGCACCCTGCTACATCAGAGCACTCACCCGTGCCCACAGAGAGCACTGGCATTTGTACACTGGCCCATGAAGCCCTTTAGAAGCTTCATGTAAGCAAAATCAACAGAGTTGATTCCAGTTGTACAATGGGGTTCCTTTCTTTTTTAGAAATATTTATCCTAGGTAGTTATAATTCATGGGTATTTTCATTGTCATTCTTACTGTTTTTTTTTTAACTTTTAAATTCAGGGGTACATGTGCAGGTTTGTTACGTAGGTAAACTTGTGTCATGGGGGTTTATTGTACAGTTTATTTCATTATCCAGGTATTAAGCCTAGTATGCGTGAGTTATTTTTCCTGATCTTCTCCCTTCTCCCACCCTCCAAGAGGTCCCAGTGTGTGTTGTTCCCCTCTGTGTGTCCATGTGTTCTCATCATTTAGCTCTCACTTATAAGTGAGGACATGAGGTATTTGGTTTTCTGTTCCTGCATTAGTTTTCTAAGGATAATGGCCTCCAGCTCCATCCAGGTCCCTGCAAAGGACATGATCTCATTCTATTTTAGGGCTGCATAGTATTCCATGGTGTATCTGTAGCACATTTTCTTTATCCAGCATATAATTGATGGGCATTTAGGTTGATTCCATATCTTTGCTATTGTGAAGTGCTGTAATGAACATATGCATGCATGTGTCCTTATGGTAGAATGATTTATATTTCTTTGGGTATATACCCAGTAATGGTATTGTGGGTCGAATGGTATTTCTGTCTTTAGGTCTTTGAGGAATTGCCACACTGCCTTCCACAATGGCCGAACTAATTTACACTGCCACTAACAGTGTGTAAGCATTCCTTTTCCTCCATAACCTCACCAGTATCTGTTATTTTTTGACTTTTTAGTAATAGCCATTCTGACTGGTGTTAGATGGTATTGCATTGTGGTTTTGATTTGCATTTCTCTAATCAGTGATGTTGAGCTTTTTTTCATATGATTGTTGGCTGCATTGTACTGGTACAAAAACAGATACATAGACCAATGGAACAGAATAGAGAACCCAGAAATAAGACCACACACCTACAACTATCTGATCTTCAGCAAATCTGACAAAAACTGGCAATTTTGTGTTCCATAAATGGTGCTGGGATAACTGGTTAGCCGTATGCAGAAGTTTGAAACTGGATCCCTTCTTTATACCATATGCAAAAATTAACTCAAAATGAATTAAAGACTTAAATATAAAACCCAAAACTATAAAAACCCTGGAAGACAATGTAGTTAATACCATTCAGGACATAGACATGGGCAAAGGTTTCATGACAAAGACACCAAAAGCAATTGCAGCAAAAGCAAAAATGGACAAATGGGATATAATTAAACTAAGGAGCTTCTGTAAGCAAAAGAAACTATCAACAGAGTAAACAGACAATCTACAGAATGGGAAAAAATTTTACAAACTATGCATCCAACAAAGGTCTAATATCCAACATCTATGAGGAACTTGAACAAACGTACAGGAAAAAAACAACAACCATATTTGAAAGTGGGCAAAGGACATGAACAGACACTTTTCAAAAGAAGACATGCAGACAGCCAATACTCTAGCTGTTTCAATCATACTGATCTTTTTTTGTTCCTTTAACATGCCATGTTTCCTTTTGCCTCTAGTCTCCTGCATATGCTGTTCCATTTCCTAAGGACACTTTTCCTCCTGCTTGGCGACTTGCTAACTCTGATGAATTCTTTCTAAGTTTCAGTTTAAATTTTACTTCTTCAGAGAGGTCTTCTTTGAATCTTTAGTAGTTGTATCCTCTTGTAATATGCTTTCTCATCACCCTGAAATACCTCTTTCTATAATAACAAATATGTCAGGAATCATGTCTGTCTCATTCAAAGTTGTATTCCAGGACCTACCACTGAACTTAATGAAGTATGGATAATAAATGTATATTTCTTGCCTCAACAAATGAAGGAAAGTAACACCAGCCACAAAAGGAAAAATGAGAAAACTGAACTGAAAGTATGAATAACAATCACTTGTATACTACAGATCATTTTTCCACTTTGGAAGCATTTACTATAGCCTAATAAGAATTCTGTTTTGTCTTTAGCCATTTACTTGCAGGCAGTCATGATTCATGTATTAGCACTGACAATACTGACTTGTTTTTTGTCATCCCTCAGGGTTGGGAAAATGGTTGTGATTGTGCACAGGGAGGCCTTACACAGAGATGGAGCAAGTTCTGGTTTAAATGAACTGGTTTGAAGACCTTAAGGCATCACTTATCTCAAAGATCTTTACCTCATTGGTCCATATTGTGCTTGAATTCCCACAATTAAATTCCCTTTTAAAAGTGAAGGTACTCTAAAGGGAGATGCATTTCTGGAACGTTAGGCCTAATATAGATTATGAGGCAAGTCTCCTTTGGTCATCTTGAGTTCACATGTCCTCTTCTACTCAAGGTCTTTATCTCCTCATTCAATTAGGTGGGTCTTGCCTGGGGAAGAGAACGAGGGCTCCTAGGGAAACTGGGCACTAGCGAGTCCTTAGCTTCCTTACTGGAGAGGAGGAGCATGGTATAGTTCACCTGCAAAATCCAAATTAGCTTTCACAATCCATGATTTTATCTAAAGTGGGCATTTTATTGTATTGAAATGGCACTAGACTGGGAGTCAACAGATTAAATCATTTGTCATTAACAACCTTGGATGTCAGTTAACTTCTCTGAGCTTCAGTCTCTTCATGTGAAATTGAGGGTTACAATTTATGATGCTTTAGAATTTTTCCAACCTTCATATTTAAATAATATCGATAATTATTCCCAGTAACAGAGAATATGAAAAAAAACTTTGTAATTAATCTAGAACCCATCAAAGTCTATTAAAGAAGTAATCTCTTGAACATGAATCTTTATTGCAGTGTCTATACTTTCCTCTCTAGGAACTCGAAGGAAGAGATAAACACTTGAGAAAGATGATCCAAATAGCAAAGTCTCTGACGGGTTAAGGGGAGGGATGGGAGAACAAGATTACCTTTATGAAATACATTTAAGAGAAAAATTCTAGATGACCTTGCCTTTGACAAAAATCTTCCCAGGCGTCAAAGGTCATACATATTTCTCCAATGTGTCTATGAAAGGATTGATGAGTTATTGTATTTCTATTACTTCCTGAGCGAATTTCACAAACTCCAAGTTATTTGCTTCTGTATTATTAGTTGAAAGGGATAAGAGGGATTAAGAAGAAGTAAGATTCCATTTACTTTTTTGTAAAAATTTCAAACTAAGTTTGCCTTTGCCATGTGTAAAGAGGCATAATCGAGGGGCTTACTCTTTGTGTGAGAAGTTGCTGTATGCTGCAGAAATTTGTGACTGGACTCTCAAGGTGGCCCGTTTAAGGCCAGAGGCCCCTTTTCTCCTGAAATTCAAAGGTCTGGATATAGGAGAGAAGCATGCAGGGAAGATTCCCCTACAAAAGGTCGGAATTGGCCCCTCATTTGAGACAGATACCATCACAGGGCAACAGGGAGTCTCGAGATCAGTGAGTTGAATTTCCTGCCTCTCTTTAGGGGCCTTCAAACTTACAAAAATTAATCCTTTTGATTGACTCTGTCTCCTAATCTTGAAGATAAGCTCAGAACATTTACCGGTTCTCAGCACTGCTTACCAGGCCAAGTCTTAGCACCAAATATGAATTTTGTCATCCGTGACCTTTCCAATCTTCCCTTTTTACCTGCCCACTTGGTAGCTCAAGTCGTCTTCCTTCCTTCTCCCTGGAAACTTATGTCAAAATGGTTGAGATTGTTAGGGATTTAGAGATCAAATCATTCAACCTTTTCATTTCCAGAGCAGAATACTAAGATCTAAAGAGATTAGATGACTTCCGTAAGGATATGCTGTTAAATCCTCTTGGTGATTTCAATATAAGACCTCAGAGTTACTGTTGTTGGAAGAATCATTATTAATTGGTTTCCCATGTAGGTCAGAAACATTGCAATTTGGTACCACCTATCATTTTCAGATATTCAAGTGTCAATGCAAGTGTGTTTTAAAATAATTTAAATATCTCTGAATATATAAATCATCACCTATCATTCATTATTTAAACTTCTTAACAAAAAGCTTTTGGAATATAAGAGTAATTTGCTACTATTTTGAAAACAATTTTAAGCTGTGAAAATAATCAACGTCCACTTAAAGGGAAAAGCATCTAAAAAGAAAGGCTAAGTACATAATCAGTTTGCAAGCCAACATTAATGAGACTTTAGTGATTCAAATACTGTAGAGCATGAAGGTAAGTGTAAGTGGACTCGTGTGAAAATCAAGGTTACTTGCTTCTTGAGAGAAGCATGTGGATAGTGTTCTTGGGGTCAAGAAGGCAGAAGCATCTGGCCTAGGAACCCTGAAGTGTTAGAAATCTTGCTCAAGGCAGCTGTTACCATGACCTCAACAATTTTTGTAATCCTACGTGATGCAAAACTGTTCTCAGGGTGTTTGAACTTGCCAAGGAACTCCAGCTTTTCTGTATAGCCATTAACACAGGAAATCATATGAATAGGCAACCTTAATGAAATCTTTTGTCACCAATATATTTGCATCACTGCTTTGGGCTTTCTTTCCCTTTGTCTTTGTCCCTAATGCAAAGATTTTGCTACCTGCTGAATTACTCTCCTCAAGTTTACTTTGTGAACTTTGTCAAATAGAGAGTTACGATTGATTTCTAGTTTGGAAAAAATTAACATTTTAGATAAATTGTGCAGCTATGAATATATTTCCCAATAAAATATTAGTAGGTATAGCTTTTGTAAGCTTGTTACACCTTCCTTTAGGTGTCAAATATTAATTTTCTTAAAATAAACATCAAAATATTTTCTATAAATAATTAAAAACACATTCTTAATGAGAAATAATAATTTAACTATATAGGAAATAATAAATTTGTCAGCAGTGTATATGATTCTTTATAATTTAATGATTGTTTTACAGTCATTTTTGATACTCTTTTTCTAAAAAAAGAAAATGGCATATAAGCAATTGGTTATTATTATAGGCCCTAATTCAGAACCAGAATTTTCAGATCTCTTGCCTTTGTTGTATTCCTCTTAGCGCACTCTTCTCTTTCCCAAGCACCATGGTTTAGAAGATGAAACTACAAGGGCAGAACCTTTTTCTTCTTGCTGTGCCTCCCTCCGTCATTTTCATCCTTTGAGAAATTCAGTACCCATTTTCAAAACCTGTCTCTAAGGAAGTAATATTTCTTTGTTATGGAACAAATAATATTTGAAAAAATAAGTGCATACAATGAGAAAAAAAAGAAAGCCTGTCAAAAGCCATGAACTGTAGATCAATTATCTGTGAAGAAAGAATCTCCCCTCTTTCCATTGCTCCCACTAGTGGGATATGCTTGTGTTACTGATATTCATGTTACTCTCCCTGCGGTCATCTTTTTCTCCAGTATCTTATAATGTGTATGGATCCTATGCTAGGTCCAAAACTGTGAATAAGCTGCTGCACGTGAGAACTTGCAACTCTATTGGAACCACAAAAAGACAAGGTCCTATGTGCATCCATTGTTGAGAACAACAGAAGATTAGTCTTCTCTACTAAGGGGAATTTAAATATCGATCCATGGAAAAGAGATTTCCAAACCTGGGACTGCCAAGAACTGAAGTCTACCACCTACGATTAGAAAAACTGGACATGGTCCCATTTCTAACTCATTTCAACACGCTGACCCTTTATAGAAAGGCTGATAATGAGGCTCTCAGAATCTGGGTCTGAATGGTAGTCCAAGATACCAGTGTAGATGAAACAATATCTTAGACTTTTTACTTTTTATGAAGAGACACTAGTACCTTTAGCTCAGAACTTAACTGCAGGCCAACACTTGGAACTCTCGATATGAAGGCAACAGGAGTAGGATTCAGGGACAGGGCTTCAAATTGCTGGTATTTCTTTACTGTTGTCTGTGCCACATTCATCACTTCCCTCCTGTGCCGTCTTTGTGTTTGTGTGTGTGTACATGGGGAGTTGTGTTTGAAACTAGCCTCTGTACTACTGTTTTTTTGGATAGTGCCTGGAGCCATTACAAAGGAAGAAACTGAAGAAATCTAAATTGTTAGAATTTGTCCCTGTGTAGTACGCATGCTCTGGCAATTAAAAAAGACACTCACTGTATGCAAAGTGTCAAGCTAAGGCATAATTGGGGTTCAAAGGAGGGGAATATGATGCCTCGGCCCTTGTGGGATGTTATAATCTGGGGTGAGGAATAGACAGGCCAATTTACAAGTATTTCTCACAAGGTAGACTGTGCTGGATGAGCCAACAGAGCTGAGGTAATGCATTGAGAACATGGGCTCTGGCTTCAGACTGTTGTGCAAATTCAGTTTTTACTGCTTAACATGAGTGTGATCTTGGACACATTATTTAACCTCTTGCAGCCTCAGTTTCCTCATTTGAGAAATTGCAGTTATAATAGGACTTCTCCCATAGAGTCAATGAGATGATTAAATAAGACAATTTATGTTAGAATTTCTTTCTTTTAAAAACACAGTGCCTACTATACAGCAAGCCTTTATAGCTCAATAAATGTTACCTCTTATTATAAACATGAGAATATGGGAGAAATAAAACACATGTACCATTGAAAGAGTTAAAAAAATCCATCTCCATAGAGGGTTATAATTTAAGTCTGCCTAGAGGTGGCTTTAACTTACACACACTGGTAAGTTATGCAGGTTTTACACGTCTGTTCAGTCTGTTATTCAGTGACAAAATATGTACTTACAACGGCAATTAAAGCAACTTAAAGTACCACTGTAATACATCACAGACTACCTCTGTAAGGAAACACAGTTGCTGTAGATAATTTTAGATGGTTATGATTTTATGAATATTTTAAGAAGTAAAAAAGAAACACCAGTAAGGTGTAGTGCTTTTATTTTTAAACACGGGTCTCAGAAATCTAAAACTGTGTTATAGAAGTTCTCTACAAAGCTCTTTTAATAAAAGATGATGTCTCTCACTGCATGAAAGATTTACCTTTGAGTGGGCTGATTACTGAATGAGTGAAATTTTGTAACATATTATGAAAAAACATAATAAGCATTGTTTTCAATGTCTTTTAAATAAAAACTTTTGGCTGTTCTTTTGTGCATGAAGATTGTGGCCAGTCTGGAAGCATGGAAAGGCAGATAATTTTGAGATGATATTAATAAATATCTATTTTCTTAAAGTTCACCCAGGGAGAGGTTTAAAAGGGAAGTCGCACAGTTATGTGGACTCTATCACAAGAAGAATTACTAGTGATGGAAGACAGTATGAGAAGTATCTTTGTTGTAGGTTGTGGTTGAAGCGGAGGAACTCACCTTCCTCAGAAATTAATGGAGGCTTTCAATCTTGCTGGCACTGCTACTTTATCATTCATATGACTAAACAGACAATCAATTTAGTGGCGATGTATGGGAATGAAGGGAAAGAACAAATAAGCTGTGAATGATGAGAACAGAAAAATCAAAACCCTCTCCCTTATTCTTTTTTAATGGCTAATACCAACAGGGACAAGACCAGTAAAAAGAGGTTAATGAATTGCAAAGATCCTTTAGAAAGTGATTGACTGGTATTGAAGCACAGTCAAATCAGTCATAAATATTTACTTTTATTAGCAACAGTGGGTTGCCTGTTATTTTCAATTGATTTTTAAAGCTGGCAAAAAACTACTACTGTGACTATTATCAAATGTTCCCAATTTTGTCAATATTTCCCTGCTCTAAACAATTCCAAAACTCACAGCCTCTTAAATCCTTATTTCAAATGTATTTTTCAGCACAATTTCCAAATGATTACAAATGACAAGCTAAAATGAGGGTCCCTACATCATTAAGAATAATTATAATCTTTTCATTTTGACATTTGTTCAAATGGGTAGAATGGCTGCAATGGTGGGGTTAATGTTTTTTGATAAACCATATTTCACCAACATTGACTTGCTAACCTGCAGTTGTGTTATGTGTTTTACCAAGTGAAAATGAGCCATAATAGAAATCTCTTCTTTTTTTAAATTTCCAGTCAGTGTAGCAGTGACTAGAAGCACTATAAGAGTTAACAGGGCAACATCGTTCCGGTTTTTGAACACTGTGCGATATTGCCGTTTACGTCATTGAATAAAATACTGCTTTATTTTGGTAAAATTTGATTCGATATAAGGACATTTTTCTGAAACTTGCTGTCTAGACCATAAGAAAGATGGAAATTGCTTTTAACACAGTGTTTGTAACATTAAGATCCAATAATTCAATTCAAAGGAACATAACAAAAGGAATTTCCTACAGATAACAACAAAGAGTTAACATTTCCCAGGGCAGACAAGTTTCCAATTCAATTAGTTTTAATGAACCTTCTGCTCACTGGTTACTGAACTAGAAAGAACAGCAATAAATGCCCAGAGGAAAGAGAGTGAGGATATTAAAGGAGGGTTAGCGTATAGTATATAAATTTTCAAGTTGACTAAAAGAGTAGCCTTGATGCAGTTTTGGGAGCTAAAGCCACAGAATCAGATCTGTCTTCTGAGTTTAGTGTACAGGGGCAGTAAATTTTAGCCAGTTGTTTTATGTGATGAAACAAACACACTAGTCTGTACCCTCAGTCTGATAACACAATAGATAATAGAATAGATAATACCATAATACAGCTCCTTAAAATAGATAAGCATATTCCATAAGAAAAACATAAGATGATTTTTTTCTTCTAATCAGCAAAACAGATTTGTTAGTTGATGTATGTATAAATGGATATATATGTATACATATGTACATATATCTTTCAATGTATTTTTTTCCAGAAAATTTAGATAGATTTTTTAGTTTGCATATAACAGAAATTTTATATTTACTCACACAAAGAACAGCATAGACATAAAATTATGAAAGCAAAAAGCTGCCAAACACAAGCAGTTAGCTATTTGAGATCCAGAGAATGAGTTTTACTCTAAGAATTTAATGGATTTCATATTTTTATTTGATTCTGATGGTCACCTTAAACCTGTACTATAGCATGGCAAACTTATATTTCCAGGATCAAGCTGTAAGTCATACTGTGGTTAAACATGACTATCTTCACAGATATGATTGTATAAATGTACAAATCCACTCCAGTTAAATATTTGATATAAATAATAGAGTCCAGCAAGAGCCTCCACTTATATTATTGTTTCGAGTCAGCATTGTCAGATATTTTTTCTTTCTTGAACATCTAAAATATTTTTCATTTCTATTCACATTCTCATTATGTTGCACTATCTTTTTATTTTTAGTTACACCCTCATTCCCACCAATGTTTTGGAAATCATTTTCTGGATGCTGAATATGAAAAGTTCTAAATGCACGGTAATAGACAGAACCTATATACTGCATTCCGTATTGCATAAGGATCTACCTAGCCCTGGAGGTGCCGACTTTTTTTTCCAAGCAAGTGTTAAAAGAGCACAAATGTGCTCTAAAAGTAACTTGCAGCTTGTATCATCGAGCCAGTTTCATAAGCATCGTACTTGAGAATATGATTGTAAATTTGATCAGCAGCTACAACATTTCAATGATGCATATTTTTTTTTCAGATGCATTCCTTTGATTGAATTTAAAGTCAAGCTTGTGCTTCTGGATGGCTGCTTTGTCAGTGAACACTTGGATTTGGAAAATACAGCACCTGGGTTGGTTTTGAGAGAAAATGGTTTCAACTTTATAATTACAGTTTTAACCACCACAACAACAAAATTAGGATGGTAGTGAAATGGAACTAAATCAAATGCAAGGTTTTAGTTTAATAGAACAATGTCATCCTTTAATAATCTTTAAAGAAGAACAACTAAATAACCAATAACAAAATTGAAATAGGTCAACTTTTATCTAAATTCCATAGAATCTATATACTCTATTGTCCAGTTGAAGGAAAGGCTGCTGTTATACCTTAACAGTTGTTATTAAAATTTTGAAGTTATTTAATGGTCTTTTAAAATTTATTTTAAGTAGTGTGATTTTAACGTATAGAGAAAATATTCACACTTTGTATAGTTCCTAAGAGATGATTAAACAGGTAGAAATAAAAAATAGGAAATAAAATGAAATATAGAGCATAATTTCTACCACAAATCTTTTTCCTTAAAACTATCTCTGTCCTGGCCACATAGAAAATTATTATAATCATACAATGCAAAAGTGATCTCTAGCTAGTTAAAAAATAGAATATGATAGGGCTAACTTCTTTGAAAATGTAAATATTAATATTACTCAAAACAGGTTATTCTAGGGCTAGACTTTAGTAATTCATTTCCATTTTGGACAAATGTTTTACTTTGTCTTAAATCCATTTGAGGTTCTTGTTGTGCATAAGTGGTTGGTTGGATTTTTAGGGTTCCTGAGAGGAAAGGGTTGAGGAATATAAAATTCACATTTGTACTTTTGGTAGTGGTATAGGAAATAAACCTTTAGAGAAAGGGGGAATTCTTTGTCAAATAGCAATTGGAATATAAATATGATTATAAACATATTGGTGGAAAAATCATCTTTCTTATAAGTGGAATTAAGAGCATATTGTTGGATGGTATGACAGAAGCAAACTCCTCCCACAGAATAGTAGAGGCTTATGAATAGGCAGGGGTAGTCATAAAAGGAAACAATATCTTAGTTTAAGGCATTTAATTGCAAAAGGAGAACACAAGTGTGGAATACACTAAAGACCTCTGATTCCCAGTGTTCTTAAATAGCAAAAGAAACTCTAGAACTTTGCCTCTAAGGTATTACAAGAACTTTGTCAAGTTGCACATGAGAAAATAGAGCCCATAGCCATATAGTAAGCAAAAAAATTCTGTTTGAGTATTGACATGACAGTTTTTGAAAGTTCAAGCAGAAAACCAATTATAATGAGCACTGGAAAGCCCGGAGCCCTGCTGTTCAATAAATAAAAAGTACAACAAACTATTTTCCAAAAAGGTTCTAGAGAGTTTCTTCTTGTCCCACTACTTACAATCTGATTACATAAATAGTCTCTATTTGCTGTTGAATTGCCAGGCAGCTGTATTAAAGTACAAATCAAATCAAGTCAGGATTAGAAAGTAAAAGAGCATGGTTTAAAGTAATCTATCCCCCAGGAACTGTGCTCAGATTCATCAAACAGAGCTTAAAGTACAGTATATCTTATACCCTTGTGTTTCCATGCTGCATTGCTGCAAAACCAGTTATTATTTTTGATATCCAGAAAATGTTGCTTGTTGCTTGAAGAAGGCTCACTTGCTTATTTAAAGGTACTATTCATATGTGCCACTTATTTATTACTTCTTTTGGTTAAGATTCATGGGGAGGACATAAGTACTAAAGACTAGTAGGCTTTTTATTGATCATATCCTATCTGGCTTAGCTGTGAACTGTCATGAATATTTCTTATAGATAGAATGACTAATTTATTCCAGATTTTAGGTAATATACAATATGATGGTATTAAAGAAAAGCTATAGGTCTTTAGATGCTATTGGCTAATAAAGTATTATGTATACCTGCCCTTATAAATCCTGCTCCATCTAATTATGACCGAAAAAAAACGATTTAATCATTTCAACTTGTAATTGTTTTTGATGAAAAGCTCTATACGTAGTTGTCAATGTACTCATCTTAGTCATCAATTCTTGTATAGTTATAAAATTTGTTACCTTAAAGTAGAATGAACATAATTAAATATTTATAGTGATATCAATGATTATTTTCTTCTTTATTCTTATAGAACAAACTTATTTAAATCTACAAATATAAATTTCTGTTTCATCATATTCCTTGTATCTATATAATAGCTAAATATCTATTCAGAGACATTATAGTGGCTTCAGTTATCATATTCTATATTTATCTCCACAGGGCATAATGTAGCCTGTGAAGATACCTAGATATTGATTTATAGTGATAAATATATATTTTATGTGTAACATGGAGGAGAAAACACGCAAAAGTGTTATTTCTGTGAGCTGAACAGCTTCAAGAAAATGGGTAATGTGTGCTTTAACCAGACAACCCAATGATCATTTTTCTTCTTACATCCCTAAGCTAGGGAAGAAGAAGTGGATGGTTGCCATTAGTTAACATTTCTCTTGTAAGGAGCTCCACTTGCAAACTATGCCACATTAAAACAAGCAT
The DNA here is from genome assembly GCF_000001405.40 of Homo sapiens. NCBI lineage: Eukaryota > Metazoa > Chordata > Mammalia > Primates > Hominidae > Homo > Homo sapiens. Next base: position 156,160,518 of record NC_000002.12, on the reverse strand, counting down.
TCAGATTCATGATTGGGCACCAGAATGTTGAAAATGCTGGCTCCTCCCCATTGCAGTCTGAGGCTTTTTAGCCCAATTTAAAGTTTAGTTCTCTGCACTTTGCTAACCTAATCATTACCACTGACACAGATCACCTGTAGTGCAATGTAACTCAGTTACTTGGCAGCTAAAGGAAGAAACCTACATTCATGCAGGTTGCTTGGTGCTTTCTCTATATGGGGACAGAGAATCTTATCTGAATTGTTTAAAGAAAAAGTGGGTAGGCTTAGTAACCCTCCCTTCATCATCCTCTTCCAGATTTATCATGAAAAGGTCAAAATTGAAATTTGCTATTTATAGCCCCTCTTAACCATGTATTGTGAGTAAGGACCTTGTGAATTTGCCAGGGAGGTAACTGCCGACCAAGATCCCACACAGAAGGTGTTTGTGGGGGTGGCAGGGGCTCATGGAGACATTTACGTGAAGAGCCAGGAAAGAGGTTGCTGCTAAGTAACTGGCTACCAATTGGTCTGGTTCCGTGTTTGAAACAAACAATTTTTAAAAACCTTTTAATGAAATATTGATTTTATCAAGCACATCAAACTAAAGGCAAATGTACCATGGTGTCATGATTAAAAAATAACAATATATTACGGTAAACTAAGATAAATGAGTTAAGTGCTCAGTTTGCGGTGCAAATTGAAACCATATATCACAACCTTTCACTATATTACATTACTGCTAGAGTACAGAATATGGAAGTTGATTGAATGGTAATATCAAGTTAGTAGGGAGCTTTACCCTGCTTCAGTTGATGGTGCAATTTGGAACAAAAAAGGGATAATTTTCATAACAAAAGTAGCTTAAAAATATCTTTTAAGTGAATGTGACTGATAACCAAGAAGCCTATGGCACCCTGAAATTGCCCTTCCCAGATCTCGCATGAAGCAACGAAGGGATCTGTATTAATTTTAAACCTCCCTTTGATTGGGTGAACCTGTCTCCGTTTTGTATGACATTGTTGCCACAGGTCATTGCCTGGTGCGGTGTACCATGAAACAAACAAATAGAAAAAGGCACCTTCTGGCACTTTAAGTCTCACTGCCATCTGACTACTACCCTTGTGGTTCAGAATGATGAAAAGCAGAAGCTTGGAGAAATCTTCCTATGGTTAGATTGGGAAAAATGAGCATGATGATCACATGTACTGGGAAGGGCAGGAGAGACAGCCGAAGTCATCTCAGAACTCAAGAGAAAAGGAGAAGACAAGAGGTCACAATTATATTCTAGTATCACACTCCCTTTCACAGAGATCTGATATATTCAGTTTGTTCTTGTATGGTGCTTAGGGAAGTTCTAATTAAGGGAAGAAAGAATTTTGACACATATGAAGCAGAGATCAATATTTAGCACTATAATCAGCAATTCCTGATGGTTTGACAATGTCACTATACACATTGTAACTATCCATTATTCTCTCAGAGAGAAGAGCCAGGCAGAGGCTAACAGGCTTACGGCAAGCTATCATGAATCACATAAAGCAGTGTCTCATTCGCTTCTATTTGTCTTGCTTTTCATCTTCATTCATCCTTATAAAGAAGCCTGTACTGCCACCAGCCCTGAAAGCCATCCTACCTCTGAACTGCAACAACAAAAAGCAAAAACTGTTTCTAAAAATGTCTACCATATGAAGTACAATAGCTACTTTCCAGATAGGTGAAAAAAAAAGTGGTGGCTGTTTACTCTCTGAAAATACACATTGTAGGCTCCTTTCACATTTAACCCAAAGGGACTCTATTAGCTACTAGAAAAATATTAAAATACGTTGGAGGGAGGTTATGTTTATAGTAAGTTACAGGTTTAGAATATATTGATCACGTTTTCCACCCAGACTAAACAGTGTCTGCTGTATAACAAAGAAAATCCCACCCTCTCAGAGCTGAACCAAACTCTGCATCTAATTTTATTTTTGGCCATAGAGATAGAATTGTAATACGATATCACAATAGCTAGTCGCCTTAACTTTAGGGGGCAAGTAGGTGATAGAGTTCCATGTTCAAGTTTTCACCTTACAAGAGATTTATCAAGTTGTAAATCTTTCTTTATGTTCATGAGCTATAAAAAGTTTACGTGTGTAAGGCATCTCCCCCAACTCAGATTTTGGCTAAGAAGTACGCTGGTTATGTAGTCCACTGGATATAATTTTGTTTCTGTTTTTAAAGTTACATATGTGTTTTTAATATCATAATAATCAGTGATCATTTTAGTAATTCAAAATACAAGTTCATTTGAATTTAAGTAAAATACATTCTATTGCTCTTTTTAGTGAATTATAAAGTGCTATTCTCTGTTCTTTTGAAAATGTTAAAAATTACCCCAGGTCTAGTGAATTAAAAAAATTAATTGTCAGATAAGTAATTTCAAGATTCATTTTATTTACTTTTGCACATTAGATTTTGATTGGAGAGCATGTACTTGGATAACTTAAAGAAATAAACACCCTGTAAAACGTGATGGAATAATTTGACTTCAATTTACATAAAGAACATAATTTCCAACATTTCTCATAACATTTGTGGGCATGCAGCATGCATTGTATGACTGTAGGTGGAAGTGAAAGACCTGGTGTCTTGCATTTCAAACTGTCAGCTGATCCTCACTGCTCTATTCCTGTTTAAGTGAGATGCTGACACAGGCTCACACACTGACTATCCCAAGTAGCACTAATTAAGGGCTGTCCAACTGTGCTTTCTGTTGAGCAGTTTGCTCCAGTGGGTGACAGGAAACAGCCTGAGCTCTGTCTGCAGAATGACATAACAAAGAAGTTTTTTTTTAAAAAAAGAACACAGATCTAGTGGGCTGGATAAAAAGCCCTAAGAAAGATCTAACTTGCCTATTTGTTGCTGTGAATATATAATTTTAGATTAAGAAAACTTGCTAAGTCACTGTTTATTGTAAGTTTATTAGGACACTTCTTGTTAGAATTAGTAAAATTATATGAGAAGAATGTGCATTAATAGGAAACTTGGTGATCAAGCATTCTTCTTATTCAAAAGGTTATCAATAAATGTCTTTTAAAAAATGGTGGTCAAGTGTTGTCATTATGGTATAATAGCATTATTTGTAACTTGCAGAATTTAGTTTAAAAAGCAAAGACTTGAAGGGTATATAGTTCCCTTGGGTAGGGCTGTGAAAGTCAATTTATTAGTGGCCAGGTTGATTAAGAAAATGTTATCCAAAAAAAAAAAAAAAAAGGAAAAACCAAAACTGAAACAAAAATTCCTACAATTAGGAAGTAATGAGAGCAATATTAACTGTAAGTTCCTTCTGTGTTTCTGTGCATTTATTTTCCTTAAAACTCTAACAAATTTGAAGCTGAGATTTAGTTTTTTTCTCTACTCCCTCTAAAAATAAAAATATTCTCAAGAAAATAAAACATTTTCTTGAGAAAAATGTATATAAAAGAGCCAAGTACTTCCCATGGTATGATAACATTACTTAGAAGTAGAGTAGATCAGCATTGATATATGGTTGAAACTAACAGAGAAAAACAGCAAAGTGTGTTCTTGATATGTTACTGTGTATTTTAATGAGGGCATCATCACCATCTTCATCATCTACCAGAAGACATGAGACTTAGAAACAAAACCAAATGCAGAGTGAATTTTTTGACAGCACTAAGCGATAACGCCTCCTGGCTGCTGCAGTGTGCTTGAGAAATTGGCTGGCCCACTACTGTCCTTTTACAATGGTTTCATTTAATTGTAAACCAAAGATCAAAGGTCTGTAACTCTTTAACCAAATTCCAATGTCTGCCAAATTCAATAGCTGTCATTCTTATAGAAAAAGGCAGTGTAATATGTGTGTTCTGATCTAATTTTATAGAAACAGACACAATTTACATACTATTTATTTAGTTAAGTCCCTAAAATCAATACCTTTGTCTGTACCTCTTTTGTTTAAAATACATCATGACATGGCAAACGGCTATATAAATGAATTTTTCTAAACCACACGCATTGTTAATGTCTTTCTATTGCAGATTCAAAAAAGAATAGTTGAAATCATAGCATTTTATAGATCAACTTAAATGTATTTTAATATTGGATTACTAAAGAATGTTAAGTTTTACATTTCTTAAATTATACATTTTGTTTGAAAAGGTCAGTCATTTTCCTGAGCCACGTTTGCCAACAGAAAGACATATTTCAACCATGGAAATAAAAGGAAAAGTGATTATGTTCAATTCTAAGAGAAAATAATTCTTAAAAATGTGTCTTTGTAACAAATAAGCAAACAAACAATGATGAGCTCCTGAAAAAGTTTCTGGATGGAATAGCAGTATTCTCAAGAGAGAAAACCCCACTTTGCATTAGTAAGAAAACAATTCATTCCAATAACTGTAGAATAATCTGCAATTCATTACAACTGAGGAAGAAAACCATGGTTTTGCTTTTACTGTTAAGAGTCACAGACATTTCTTTATTGAGTTTCCTATGGTCATGGTAATATTTGTTGGAAATGTAAAGCAAATCACTACCTTTAGAACAATTTTTTCCAACTCTAAGAATAGCTATTTATGTGTTAATTTTGCATTTTTAATGACATGTGGCTTTTATATTTTGATTAGCTCTTTAGAATAATTTTCTTCCTTCATCTCTGGTATGTAACCATAATTAGTTAGAAATATTAAGCAAGATGGATCTAAGTGACATATACACTTTTGAACATGTGACAGTAAATATTTAGACATACCTCTGGGAAGACCTCCAGTCACTCCTTCAGTATTAATAAAATTCGTTAATTTTATGCTTAAAAAGCCTAAATTTTGATGTTGTTTCCATTTCGATAAATCAGATCTAAATGGCCAATGTAATTATAGATGTTCTCTTTTTACATGAAATTTTTAACATTTAGTTTTCTGCTAATTTATTTATTTACTTATTAAGAGTTGGAGGCTTACTCTGTCCCAGGCTGGAGTGCAGTGGTGTGTTCGTAAGTTACTATACCCTCAAACTCCTGGGCTCAAGCACTCCTTCCACCTCGAGCCTTCTGAGTAGCTGGAATCTCAGGCATGAGCTACCATGCCTGGCCAACTTAGTTTTTCTAGAAAGAATTTTTCCAAGCTGTAATGAGACTACCTCTTTTAACATATGACACCTAAACCATGTTATCTCCAACATAAGGATAATTAGTCAACCTAAGTAATCTAGTGCTTTTTCATGTGATGCAATGGTCTTGAAGAGTTTTAATAAAGGCGCCTTGGGTGGCAGCGGTGCCCCAACTCAGAGGTACGAATGTTTTTATTTATGCCTTGGACTTTTAATTTGTATTATTTTGCCCTTAACCTTGATAAAATTGCTCTTCTACTTTTCTGTTCATCTGCACAGACTGTACACTCTCACTATATTCTAGTCTTTCTTCTTGGTGCCTTAGGTCCTAGTATTTAAGTTCATACACTGGCTCTAAGGCATTCTGTGGGTTAGTCTGGACATCAGAAAACCCTCCATCCTCCAATAAAGAAAATACCTTAGGAATTTCCATGCTTCAAGCAAGAAAGTTTGCTGGGGGAACTTAACAACATAAGCCATTTCTCTTAATTACAGGATATTTCTAAATATCCTGTCATTGCCACAATTCATCCATGAATAACTACTTATCCATTCATCTTACTCATCCATCCATCTAATGTATATCAAATATCTTCTATATGCTAGGCATCATGACAGGAGTTGCAAAAACAAAGATGAATATATCAAAGTCTCTGCTCTCAAGAAATTCTTGCTATAGGGAAAGAAATAGTCACATTAATAAAAACAACAAACAATAAAAAACCTAACCACACAATTTGACTAGAGTTATGTTTCCGTGTATTTTTTAAAATAGACTTTATTTTTTAGAGTAGTTTTAGATAGATAGCAAAATTTAGCCGAAGGTATAGAGATTTCCCATGTACTCACTGTTCCTATACATGTATAGCATCTCCCCTTATCATATTCCCCACTAGAGTGGTACATCTGTTACAACTGATAAACCTACATTGATACATCATTATCATCCAGAATACACAGTTTACATTAGGGTTCACTGCAGATGTAGTACATTCTGTGGGTTTGGACAGATTTATAATGACATATTCATGATTACAGTATCATACAAAGTAGTTTTACTGACCTAAAAATCACATGTATTTTAAAAATAGTTTATATTTTTTTGGTAGACTGAAGTGTCAAAATTGTCTGCAAATCTGGCACATATACCTTATTTCCTGAATCTGAAAGATTTAATGATGCTAATGTAGGGAAAAGGGTGCTGATTGTCCATTCAGGACTTCTAGCTATTTCAGAAGGTGAATGTCTCATGTTAACTTAGTAGAAATTGTTGCTTTTGAAGGACTCAACAAGTTGCCATTTTCCCCAGCCTCACATAGAAGAAGTACCATAATACTGAAGAGCTATGATGTTTATTATTTATTTTCACTATACAATTAAGCTTTACATACATGGACAATTGATAAAACTTTATGTCACTCAATGATGGTGTGCTAGGAGTCATTCAGTTGTCTCTGGGTTTTGATTGTAATCCATTTTACATACACATGTTTTGTTTGAAATATTCTTCTAGGAAATCTGTCAGGGCACAAAATTTTAAATGGGGTAATTCTTGCCCTCTGGATTCTCATAATCTAGGGTGATAAAGAAAAGGGCTTCTGAAGTAGGAAAGATTATGAAAATGAAGATTATGCCTTTTTCTATAGTATCAATAAAATCACAGAGTACTCCACACATTTCTTGATGACTCATCCATACTGAGCTCTACTTTTTAAACCCTGGAACATGACCATTTGCATGAACATTGCTCCTTCAATGTCACACAATAAATGAACCCACTGATTCCTGTATTCAATGCAGTGTTTCATTCACTACACCATATAATCTTTCTTGGTGTGTGTGATCTAGTGTCCTTCTCCTTCTATTACTCCTCCTCCTCTCTCTCTTTCTTTATGGATCTATGTTCCTTTTATTAGACATGTTTGCTCAGTTCCTTGAAATTTTTCAAGGCTTTATTGAATTAGCTCTTACTGCTTGCTCTGGGGCCAATCTGTCCGATGATTTAAAAGCAGTTCTTTTCATTCCCAGTAGACAATAAGAATAAAAGAACTAATATCACTTAAAATATTTTTCTTTGAAAATTAATTCTTATTTTTGTTTTGTATGATATAGACTATTTTGTCTATTACTTTAATATAATGCTATCATTATTTGGAGCTTCACTTAATACTTGAAGTGGGCAATAGCACATTAGAAAATTGGGTTTTCTAATCTAACCAGGAAGAATTTTTTCCAGTCATCACTGGAAATTTGAAAAAGAGGAAAATGTTACATAAGAAGACTTTTCTATAGTGGTGGAAGAAGGGGAAATAGGGGCCGGATGGTGCCCACTTATTTGATCCGTTTGACAGATTATTTCAACTTTAACCTCTTGAGACTGTGCTAATAATAGGTTCATATTCGAGTTGAGAAAGTGTTTTAATCTATATCTAAGATGTTTAGATAATAATAATTACATATTGCATTATCTTTTAAAAAAAGTGAAAGGAAGGAGAAAAGAAATAAAGAAAAAAAAAGAAAAGAAAGGGCAGGCCAGTTATCAAGCTGGACATTTCACAGGCATTATTTCTGTGCAAGGCAGAGATCAATTCAATGTTCAGTTAAAGAAAGACTCAGGTAATTTGAATACTTTGTTCAAGATTACACATGCAGTAAGTGTTGAACTGAGATAGAAACCCAGGTTATTATGACTTTAGTCTGTGTCCCCTTTCCTTAATGGTAAGATTCATAAGGAAATTCTTTGAGTGGCCTGATAACTGTAGATGTGCAAAGTACTCAGTCTAAACAATAGGGAGGGTCAGAGACTGTGGTAAATTGCAGAATTCTGAATAGATATTTGGTTTCAGAAATATTTAACATCCTGTGCTGACTAACAAGACATTTTAAACAACAACAGTAATAGCAGCAGCAGCAAGAACTATTTTCCACATTTTAGCCTGCTTTATGCCTGACTGTCCCTTTAAATCACTGTCCCTGCTTTCTGGATCTTTATTTCAGGAACTCATAACTGGAGGAAATATTCATTGCATTTCAATAATATTTTCTTTTGCTTGCTGCATAATTTACTATGTATAAGTACAGTCAGAAAAAAAAGGGAGATGACTTGAGTCATGTTGGAATTCACAGGTATAGGTGGATGGACAAATGGCAGATGTGGTGAGTTGGGGAGAAAATGATAATTTTTTCTTCTCTCTATATTTTATCCTTCATAAAATCTGTTATACCTTTGAATTTAGCGTAGATGTAACTTCCTTCAGGAAGTATTTCCTGATCCTGCTATGTTGGTGTACTTCCTTAGCACCTATTACTTACTCTTTCATAGAATGTCATACTCTAGATTTAATTGCCCATGTATTTGCCTTTCTTACCCTCTTACTATCACTCTGTGTTGGTGGGAATCACATTTATCTTTCTTATTATTATAGTTCTCATATTGTGTATTGCAACTCCCACAAAATTGGTGCTCAATAAATATTTGTTGAATGAATGAGGGAGTAAGTAAATATTAAGTGTTACACTTTTCTCTTGATGCACATTTAATTATATTGCTTTGGAAAATATTTAACTCTTCCATGACTCCTAATTAAAGAAATGAGGAACTTACTAAGCTTTTGGAATGGAAATATTTTATATTCATTATAATTAAGCCACTGGCTTTTTAGATTGTGGATGTTATTAGTCAAGGTTAGTCCAGAAAACAGAAAGTACTTTAGATGTTTCAAACAAGAGTGGTTTAAATTCAGAAGCTTAAAATCAGCTGGAAGAGCTGGAGGTGTGTTAAAAGTTATGGAAAGCTGTCTCTAGATTTCAGGAAATTAGAATTTTTCAAAAATTACATATACCCACTGCCAACGCATTCAGTTACCTTCATTATGAAATGAGCTGAGTCATGGGAGAAATCATGGAAGCTACTGTTAAGTCCCCTGTGCCTGCACTTTACTGCTACAATAATAATGGCTTGGATTATCTTCCATCTTCCAAATTTCATGTGAAAGCTCCTCACATAGAGGGGGTATATTAGTTTCCTGTGGCTGCTGTAACAAACTACTACAAACATGGTGGAGTCAAACAATATACATTATTCCCTCACAGTTCTGGAGGCCAGAAGTCTGAAATGGGTTTCACTTGGCTAAAATCAAGGTCTTGGTAGGGCCATGCCTTCTTCAGAGATTCCAGAGGCAAATCCATTTCCTTACCTTTTCCAGTTTCTAGAAAATATCCCCATTCCTTGCTCACAGTCTTGCACCACATCACCGTCTTCCTTTTCCTGTTCCCATCATCACACTGCCTTCTTCTATCTCAAATCTCCCTCTGACTCCATTTCATAAGGACCTTTATGATTACATCTAGGGTCAACCTGGATAATCCAGAATAATCTTGGCATCTCAATATTCTTAATAACATCTGGAAAGCCTCTATTGTCATATAAGGTAACATTAACTGGTTTCAGGGGTCAGGAGCTGGATATCTTGGAGGGGGAAGTGATGAATATTATTTAGCCTACCACAAGGGGAGATAATCTAATTTCGAACCCTACTGAAAAAGATTCTGGAACTTGAAGCCTTCTTGGATTTTGGCTTAGCAATATAGTAGAGGGCATACAAGGGAGTGAAAATGAATGCTGGTGATAAAAATTAATATCCAACACAGAATTCAGTAAGAGTAAGTTGTCAATAAAGTTAATGGGTTTTGATTTTTGGGCACTAATAGAAGATATGTGTCCTGAACAAAGGGGTCCATACTATTTGAGTCTCTATTTGTTGGATCACATAAAGATCAGTGGGCTTAATTATTGTTTTTTGTTTGTTTGTTTGTTTTTGAGACAGAATCTTGTTCTGTTGTTTAGGCTGGAGTGCAGTGGCGTGATCTTGGCTCACTGCAACCTCTGCCTCCTGAGCTCAAGTGATCCTCACACTTCAGCCTCCTGAGCAACTGAAACTACAGGTGGGTGCCACCATGCCTGGCTAATTTTTGTAGTTTTTGTAGAAATGGGGTTTCACTATGTCACCCAGGCTGTTCTCCAACTCCTGGGCTCAAGCAATCCGCCCAACTTGGCCTCCCAAAATGCTGGTGAGACAGCCAGGTGGGAGAAGGTCCCTGGAGAAACTCCAACCAGCCTTCCCTCTGAGGTGGAGCCTCGGGAAGTTCACAACGTTTGCAGCAGGGAGGAGGCTGGCCTCTCCTCTTCCTGTGTGGAACCTGGGATTCGAACTGCTCGGTAGGAAGCGCTCTAGCGGAGGGACTCAGTCCTTGCGAGAGTTCCTGTTTCCCCCTTTTCTTCCTTTACACCCAATAAAACCCTGCCTCACTCACCGTTCAAACTGTCTGCAAGCCTAAATTTTCTTGGCCATGGGACGGACAAGGACCTGTTTTTAGCTGAACTAAAGGAAAGTCCCGCAACATTGGGATTATAGGCATGAGCCACTGCATCTGGCCGGTTTAATTTTTTAAACGGATTTTCTCCTGTGTGTTTGTAAGGTAGGATGGAAGTAACCAGTTTTTAGCTGAAATTTAAGAAGGACTTTCTAACCAACAGAGTTGTTATATGCTGCCTTGTGAAATAATGACAAAGACATCGATGGGCACAAAATTAGAGGGCACAGTTAGCGTCCATGGAATCCTTAAAGTTCTAGGCACGCCACTTTCACTTAATCATTCTGTAATTCATAATGGAAATATGTTTTGGGCTTTATTTAGGTCTTCAGGTTTACCACTATTAGGCTTATGAGTTCCTTACATTTATTATTAGCTGAGGTAAGTAAAATTTCTTTTTATTCTAAATTTAATGGGCTCCAATTTCAGTGGATATCTTTTACCTTATTCTGAATTGTGCAAAGATCATTACTATCGGCTAATCTTTAAAATTAGTGGTTCTTAACTTCTCCCTTCTTATGCTATATACACTATTTTTCAACAAACCTCTGGTTTCTATTAAATCTATATTTGTTCTCTTATATTGTTTATTAATTAATAAATTTCTTTGGTACATTTTTTTCAGTCAACACTTACCCAAACAAAAATGTATAATGCTTTTAGTTTTATTTCTTGCCCCCCACTTCAGTCTGTACTTTAACTCAGTGGTCCCCAACCTTTTCAGCACCAGGGACTGGTTTTGTGGAAGACAATTTTTGCATGGATGGGGTGGGGGTAAATGGTTTTGGGATGATCCAAGCACATTACATTTAGTGTGCATTTTTATTTCTGTTATTACATTGTAATATATAATGAAATAATTATACAACTCGCCATAATGTAGAATCAGTGGGAGCCCTAAGCTTGTTTTCCTGCAACTAGATAGTCCCATCTGGGGGTGATGGGAGACAGTGACAGATCATCAGGCATTAGATTCTCATGAAGTGTGCACAACCTAGATCCCTCGCATGCACAGTTCATAATAGGTTCATGCTCCTATGAGAATGTAATGCTGCCGCTGATCTGACAGGAAGTGGAGCTCAAGTGGCAATGCGAGGGTTGGGGAGCAGCTGTAAATAAAGTTGAAGCTTCCCTCACTTGCCTGCCGCTCACCTCCTGCTGTGTAGCTTGGTTCCTAACAGGCCACGGACCAGTACTGGTCTATTGCCCAGGGGTTGGGGTCCCCTGCTTTAACTGGTCTTTGAGACTATTCTGGTTCCACCACAATATTCTTAAGGTGAAAATATAACATTCTAAAAGGGTATTCAATATAACTTTTTAAAGTGTTTATGTTTTGTTTCAGAACTCATGATGCCTAGTAATCTGTTGAACAAGGTATAGTATAGTAAATATCAGATTGTAGCTGCAGAGGAATACTTCCTTGTTAGGATGTCTTTTTGTGAAAATGTTTGTAGGGCTCATACAAGAGGAAAGCTGATGCCCTGACATTGACGTAAACCTATACAATTTTGTTTTATTGGGCATTGACATTCCAGAACTTTGCAGGAAAAGGGCACTTTCCCCAAATTTCTTTTTTTCTAATCCTTCTTATTTCTGTATACATTCTAAGTATAGAGTTTAATTGTTGTATATTTAGTGAAGCCCAGTGTGGTATTCTTCCTGGCATCCCTTTGAACATCTTCTTGGATGTCCTCACTCTCTCCCCATTTTCAGCTCATTTGGTTTGGTGGAGCTTCACCCTGACCTATAACCTGAGCATCACTCTACTCTCGACACAAGTATTGCTTTAGGTTAAACATGACACCCAATCAGAGCCAGTGAGACAAAATAAATCACTTGCTGAAAATACTGGGAAAAAGTCTCTTACTCAAAATTAAACGTCTTGTCTGGGAGTGGTGACTCATTCCTGCAATTCCTAGCACTTGGGCAGGCCAAGACAGGAGGATTGTTTGAGGCCAGAAGTTAGAAACCAGCCTGGTCAACATAGCAAGACCATGTCTCTACAAAAATACATATAAATATAAAAAAATTTAGCAGGATGTGGTGGCACGTGCCTGTAGTCCTGGCTACTCAAGAGGCTGAAGAGGGAGGATAGCTTATACCCAGGAGCTCAAGACCACAGTAAGATATAATCATGCCACCACACTCCAGCCTGGGTGACAGAGTGAGGCCCTGTCTCAAAAAGAAAAAAAAATAGACATCTTGCTACCACAAGAGAAAGCCTGAAACTGTCAGAAGTCAACACATTGTACTTAGCAATTGAAGCCAGCAAACGTCAAGGCAGAGCTGCCTATTTTGGTTTCAATGACATCATTTGAACTTCTGAACTCTTGTTATATCTGAAGCTCAGTATACTCCCTTGGACCTTTCAGTCATGTGAACCAATAAATTATTTTGCTTAAGTCAGTTTAAATTGGGTTTTATAAGTAAGAGTTCTCTTAATGGATACATCCTGGTAGATATCCAAATCACTGTGTGTAGCTCAACTACATGTCACAGCTTCATCCAGACTTACTCTTCATTTTTCCATTCACTGGTCTTTCTGGGCTGTCTTCCCCAGAATCTAGCTGGGTATTCCATTCCTTCCTACATCACTAGAACATTTCTGCAGTTGGCACTCCAATACATCTCTGTATCATTGTTTATCTAACTGTGCTCTCACAACATCTTTACTTTCCTGACATCATTCTCTCCACCAGAAATAAGCAAAGAATGAGTCTCTTTTAATTTACACCACTTCTTCCCTCTGAAATCATGTGCTGTCTCTAAGTGCTGAGAAGAAGATTTCAAAGATTTTCTGAAGAGAGAAAATGTAGAACAACATATAATCCATCACAGCAGTTATATGAGTTCCTGCTGGGGAAATTTGGACTCTTGAGGGTTTTCATAAAAGGTGGTTGCCAGTTTATTAGGGCTGAGTGTTTTTAGGGTGGTGATGATTACCCAAAGAACACTCCTTGCTGATTTAAATTATGGTCAATTTCCACAAAGATATTTGCTTTTTTGTACAAGGTGTCACTGAAAAATTTGGTATTCCCTATTGCATGATATGCATGAGAAGCTAGAATCTCTGAAGAATCTGCTGTTTTGTACTCTCTGAACTCTACAGTGTGTGGTTGTCTGGAGTACTGGTTTGGAAAAAGCTTCTACGTTTCTAATGGTTACTTGCTTTGAGTGTCTTAGTGCTGCCAAAAGTTCACCAAATGCCATGTTGTTTGAAGATAATACTTTTCTCATTTCATTTTGAAACCCTTTCCCCAGACACTTTCCCTGACCATACAGTCTGAAGCGAACCTCTTCCTCATGGCTGTTTATTATTTGTGTTGCATCCATCAGTATTTGTAATTAGGTATTTATTAGTGTGTTTACTTTCTACTCCATAATACTTCAAGCTACATGAGGGTAAGACTCCCATGTATTTTACATACTGCTGTATGTAGTACCATGTTTGCTATGTGGTAAATGATCAATATTATTTTGAATGAATGAATATATATTATACAAACATGTAACTTTAGGGTTAAAAACAGTATTTTTGCATGATTTCAGTTTCCAGCTGCTATTTTTTTTTTAACCATGAGAACAAATCCTAAACTAATGGGTATGGAGTATGAAAAATGCTTGTTTTGATATGTGTGTAATAAAAAAAATGCATGTTGAAGTAACTCCCATTTGAGACAGTAGGCTTTACCGAATCACAGCATACTATTTTCCAGATAAATGCAGTTCTGTGTTTCTCTCTTTTGGAATGGGAAATGTAATCCCTCTTGGGAAAACATTGTGAGAGTCTATAAGCATGTAAATAATCTCAGTTTGGTTGTGCTCATAAAGAATTTTCAATTTAGCAAGTAGGTAGATTCCTCATTTCATTACTTGGGGTTTTCTCCATTATGGAACTGGACTTTTCAAAGAATGCAAATTTGATTAGAGAGAGCTATGCATTGATGTTTTGTATTCTTCATTGTTTTATGGTGATGGAATTATGAAGCAACTTGGCTGGGCTAGAGTGGTATCGGGGGTTTTGCCGATCAGTGTTGTTCCTTTCTTGAGTTCTGTGAAATTACATCACTGGCATGTAGAATCAGTTTTTCAAGGATCTCTGCCATGGACAAAGAGTAAAATGTATTCACATTTACTGGGTGGAAAACCCTATATATGTATACATTTGAGCTCAGGTTTAAGGCTTTGGTGTTGACTGCAAAATATTTACCTCTATTAACGTTTTCCATTGATACCTGAGTGCATCTTGAGTGAAAATTATAGAGTTTGAGGATTTAAATTTTAATCCTAAATAAAATAAAAATGTAAATCCTAAATAAAATAAAAGTCAAGTTCTTTTGTTTTGCTGCTTGCAGGTGCAATTTAATTTAACATATATTGCTGACCCTACAGTTTTGTCATGCATACATACACAAATACACACATAGTCATACATGTAATATTCTTTTCTTAGTTTTGTAACAAGAAGCACTTTCCATATAAATCCAAGTTAAAATGAAGCATTCTTTTCGTGGAGAGTTGTCAGAAAAGCGTTCAGGGCTTCTTTCTGTCACCTCTTATTCTAGCAGCATTTAAAAATAAGAGTGGTTTGGAAAAAATCAACTTATTTGGTGGAATTCAGTGTTAGACTGCTAAATTTGGGGTTTTGAATATGACCTTGGTCAATAAAATGTAAGCTCCATGAGAGTAGGGGCTTTGATCACGATTATATTCTCACTGCTTAGGAGAATGCTTGGCACATAGAGGGCACTCAGCAAATATTTATCCAATGAATGCATTTTTCTTCCATAGCCCAGGCTGCCCATATTTGTTTGGTGATACTGTGTAAGGTGACAGCAGCAAAGCTGAGAAAATGGTTTCCTTTGGATGACTGATCAGAGTTTCTACAGCTAATAGCAAGAGCTGTCTGAACTGGACTGAATAAGCAGCCATGGGAGTTTTTGGGAACATCTGGAGAGAGAATGCTAATCCTAGTTAATGTTTGTGCAGCAATTTACTCCTCTAAGGGCTTTACTTATGTTAACTTGTGTTATCATTAGAATACCAGAAACAAGAGTAGGGAATGTTTTCCATTTTATAGAAGAGAACCCAAAATACAGAAACTTGTGACTTGCCCAAAGTCCTCTACCTAGTAAGGGGCAGAAGTCCGATTTAAACCCACGTAGTCTGGCTCTAGAATCTGCATTCTTAACTCACTGTGCTATGGTGCCTCTCCAATGTGAGAGATGGGGGCTTGGAAATATATTAACTTAAATATTAAAAAAGAAATGAGCGTATTTTGAGGCCCAGGATAAAGAGGGACATGTAAGTTACAGGCATTTAGGAAAATCAGATAACTTCGCGATGACATCATTTTATGATTTCGTGATCTCTCAGCACATTCTTCAGGGATGTCGATACACACTCACACACACAATCATATATGTCTATATGATTTTATCTAATTAAATATTTGACTCTATATATGATCTTTTTGTTTTTTATGTGTATATAATATATAAGTGTATGTAATACATATTAAATTTCAAAAAGCTTGTAGACACTTTTTTTTAATTATACTTTAAGTTTTAGGGTACATGTGCACAACGTGCAGGTTAGTTACATATGTATACATGTGCCATGTTCATGTGCTGCACCCATTAACTCGTCATTTAACATTAGGTATATCTCCTAATGCCATCCCTCCCCCCGCCCTCACCCCACAATAGGCCCCAGTGTGTGATGTTCCCCTTCCTGTGTCCATGTGTTCTCATTGTTCAATTCCCACCTATGAGTGAGAACATGCGGTGTTCGTTATTTTGTCCTTCCGATAGTTTGCTGAGAATGATGGTTTCCAGCTTCATCCATGTCCCTACAAAGGACATTAACTCATCATTTTTTATGGCTGCATAGTATTCCATGGTGCATATGTGCCACATTTTCTTAATCCAGTCTGTCATTGTTGGACATTTGGGTTGGTTCCAAGTCTTTGCTATTGTGAATAGTGCCGCAATAAACATACATGTGCATGTGTCTTTATAGCAGCATGATTTATAATCCTTTGGGTATATACCCAGTAATGGGATGGCTGGGTCAAATGGTATTTCTAGTTCTAGATCCCTGAGGAATTGCCACACTGGGGAAACGATTCCCTATTTAATAAATAGTGCTGGGAAAACTGGCTAGCCATATGTAGAAAGCTGAAACTGGATCCCTTCCTTACACCTTATACAAAAATTAATTCAAGATTGATTAAAGACTTAAATGTTAGACCTGAAACCATAAAAACCCTAGAAGAAAACCTAGGCAATACCATTCAGGACATAGGCATGGGCAAGGACTTCATGTCTAAAACACGAAAACCAATGGCAACAAAAGCCAAAATTGACAAATGGGATCTAATTAAACTAAAGAGCTTCTGCACAGCAAAAGAAACTAGATCAGAGTGAACAGACAACCTACAGAATGGGAGAAAATTTTTGCAATCTACTCATCTGACAAAGGGCTAATATCCAGAATCTACAAAGAACTCAAACAAATTTACAAGAAAAAAACAAACAACCCCATCAAAAAGTGGGCGAAGGATACGTAGACACATTTTTAGCAATGAAAGGCGAAAAAAATATAATCTGTCTAGAAAATCAATTGTTTTGTATTCAAAATTATTCAAAAATAATAATCAAATATATTTAGAAAATTAAAACAGTACAGAAAGGAAAAATTAAAAGTTGAAAAACATCCTCTTTCTCACCACAAACCTCAAACTTATACTTCTTCAAGAAGACATGTTTATTGAATTAAACTAAGTATTTTCAATTTTTTGTAAACCAGATATACTTTCTTCAAATGAATTTTATAATTTATTGGGAAGTAATTACTATAATATATACAAATTTACATGAATGTAATTGTGTTTTCCATGCGTAATATGTGTTTTTATGGATATAGCATGTATTAGTTAACCAGTCTATTATTGATTGACATTTTGTTGTCTTTGGTTTTTGATTTTACAAAATTAGCTGCTATACCTTTGTGTGTGTGGGTGTACATTTTTGTACAAACATGTTGCAAATTCTTGTAGATTTCCTCAGTCTAATAGTATATACATTTTTCATTATGAAAGGTATATTTTTTAAAGTGTAATATGTTTTATTTTTTATTGATTACATGCCAAATTGGTAACATTTTAGATATATTAAATATACACAAGTTAATTTTATATATATATATTTTTATTATACTTTAAGTGCTAGGGTACATGGCACACTGTGCAGGTTTGTTACATATGTATACATGTGCCATGTTGGTGTGCTGCACCCATTAACTCGTCATTTACATTAGGTATATCTCCTAATGCTATCCCTCCCCGCTCTCCCCACCCCACAACAGGCCCCAGTGTGTGATGTTCCCCTTCCTGTGTCCAAGTGTTCTCATTATTCAATTCCCACCTATGAGTGAGAACATGTGCTGTTTGGTTTTTTGTCCTTGCGATAGTTTGCTGAGAGTGATGGTTTCCAGCTTCATCCATGTCCCTACAAAGGACATGAACTCATCATTTTTTATGGCTGCATAGTATTCCATGGTGTATATGTGCCACATTTTCTTAATCCATTCTATCATTGATGGACATTAGGGTTGGTTCCAAGTCTTTGCTATTGTGAATAGTGCTACAATAAACATACGTGTGCATGTGTCTTTATAGCAGCATGATTTATATTCCTTTGGGTATATACCCAGTAATGGGATGGCTGGGTCAAATGGTATTTCTAGTTCTAGATCTGTAAGAAATCGCCACACTGTCTTCCACAATAGTTGAATGAGTTTACAGTCCCACCAACAGTGTAAAAGTGTTCCTACTTCTCCACATCCTCTCCAGCACCTGTTGTTTCCTGACTTTTTAATGATCACCATTCTAACTGGTGTGAGATGGTATCTCATTGTGGTTTTGATTTGCATTTCTCTGATGGCCAGTGATGATGAGCATTTTTTCATGTGTCTTTTGGCTGCATAAATGTCTTCTTTTGAAAAGTGTCTGTTCATATCCTTCGCCCACTTGTTGATGGGGTTGATTTTTTCTTGTAAATTTGTTTGAGATCTTCGTAGATTCTGGCTATTAGCCTTTTGTCAGATGAGTAGATTGCAAAAATTTTCTCCCATTCTGTAGGTTGCCTGTTCACTCTGATGGTAGTTTCTTTTGCTGTGCAGAAGCTCTTCTGTTTAATTAGATCCCATTTGTCAATTTTGGCTTTTGTTGCCATTGGTTTTCGTGTTTTAGACATGAAGTCCTTGCCCATGCCTATGTCCTGAATGGTAATGCCTAGGTTTTCTTCTAGGGTTTTTATGGTTTTAGGTCTAACATTTAAGTCTTTAATCCATCTTGAATTAATTTTTGTATAAGGTGTAAGGAAGGGATCCAGTTTCAGCTTTCTACATATGGCTAGCCAGTTTTCCCAGCACCATTTGTTAAGTAGGGAATCCTTTCCCCATTTCTTGTTTTTGTCAGGTTTGTCAAAGATCAGATAGTTGTAGATGTATGGTATTATTTCTGAGGGCTCTGTTCTGTTACATTCATCTGTATCTCTGATCAATAAATGTAATCCAGCATATAAACAGAACCAAAGACAAAAACCACATGATTATCTCAATAGATGCAGAAAAGGCCTTCAACAAAATTCAACAGCCCTTCATGCTAAAAACTCTCAATGAATTAGGTATTGATAGGATGTATCTAAAAGTAATAAGAGCTATTTATGACAAACCCATAGCCAACATCATACTGAATGGGCAAAAACTGGAAGCATTCCCTTTGAAAACTGGCAGAAGACAGGGATGCCCTCTCTCACCACTCCTATTCAACATAGTGTTGGAAGTTCTGGCCAGGGCAATCAGGCAGGAGAAAGAAATAAACGGTATTCAGTTAGGAAAAGAGGAAGTCAAATTGTCCCTGTTTGCAGATGACATGATTTTATATCTAGAAAACCCCATCATCTCAGCCCAAAATCTCCTTAAGCTGATAAGCAACTTCAGCAAAGTCTCAGGATACAAAATCAGTGTGCAAAAATCACAAGCATTCTTGTACACCAATAACAGACAAACAGAGAGCCAAATCATGAGTGAACTCCCATTCACAATTGCTTCAAAGAGAATAAAATACCTAGGAATACTACTTACAAGGGATATGAAGGACCTTTTCAAGGAGAACTACAAATCACTTCTCAATGAAATAAAAGAGGACATAAACAAATGGAAGAACATTCCATGCTCATGGATAGGACGAATCAGTATTGTGAAAATGGCCATACTGCCCAAGGTAGTTTATAGATTCAATGCCATCCCCATCAAGCTACCAATGACTTTCCTCACAGAATTGGAAAAACTACTTTAAAGTTCATATGGAACCAAAAAAGAGACTGCATTGCCAAGTCAATCCTAAGCCAAAAGAACAAAGCTGGAGGTATCATGCTACCTGACTTCAAACTATACTACAAGGCTACAGTAACCAAAACAGCATGGTACCGGTACATTTTGAAAGATATTACCAAATTACTCCTAAAAAGTAATACTGATGTATATGCTTACCAGTAGAGTATAGGAGTCTAATTTCTCTACATCATGGTTATCAATAAACATCAATTGCCAATTGGTTAGGCAAAAATTAGTATCCTATTTTAACTATTTAACTGTGAATGAGTTTGAACACCTTAAAAGTTTATTAGTTATTTTCCTGTTACTGTAAATTTCCATTATCCATTTGTATTGGGTTGTAGGTTCTTCTTTTTACTGATTTATTTGATTTCTCTAACTTTTTTTTTCTTAATGTTCTTCTTTTACAAAACCTTCTTGGTTATAACTTTGGCCTTACAATAAGAAACTTTGTTAAGCAGGACTGTAAAATGGAATAAAGATATTCCTAATTCATCATGGAAAATGTTCTTCACAATAGACACTGGGGGCTATAAAAACGGGGAGGAAGAGAGGGGAGCAAGGATTGAAGAGCTATCTGTCAGGTACTATGCTCACTACTTGGGTGATGGGTTCAATTGTACCCCAAACCTCAGTATCACACAATATACCCTTGTAACAAACCTGCACATATAACCCTGAATCTCAGAAAAAAGTTTGGAAAAAAATTCTTCAAAGGTTGCACAGAGAGGACTTTATTAGGAGAATGAATAGACATGTTCCTAAGAAAATGCAATGAATAGAAGGGAGCTAAGCTAAAGCGAAGAAAGTAGTCTTTATCATTCTTAAAAAGAATGATACTTCTTTTCAATAGTCTTCTGTTCTTTAGGTTTGACTACTACTTTTAATCATATTTTGGCATATAGATTTATCTGGTAATACATACTTTATCATGTTTTCTCTAGAATTATTTTTTAAGTTCAGCCTTACTTGGGTAAATTCTCCATGTTCTTTAGTTTTCTTTTTATCGTTTAAATTTTGGGAGATCAGAACCAAAGTAAAAACATTTTAAAAAGATTCTATGAGTAAGCTATGAACAAAATATTCTGTACTGTGCTCTGATTGTAATCAAAATCAATCTTCTTTCTTTTACTTACAATTTTAGCTCTGAAGAACCAGCGGACGCAAGTGAATCATTTCCTTTTCCTCCATTTTTAGGCATTATACAAATTTCCATATTATTCTTGATAAAACGACGATAAAAACATATCCATTGAACCCTTTAATTTATATATTTATCTCTTGATCAATTTTTTTCGTCTTTACATGCTTTATCATTTTAATTTTAAAACACTTAAAAAAATTCCATGGAAATTCGAATCTAATGTTTTCCTTAATACATGTGGTTGACATTGATAACTTAACAATGGAAGATATTTTTGGATAAATATACCCCATAAGAATCCTTAGTAAAGATACTTGTATAGTATATATATATATACGTTTCAGTCCCTGTTATTCAATATACTTTTTCTTATTTGAATGAAGAAATTCCAGGTATTCTTTCTCTTCTTTTTACTTTTTTTTTTTTTTTTGAGAGATGGAGTCTTGCCGTGTTGCCCAGGCTGGAGTGCAGTGGCATGATCTCGGCTCACTGCAACCTCCACCTCCTGGGTTCAAGTGATTCTCCTGCCTCAGCTTCCCAAGTAGCTGGGACTACAGGCGTGCGCTACCACACCCAGCTAATATTTGCATTTTTCAGTAGAGACAGGGTTTTACTACTATATGTTGGCCAGGCTGGTCTCAAACTCCTAACCTTAGGTGATTGGCCGGCCTTGGCTTCCCAAAGTGCTGGGATTACAGGCGTGAGCCACCTCGCCTGGCCCTAAATCCAGGTATTCTGTCATGAAATATTAATCTTGAGAATTTTGATTGCTACAGTATATCAACTTCATGAACTTCAATGGGATCCGAGCAGTTAACTCTCTTTTTGTTATTGTAAATGGTATATTTTAAAATGCTTTAGTTGTTTTTGAATATGAAGCCTCCCATAATAATAATTTTATTCTTCCTAATTTTATGCCAAAATGTATTTTTCTTCTCAGTGTCCATGTCAATATTGAGCAGCTAATTTCTCAAGTAGTAGGGATTATAATGGAATTTTTCATGATAAAATTGATGTCAGTCTCTTAATTTTAGGACATCAAATTTATTTTAAAAATTGGATCTTTTGGTTTAATACCAATTGATTTAAATATATAATTTATACGGAGGTCACTATTTGGTGTTAAATAATCAAACTGATTCTGGCTGTAAAATTCTGTGATCGATGTTTCTTGACATTTTTAAATTTCACTTTAAGATTTTCCCTGAGTTCAAATAATTTCTGTACATTTTTTCTCTCAATTTTTTTAGTTAGAACTTGGAATTTTGACTTATGTATTATAAAATTTTAGATAAAGGAAAGTTTATTTGAAATATTAAGCCAAATTTTCTCTAAAAGTATATAATGTTCAGTTAATATCTATATTTAGAAAGTTAGTATGAAGAAAAAATGTATTTTTAATATCTTATCTGGAAAAAATACATTGTTATTCTAGAATTATAAGATTTTAGAAATATACTCTGAATGTAATAATCAGAACCTTTATTTCTTCCATATTGAAACACTAACAGCATGTATGTTTTAAAATTACTAACATATACAGCACACATAAATTTTAAAAAATATTGCCCCTGTTTGCACCAAGACCTAAAAACTTTCTTGTACTATACTGTCTGGATGATTTACTGAGCGCCTTCTAGAGGCCAAGTATCTTTTGATTTAAAAAAATGATATTAAGGAGATTAAATTGACAGTTGTTAAAATAAAATGATGGATTATTTTGTATAATCCACATCATTTAATTAATGACCCCTCTTAATTTAAAACATCGTATTATAAATATGCCACTAATCGTGTTATCTATTCATTCATTCCATAAAGATTTGCTTATTTGGTTAATGGTTTTAGAGACTGTGTGTTTGGGAATATTAACAGAAAAAAAGATATCTCAATTTGTGGAAAAGGAAGAAATACAAATGCTTAAAATTATAGTATAGTTAATTGCAATGGCAAAATGTGTCCATGGAGGGCATGGGAAACAAGTGGATGACAAACCAGCCTTACTAAAAGCAGTAAATATTATATGTAGGCAATAGAGTGGGAAAGAATGAGAGTAGATGTAATGATGTTTTGTGTCTGGTAGAAATCTCTATGGGTTCTGGAATATAGAAGTCAACTCACAAGTGTGAGGCAAGAAAGTGACTAAAAGAAATAGCAAAATTATCAAGCACAAATTAAAACACTATTTTAAAAATATCCTCCATAATTTTGAAAGCATTACTTCATCTAAACACTGCTGAAAGTTTCTGCTCACATCATTGGGGGAATATTTTTTCCCTAAGAGAATTAATCTCTAGTTCTTTATTTAACTTGCTTAAAGATGAGATATTAGCAAGGAATATAGGTGGTCATTTCAGGTTTGGGATTTCAGAGCTCAGAAATTTTCACCTTAAAGAAACAAGTGCCAAATTATAGAATGAAAGTTAATTAAGTCAAAATGAGAGCACCAGTCCTAGTCAACTTAGATATTAATAATCAAAGTTCTGAAGTTTTGAGTACACATAGCCCAGCTCTTTGAGTGTTAATTTGCTCTAAAACACAATAAATTGTACAATGCTTAAAGCTCACTACTAATTCTTGTGACACCTGAGAAAACTGAAGTATTTGTAAAGATGCACTTCATTTGCTGACTTTTCTTTAGTAATACCGTACTATTCAGCCTAGTTGTTTTTTTTAATTGTGCTCCTTCAGTCAAAAACTGACACAACTTTTGAAATATAGTCACTCGTACACTAGTCAGTCACACTCCCATAATGTGTCTGTCATCACGTTAAAACAGTCATTTGCTGACATATTTTATGGCCATGAACATGTTTCAGAAACCAGCAAAAAGGATTGGCCTTTAAAAAATAAGCAAGAGCAGAATTTCCTTCTAGTGAAACGACATATAATTTGAAATAATAGAGTGTCAATAGTGACTATAGGAAATTGCTAGAAGGTGGACATTTCCAAGTCCACTTTTATCTGGGAAAAAGTAGTTCCTTTTAAGCCAGCAAACACTATATTGAATTAAAAGCATCTTTGTCAGATTCTGAAAATGTTTATAGCATAAGGTTTGGAGTTCTGAATTTCTCTAAATATGTGGAACAGCGATTTTGTAAATAATAAATGTTAATGCTGTACAAAATAGGATTCTATTCTCCATATCTTTCCAGTTATATTAGACTAGTCCAAATTGACTTTTGCATTTAATGACCTTTATCAGAAAAAGTAAGAATAGTGAGGGAAAATTTATAGATGGAAACAAACATTCACATAGATCAGCTTGTGTCCAGTGATTTTATTCATCCCCAAAGCTCTTAAAATACATAATGGATAAACTCCAATTATTTAATAAGTAGAAAACAGCTTTGGAAATGATGAAGCATAGCCAAGTCCAGCAAGATTATATGCAAGTTCACAATAATTTTTACATGCCATTGAAATTGGCAAAATAAATACTTTAGTAGATCCTTAAATACCTATGAGTAGTGTCTCTTTAGAATGAATAATTTACTCTTTAAAAATACTTGTTAGTTCCCACTCTGCATTAAAGTTTATTTCAAGAAGAACTCACATTCTGTTCATAATATGATTCTATTTTGATTAATCACTATAGTCACATAAAATTCAAAGATCTTATTTGTTTAAATGGAAAAATTATCAAATATGAAAATTTACTTATTTTGTAAATTGCTTGCTAAATTAGGAAACATCAAAGTTCTGAAAACTGTTTAATCTGCATTTGTACTCTATTGGTGTTGTGGATAAGAAGATCATATACTTTTATGTTAAAAATTCTTGAAATTATCATGAGTTTCTTATCCAACAAGATTTAATAGGTCTTTTTACTCAATTATTTAAAAGCATTTTAGAGTTCCTTATTAACACAGACATTCAAATCCAGTATCAGCTCCCTAGAAAGCATGAAAAGCTGTTTTACAGATGCTTTTGTCCACAGAAGCAATTTTTATAGGAGAAACATTATTTCACTTTATTTGACTTACTTGTCTTCTTTGTTCATTAAGCTAATTACTCTAGTCTACATTTATGCCTTTCATCTACCTTGTTTCTTGAGCTTGATCCTTTTCCAACCCTGAATCGACTGTTACTGAATAGTTGAAGCTGAACAGGAAGGAATTGCAGGTGTCAACTCACAGTTTACAAATATGACATCTCCTCTGGCATAGCTGGAAATATGAAATATTGATTTATGTGCAGTAAAAGGTCTTATAAAAATGATCACATACACATGAGAGATTAATGCGCAGGAGATCAATAGAAATTTCATTCTTGACGCTAGACTGTCACCTATGGTGAAATGCTAAAATACAGAAATCAATATTATCTATGAAATGTCAAATTTATTATAATTATGAGGATGAAAGCTGGCCAAGTGGCTCCCAGGAGAGAAGGAAGGATAGGTTACTGTGCTGAAGCATCCTTCATGTCCCTTGTTCACTTGCTGCCAATTTGAGAGCAATATTGGTGCAGGAGGTTTTCAGGCATTACGTACCGCCGTGTAGTAACAAATTCCTGCTGGAATATTTAACTCTTGAAACTGACAATAATACAAGTGTTCACATAGTCAAAAGGTGTAGAACTTTTAGCTCCAAAATATAGAGAACATTTTAAGCATAGATTTTAATGTGGTATGTGTACCACAGCCCATTGCTTAGGAAAATTGAGCTTTTACAGACAGAAGATTAATAAGATCTTGGTGCAATTTTATTCAAGCTCATGTTCATTCTCTCCAGTGGTGGTGGTGGTGGGGGGTGGAGGGCGGAGAGGGGAAATCCTAAATTATCTATTAGTAGGCTTCACATTTTCTATAGTTTAAGCCATTAGCTTGATTCTTAGAAATTGCCATTCAATTTCCACCGCTAGGCAGCAATTCTTTGAACAGATTTTTATGAGTTTGTGGCAGCCTGCTAGTCTCATGTATCAAGTTTAATAGAGTCTTTGAAAAAGTAACACAAAGCTAAAATTTTATGAGCTTATAAGAAAACAATAAAATGAGAGTATTTGGTCTTTCCTTTAAAGCGGGGAGGGGGAATTTTAGAATTTTCAGTTAAAAGCAAAAAGAAAAATATACTTCTTTTCACATATTCTCCATGTCTACAGAAAAAGTTTTAAGCCCTTGTTAATAATATCATTGATGCTCATAATAAGTGTAGGTTTTACTAGTGAATATTAGTGATGCTGCACTGTAATTCTTGTAGAGATTGGGGTTTGGTGTGGGTGGGCACAAGGGAAGATAAATGCATCTGACCAAGAGCAAATTAGGAAACTTGGAGGAAAATCTTGATTCCATTGTAGGTGGTATAGGTGATGAATAGGTTGTGTTATTCACTATCAATTAACACTATTCATAAAACTCCCTTGTTCAGATTTTAATGATTCCCAATATTAAATACAAGCAGTGTTCTCTGCCAACTAAGCCTGGAGAACAGCAGAAATAGCATGTTCATTTTATTATCCTGTTGCTCCACACAGAAGGACCTCAGAAATTTGAGAAATGAATGAGTGAGTGAAACATTAAGTTTTTCCATCCTGCGGTGCTGTGGTACCAACTGAGGTGTTTGGGGATAAAATTTCTTCTCATTTGGAATTAACATTTTGTTTATCTTTAGAATTTTGATTCGCTTTTCTTTTCATCCCCTTCTCAGGTCTAGATAGCTCTTTGGTAACAAGTAACTTTACCTGGATCCAGACAATACTTCTGGTTGGGACATGGACTTGGGAACTAATGACTACGTATCAAAATCTCAAAACAAAGTCTGCCTAGTATAGACACCTCTTATTATGCACCCTTCAATTGATGGTCCCCCACTAAATTTTTAACTGGAATTACACACAATAGGTGGAAAGGTACTTTCTCTTTAAATATTAGTAATATTAGTAATATTGATTTGTTTGTAATGACAATCTTATTTGTTTTTCTATGATTTCTTGAATCTTCTTGGCTTATATTTATTTTAGAGCTTTGCTTATCATGATGTCCATGTGCCATTTCTTTAATCTGATTCTTAGGGAGATGTTTCTTGTCTAGACTTAGATTTAGTTAAACATATTTTGATTGAGGGGACATCTAATCAGTAATACCTAACATTTATTCTGAGTTTTTAGCTGTCAGTATAAAAATTGAATGGCACCGTTTCAATTATGACATTCAGGCCCCTCAGTAGCAAATTACTTTTTTTCTAGAGTTTTGGTTTTTCAGTGCCACTGTCTAATGCTATTGTTTTGTTCATGACATGTATTCTCTAATTATTACTTCTGTATTGTCATGGAAGAACATGTCATAGGTGCCATGGTGACAGCAGAATTTGACATTTCTCACAGATGAACTCATAAGGAAGTCACAGGAAGATTTCATAGGAAGTCACAGCAAGGCCCCATTCCATTCCACTCCATTCAGTGAGTGAATGCCATTCCATTCAGGGAGCATTAGTTGAATGTCTACTGTATGCAGGAAGCTGAGATAGAAAGATAAAAAGGCTCAGACAGAGCTCTCAATGAGTTCACAAAATAGTACAAATTCGATGATATTTAGAAATGGAAAATATTCAGAAAAGGAAATTTTAAGACTCAGAACCTGTACAAGCATTCCCGAATCCTTGGATTCATGCACCCTTTGCTCAAATAAAAACCGATTTGCATATCTTATAGAAAAGAGACAGTCCATAGACATTCCAGAGACATAAAACACAAAGTTTTTCTTCTCATCTATTGTTTTTGAATTATTTACTCTTCCTAAATATTATCTATTTTGGCCAGAATTGTGGGATTATTATTACTGCCAAATATGATGGAGGGTTCATAAACTTTCTTCCAGTCGGTAATAAAAACACTGTTTTTAATCTGTAAAAGAGATAAAGATTTATTTACTTTTAAAAAAATGCTGTAGCATTTATACAATTTATAAATAAATACAGATTTGGAAAGATTTTCCACTCTACACAGCTTCTTAAGGCTTTTTTTTTTTCTCTTCTGTACCTCAAGTACCCAAAGCAGTTAAAGTTAATACTTAATGCAACCCAGTTGAAGAGATAGGCATTTTTTGCAGTCAGGTCTCAATTAAGAGATAAAAGACAAAAAGTGCAAAGCGCTTGATAAAGCTAAGAATACAAGGCCAGCCATAGATGTGCTTGAAGCTGTCCATAGCGATAACTGGATAGTCAGCTGGAATCTTCTTGAATTGAAGTGGGTGCTCTAACTTATCAAATTCCACATATGGGGAAATTATTGGTGCCTACAGTGGTGATTAACACTAACCCACTGGGTCAGAAACAAGCTGGGATAAAGGTGAAAACTGTATCTGACTATCAACACCAAATACATCCATTTAGAGAAAGATAGCAGAGGGTTTTTTCTTTTTTTATATCTTCAGTTGTGCAGGTTGTCAGGCTGGTCACACAGTTAACGCTGCATATAGAGTGCTCTCTATAATGTGCAAATTGCAATGCACATTAAAATGTAATCTACTTTAATAAGTCACATGAAGATTACATTTTAAGATAATTGTTTGCATGTTTATGCTACACACCAAAATATTTTCCTGCTTTGTTTACAGTATTTTCTCTTTGCCTTTAAAACATAATGATTGCAACCATTAGCACTAAATAACTTCCTCCTTCGTATGGTTGGGGGTGAAGTTATGAAGATTCAAATTTTGGGTTCCTGGAAGCATGGTTTAATAATATAATATTCAAAAATCTGCTTGATTTTATTGACTTTCTCAAAGTCAAACTTGTTATGATAATCAAAAACCCTATTTTGCATAAGTAATTAGGACACTTGTCTTGAATTATGCAGATGATTTTATAAGTTGTCCACTTTCCAATTCCTGTGTAGACAAAAATATGTGACTGGTGACAATTTTTGAAATACTTATAATGAACATCATCACCTGGGTTTTCTGGCAAATCTGTTCACTTGGAACATGGCCAATTATCAATGATTTATTAGAATAGATGAGAAGAAAATTAAAGGAAAATGGAAATGAAAAATAATCTCCAAATTTCACATTGTTCATTCATTTAAAAGTACTTTTCCACTCAGCCACCAGTAAAATCATTTACAAGTGATGACATTTAACTGAAAAGATTTTCATCTCCTTTTTTCCCCTCTTATCTATCTTGTAATATAAGTACCAATGAATACTAAAATAACCCATTGGGGTCATGAGCCAAAATAAGTCCTTATTAGTCTATGTAGATATTATGCCCTCAGCAAGTAGCAAGATGACTGGCCCAGAATTGGTACCTAATAAATATTTCTTAAATGAATGAATGAATGAATAAACAGAGATTTGAAAATATAACCAAGTTATGAGTTGACTGAGCTGTGTAGTTTTTAAATCTGGCAGTTATCACAATGCTCAATTGAAACTTGCTGAATTGTTTGGGTTCTGTTTACAAGGAACCTATTTTTGAAGAATCAGTTCATGACTTGATCACATATGCCCACTGATTTATTTATATTAATGCTATTAAAATATGTCGTTACCCAGAAAAATTATAATAGCTTTCTTCCTGAGCCATCACACCCTAGGTTGCCATACTTTTTTCCCGAATGATCTCTTGATTAACAAGCAAAATTTCCAATCTACTCTCTATTGAAATAATTCAGTGATCTTTGTTCATTCTGTAGAAGCAATGGAGCCATATATTGAGAGAAATATTTAAGTTCCAGGTGCTATAAAACCCAATTGAAATATGCTGCATAAAAAAGAAATATTAGTGTATATCTGTAACTGAAAATTTGGCAGAATGTATTGAGACATAGCTAGATATAGGTGCTCAAATAATGTCATCAGAATTCAGACTATCTCTTGCCTATGATTTTCTGTTTTGGCTTCTTAGACAGTTCTTCCTACAGAAGGTTAAGCTGGCTCTCAGGAAATCAAGGCTGCCTTTTTCTTTTCTTTCTTTGTCTTTGTCTTTTTTTTTTTTTTTTTTTTTGAGGCAGGGTCTTGCTCTGTTGCCCAGGCTGGAGTGCAATGGCACAATCTCGGCTCACTACAAGCTCCGCCTCCCGGGCTCACTCCATTCTCCTGCCTCAGCCTCCCGAGTAGCTGAGACCACAGGCACCCACTATCATGCCCGGCTAATTTTTTGTATTTTTAGTAGAGACGGGGTTTCACTGTGTTAGCCAGGATGGTCTCGATCTTCTGACCTCATGATCTGCCCGTCTTGGCCTCCCAAAGTGCTGGGATTACAGGTGTGAACCACCGTGCCCGGCCTTTCTTTCTTTTTTTTTTTTTTTTTAAACAAAACAAAACAAAACAAAATAAAACAAAACAAAACAAATCTCGGCTAAATGGAAAATGAATCTCCATTCCAGTGTACTCACCAAAAGTTCTGGAGTTGAGCCTCATTGCCTTACTTGAGTCCTGTGTCCATCCTTGACTCAAATGTTCTGGCCAGCAGACAGAATATGCCTGTTTGTAAATGTCTGGATCACAGGTCGTTTTCCACATCAATTTGTGTTGGCACTGGGAGGTAGTGCTCTGTTGTGGGTATTGTGTCTATGTTTGGATTCAGGAGGAGGGTCACTATGAACTGAATCACAAGAACTGGGAATGAAGGAATATAGCTCTCTAGGAAACATCCAAGTACATTTCCAGAAGAATGAGAATGAATGAATTTTGGAGAGACAGAAACAATAGATGTATGTTGTAAGAAGTGTAAATGAAATAATGAAAGTATCAGTAAAAGGATTATAAAGGAGGAAAGCCTATAGAAGCTCCAAAATTATAGCTACTGAACAACTGAAGTTTTCCAAAAAATAAGCTATGTCTAACTACTGTATCAAACACTGTAATGCATTACTAAAGACCCAGGTCTACCAAAATATTTTGGAATGTATTCAACTCTGTAATTTAGAAATGTAGTCAATATGGGCATTTTTGGTGTTGGTCAGGCTAGGGGAAAAACAAGCATATATATACTTTCCTGTTTTTAATGTAATCTCTTTGTTTTGAAAGGCAACTGACAGTATGAGCTGGGGAAGAGGGGAAATGGCTCATTTTCCCCATCTAGGGTACTATTCAGCTGGGGGTCTTTGCTGATTGCTAACACTTCACTGAGTTCTACTGCCCATAGAGGGCGTTATTTTTAATGTTGAGAATTAAAATTGCGTTACTGAATGAGAATGGAAAAAGGAGAAAAGTCATCACCTTAATGAATTTCAGTAGATGAGCTAAAATAATATTCAGATGTAAGGTCTCATCAATAATGTTAAGCAGAATTTTAGTCTTGACTTTTAAAATGACTTAATAAGTTAAGTAAAAGACAGTGTGTGATAGTTTGGACTATAGAATAAATTAATTTAACATAATTTGTTAATAAAACCCTTTGTTTTATCCTTTATACTTTAGTTCAGAACCTTTGTTTTGTTAAACTTTGTTCTGTCCTTTGGCAGCTATGACCAAAAGAAGAAATTATTCTTTATATTTATACCCTATTGTTTCCAGCAAAATACATTCTTTCATCACAGTTTTAAGTGCTGTTTTTTTTCTAGCTAAGTTCCAAAATTTCTACATTCTAGACTTCAAAACATTATTGAAGTCTCTGTGATCTTGGTTCAATTGAACAGATTCAGGATTATAAATCTGTTTTGTAAATGATTCTCTATAACTTCTTCTCTATCTACCATTACAAATATACAATGTTTCTCTTCAGCACATCATCAGGATGTACTAAATTGTGCCAAATCAGGTAGCCTATTACAGTTTTTAATTATTTTCTAAATAATCTCAGGTCAAAATCTATACATTTCTGGAGCATTTTATATATTGAATTAAAATAATAGCACAGGGCTTGTGTTGAGATTTAGATAAGGCATTACATTTCAGTTTATCATGAATTATTTTCACATTTTCCAAGCAGTTTAGTCTGGACCAACTTTATAAGCAGGCATCTCAGTGCTGTAGTCGAGTGGCAGCCAAAAGGTCCTCTGGTCCTACTAAAACTTCCTTCATCACATAGTCTCTTGAAACAAGCACTGTGATTCCCATAAAGTAAGACACCTTGTCTTAACTTATTATTCTTAGAAAGCCCTGTGAAGAGGATAACATATAGTCATTGACAGCCATTAACATTTGATGCCAGCAAAAATATGGGGGCTGGAGAGGGGATGGATGGGTGAAGAACTGAATCTCACGCCCTGTGCTTTGCAGAGGAAAATTCCTGTTTAATTGCAAGAAAAGGAATAACTGCAATTTTGCCTTTATAAAAAATCATTTTGTGTAGATTAGATTCTAAACTGAGATATGAAAAAGAAATTGGCTTGAGATACAAAGACTTTATGTAATATTTACTACATATAGTTTTGGAAGGTAGCCCAATGGTTGCTTTTTTATCTGT
The DNA here is from genome assembly GCF_000001405.40 of Homo sapiens. Lineage (NCBI taxonomy): Eukaryota > Metazoa > Chordata > Mammalia > Primates > Hominidae > Homo > Homo sapiens. The sequence goes on along the minus strand of NC_000002.12, from coordinate 156,128,158 downwards.
TTATTATTTCATGTACCGATAGCTAATGTTTTTTGAGTTTACTATGTGCCAAATGTTGTCCTAATTGTATTACATGAATTATGTAATACGTAATCTCACTTAAACCTTCTAAACAACCCTCTGAGGTAGATATTATTATCACATTTTACAGAATGAAACAATAAGATGTAGACATATTACATTGCCAAGGTCACATGGGAGTTGGGGAGGGTTGAAGCACAGTGAAAAAGTAAGTAGTACATGAAAAACTAGTAGATGTACAAAAAACCAAAATGGGTGATATGACAGAGTGATGGGGTCAGGATACAGGAGGACAGGATTATAATATGTCAGGTGGTCAGGAAAGAATTTGAGAGGAGGTAAAATTTGAGGAAAGATCTGTAGTATAAATAGCAACAAGCTATGCAAAAACTTGCAAGTATAATACAAACCTCCTAAAGCAGAAAGAAGTGTGATGTGTTTGATGAGAAGAACAGGGAAGCCCTGTTAGCCATGTTGTAAGTATAGCCCTTCTTCTGCAAAAGCCTTGTCCACTTGGAGATCTATCAAGATTAGAGGAAGAACAAGTAGTTGTCTTTCTGAGTTATGTTTTTCAGTTTTCCTTGTTTTCTGGAATCACAAGTCTTAGATGTAACAGTGTGTATTGTCAGCGTTCTCCAGAAAAGCAAAACCAACAGGATCTAGATCTAGATCTAGATATAGATGATATAGATATAGACATATAAGAGGGGATTTATTATGGGATTGGCTCCTGTGATTATGAAGATCAAGAAGACCCATAATTAACCTCTGCAAGCTGAATAAGCAGGAAAGCTGGCAGTGTAATTCAGTCTGAGTTCAAAGGCCTGAAAACCAGTAGAGCCAATAGTATAACTCCCAGTCCAATGTCAATGGCCTAAGAACTGAGGGACTGCTAGCATAAGTCCTGGTTAGGTTTAAGAACTAGGAGCTCCCATGTACAAGGGTAAAAGAAGATGATATGGTTTGGCTGTGTCCCCACCCAAATCTCATCCTGAATTGTAGCTCCCATAATTCCCATGTATTGTGGGAGGGACCTGGTGGGAGGTAATTAAATCATGGGACAAGTCTTCCCCATGCTGTTCTCATGATAATGAATAAGTCTCATGAGATCTGATGGTTTTATAAAGAGGAGATTCCCTGCATATGCACTTTGCCTGCTGCCACGTAAGACATGACTTTCCTTCTCCTTTACCTTCCACCATGATTGTGGGGCCTCTCCAGCTGTGTGGAACCGTGAAACCTTTAAACCTCTGTCCTTTATAAATTACCCAGTCTCAGGTATGTCTTTATTAGCAGGGTGAGAATGGATTAATACAGAAGATGAATGTTTCGGTCAAGAAAAGAGAGAGAGAGTTTGTCCTTTCTTCACTTTTTCGTTCTATTTAGGTCCTCAATGTATTGGATGATACTCACTCACATTGGTGAGGGCAGATCTTCTTTACTCTGTCTACTGATTCAATTGCCAGTCTCTCTGGAAACACTCTCTCAGACACACCTTGAAATCATGTTTTACCAGCTATCTGGGCATCTTTTAGCCCAATCAAGTTGACACATAAAATTAACCATCACAGAGTGTCTTCTCTTCTTTTGGATTTCACATGAAATTTCTTTCTCTAGCCTTTCTCATCCAAATACATTTCTTATTGGCATACACATTAAGGGTCACACCATTTAACCAAGAAGCAACTTCTGTACTCAGTCTTTATTAAGGTTAGAGTCTGGATTTCATTAAAAAACAAACAAGCCAAACTTTATTTAATTCACAAGTTTACTCAAATGTTCATTGAAGGCCTATTATATATATTTTGGCTAATAACAAAATAAATTTGTCATGGACATTATCCTTAAGAAGTTTAAATCCCATATAATGAATATTTTAAAAATGCATGTATATAAAGTAAAAATATTTACCTTATTTTTCATACCCCATCAGTCTTTTTGCCCAGTGAGTCCATTATCCCTGGAGCACATGGATCACTCAGAGAAGGCAAAGAAGTCATTATTCAGGCCTAAGTTGCAAAAGTGATTTTGTCATGTAAGATAATAAGAGTTTTAAAAAATAAGCTTTGTTGAGAAAGAAAATGTCATTCTAAATTCCAAAAGTTTGCCTTTATATAGCAGGAGCAAAACCTGATGCCTTAGTGTTGTATTATACATTATAATGTATAAAGATTATAAGTCCTAATGTAAGAGAGGTTCTTATCCAAGTAGCAGGGGAAAAGTATTTTTGTTATGGCGTTTAAAGAAAAAAACTTGAAGAACTGAGTTGAAAGAAAGACATTAAAAGGTGGTGCAAATCCTTATATCAGTTGCTCTCTTTGGCCATGGCCCGAGAAGGTGGTTGTAGAAAGATGGAAGAGATGAAAACAATATACAGAGATGGAAGCTAAAAGTGGTGGGGTTTTGTGCCTCCTTTCCTCCTAGAAACTCTGAGAGGAAAACTATCATGATGGGTTGCTGTGTACTGTGAGCACAACACAACTCTAGGGAGCATTAGTTAAATTCTAACCTATCTCAACTGTGCTCCTGGTGTTGTACATTGCTCAACTGAAAGTCCGAATGTGGTATCCTTGGCTATCTGCTCATCATAGAGCAGAAATGGCTGCATGAGATGTTTAGGCAAAGAGGGGCCAAATAAAACTATCATGAGTCTCCCTCCTTCCATGTATGATGGAAGGAATTTGAAAATTTCCCACGTACCTTCAGTAGGGGAATGCAGAAGGAAGATGTTAATTGCTGAGTTAAACAGAAGCCAGGCAAAGCAAAGAAGATTTGTAATGACAATGAGAAAAGAAGAGGGGTCCTGAACAGCCAGGAGGCGAGCAAGCTTTCTGGGATAAATCACAATTCCCTTCTCTAAAAAGAGATCAGACCATGAGTGAAACTGCAGCCACTTCAGCACTGAAGCCAGTGAGGACAGAGGCTGCTTACTCCCCACAGGCTAGCAGGATGAGAAACTGAAAGGGAAGTGGGGCACCGGGACGAAAGGCCCCTTTCTCAATGACATGAGCTGGGGCCAGCTTTTCCTCGCAACTTGAGAAGGAAAAGAGGTGCCTTGAAAGGGAGCTGAACTTCGAATCGTTTGCATATTTACCGGAAATGGATGATTATAACCAGAGGAGACAAAGTTGCTATTATTTGGTAAGATGGGGTGGGGGAGGTATTAATTTTTCCCCATTTTTTTAAAAATAAAGATACTTATCCCCCACCCCTCAATTCTGAGTTTGTAGTTTTAAAATTGTGTATGTGTGTGTTTGCGTGTGCACCAGTCACTTCCATATACTATATGAACCTAAATATAAAACAATTATCTAGGAGGTTTAGATAAAGTGGTAATAAGATTCTTTATAGCTAGCTAAAAGTGATCTGATTTTATTCAAACCTGTGTGCTGTTTTTGTTTTCTTAACTCTGAAAGAGGATTGCCCACTATGGAAGTTCAGTAATTTGTGTAATTGGAGCTCTTTACATTTTATTGATCTACTTTCAAGGTTCATTTGGATTTTGAATACATAGTGCTTTCAATAATTAAAGAAGGATTAGTTTTATTGCTCTGAGTTGGAATCCATTTTATTTTCCAAATGTATTATATTTCTCCACTGTGTAAAGAAAGCAGAGACCTAGATGGTTTTTCACTGACTCAGTGAGTTAGTTACCTAGTGCTAACAAAATTGCTTTGGGGTTTTCCACAGAAAATGAGGTAAATGAGATCTTTTATAGGTATACTACATTAAACTCAAATTAAAGTTTTAGCAATAATTTTAAAAGTTAGTTCCATCTGGTAAGGTTTTGGTTTCAATTTTTGTTTCTTGTTGACTCTAGAAAAATCTCCTCTAACAACTGTGCTCCTGGGGTTAGTCACATAGGATTTTAAAAATGTGTATCAGCTTCTGTGTCTCGTCACTAATGAATCAGGGCCACCATGGGCTGACCAACCAATATGGCTCTGTCAGCCTATGCCATCAGATTGTCAGCCCTGGTTTAGGCTAAATAACTTTAGCTTGACATCATTTATTGGAGTTACACTAGCAGTATTAAAAATTGCTTTTATTGTGAAAATGAGATTTTTCTGATACCCCAATTCACTTTTCTAGGAAAGTGCACATATCTGCCCCATTTCTGAGGTCTTGGGCTATACAGAACTAGGATAATAATAGAGTTGTTTCATTTATTTATTCTTTGTTTAGTTTGATAAGGCAGAGAAAAGACATTTTGATAGTATAACAGAGGAATTATGCAACAGAGACAATCAATCTCAGCTGTAAAGGGCTTGGTTTGTGTTATAAATAGATTATTTTTAGTGGATGCTGGACTAGGAAGAACACTTTTCCTTCATCTCTTTCACCAGAGTCCTTAAGTCTTCTCCCCATTCTTCATTTTGCTACGGGAGAAACTACATGGGCCAAAACGTAGTGGAGGAAGACACAGAACCCTGGTGGAACAAAGAGGGAATAAAGTGTAGGGAGATTTAGGAGGACAAGGAGAGGTGACATCAGAGAAAGAAAAGCTCCTCAATGTCCAAAGGAAACAGACTCACTGGGAACGATGGGCAACTGCTGGAAGAAATAACTATCTTGCACCATCTCTTGGACAATCTGTGTTTTTGATTGTCCAATAGTAGTGTTTTGTGGAATGGACTGTGCATTTTCACTCTTTCTAATATTAATGGCATAGCTTCATATTTTGTGTGTGTCTCTCTTCCTTACTATAAACCATTAGTTTGAGGATTATGTCGCCTTACCACCAGTACCTCACATAATATCTGTGCTACACATTTACACATTCTCCGTTAATGACCAAGTTACAATGGGTGAAATTTCAAAATTACCTATTTGTTCTTTATAGCTCTGAACCATTTGAATTATAGTTATTGGCCATTTGGTCCTTCTAGGGAACTTTAAAATTCAAGATAATCAAGATGTAATTTGATATAAATCTCTTTAAAAGTAAACTGCAGTGGCTCATGCTTGTAATCCCAGCACTTTGGGAGTCTGAGGTGGGCGGATTACGAGGTCAGGAGATTGAGACCATTCTGCTAACATGGAGAAACCCTGTCTCTACTGAAAATACAAAAAATTAGCCGGGCATGGTGGCAGGTGCCTGTAGTCCCAGCTACTCGGGAGGCTGATGCAGGAGAATGGCATGAACCCAGGAGGTGGAGGTTGCAGTGAGCCGAGATCATGCCACTGCACTCCAGCCTGGGTGACAGAGCAAGACTCTGTCTCAAAAAAAACAAAACAAAACAAATAAAAAAAAGTAAACTGCAAATGTTAAATGAGATTTTCTTTAAATTCTAAAGAAAAAGAAACTTGAAATAACTTCAACTGTTTTAGCTTTCTGTATTAGTCCATTCTCATGCTGCTATAAAGGACTGCCCAAGACTGGGTAATTTATAAAGGAAAGAGGCTTAATTGACTCACAGTTCCACATGGCTGAGGAGGCCTCAGGAAACTTACAATCATGGTGGAAGGCACCACTTGACAAGGTGGCAGGAGAGAGAATGAGTGCCGAGCAAAGGGGAAAGTCCTTTATAAAACCATCAGATCTCATGAGAACTCACTCACAATCTTGAGGACAGCAGCATAGTGATAACCACCCCCAAGATTCAATTACCTCCCACTGGGTCCTTCCCATGACATGTAGGGATTATGGAAACTACAAGATGAGAATTAGGTGGGGACACAGCCAAACCACATCATTCTGCCCCTGACCCCTCCCCAGTCTCATCTCCTCACATTTCAAAACATAATCGTGCATTCCCAACAGTCCCCCAAAGTCTTAACTCATTCCAGCTTTAACCAAAAGTTCAAGTCCAAAGTCTCATCTGAGACAAGGCAAGTCCCTTCTGTCTATGAGCGTGTACAATCAAAAGCAAGTTAGTTACTTCCTAGATACAATGGGGGTGCAGGCATTGGTAAACACACCTATTCCAAATGGGAGAAATTGGCCCAAATGAAAGGGCTACAGGCCTCATACAAGTCTGAAATCCAGTGGGGCAGTCAAATCTTAAAGCTCCAAAATTATCTCCTTTGACTCCATGTCTCACATCCAGGTCACAGTGATACAAGAGGTGGGCTCCCACAGCCTTGGGTATCTCTGCTCCTGTGGCTTTGCAGGGTACAGCCCTCCTCCCAGCTTCCTTCATGGGCTGACATTGAGTGTCTGCAGCTTTTCCAGGAGGAAGGTGAAAGCTGTTGGTGGAACTACCATTCTGGAGCCCAGAGGATGGTGGCCCTCTTCTCACAGCTCCACTAGGCAGTGCCCCAGTAGGGACTCTGTATGGGGGCTCTGACCCCACATTTCCTTTCTATACTGCCCTAGCAGAGGTTTTCTATGAAGTCTCCACTCCTGCAGAAAACTTCTGCTTAGACATCCGGGCATTTCCATACATCCTCTGAAATCTAGGTGGAGGTTCCCAAATGTCAATTCTTGACTTCTGTGCACCCACAGGCTCAACACTATGTGGAGGATGCCAAGGCTTGGGGCTTGCACCCCAAGCATGCCATGAAACCATGGTGTGAGCTGTACCTTGGCCCCTTTGAGCCACCACTGGGACACAGGGCACCAAGTCCCAAGACTGCACAAAGCAATAAGCAACTCTGGGTCCAGCCTATGAAGCCATTTTTTTTTTATCCTAGGCCTCTGGGCCTGTGATAGGAAGGGCTGCCATGAAGACCTCTGACATGCCCTGGAGGCAGTTTCCCTATTGTCTTGGTGATTAACATTTGGGTCCTTGTTACTTTTGCAAATTTCTGCAGCCAGCTTGAATTTCTCTTCAGAAAATGGGTTTTCTTTTCTATCACATCGTCAGGCTGCAAATTTTCTGAACTTTAATGCTCTGCTTCCCTTTTAAACATAAGTTCGAATTCCAAACCATAACTTTGTGAATACATAAAATGGAATGCTTTCAGAATAATCCAGGTCATGTCTTGAATGCCTTGCTGCTTGGAAATTTCTTCTGCCAGGTACTCTAAATCATCTCTCTCAAGTTCAAAGTTCCACAGATATCTAGGGCAGTGGCAAAATGCTGCCAGTATCTTTGCTAAAACACAGCAAGAGTCACTTTTATTCCAGTTCCCAACAAGTTCCTCATCTCCATCAGAGACCACCTGAGCCTGGACTTCATTGCCCATATCACTATTAGCATTTTGGTCAAAGCCATTAAACAAGTCTCTAGGAAGTTCCAAACTTTCCCACACCTTCCTGTCTTCTTCTGAGCCCTCCAAATTGTTCCAACCTCTGTCTGTCACTCAGTTCCAAAGTCACTTCCACATTTTCAGGTATCTTTACAGCAGCATCCCATTACCCAGTACCAATTTATTGTATTAGTCCATTCTCATGCAGCTATAAAGCACTGGCCAAGACTGGATAATTTATAAAGGAAAAAGGTTTAATTGACTCACAGTTCCACATGGCTTGGGAGGCCTCAGTAAACTTACAATCATGGCAGAAGGGGAAGCAGACATGTTCTTCTTCAAATGCTGGCAGGAAGGAGAAATGCCAAGCAATAGGGGGAAAAGCCCCTTATGAAACCATCAGTTCTCATGAGAACTCACTATCATGAGAATAGCACCATGGGGGTAACTGCCTCCATGATTCAGTTACCTCCCACAGGGTCCCTCTCATGACATGTAGGAATTATGGGAATTACAATTCAAGATGAGATTTGAGTGGGGACACAGCCAAACCATATCACTTATCATAGAGTAAGAATGAAATGAGCTATTTTCTTTTCTTTTTTTTTTTTTTTTTGAGACGGAGTCTCTCTCTGTTGCCCAGGCTGGAGTGCAGTGGCGCAATCTCGGCTCACTGCAATCTCCGCCTCCTGGGTTCACACCATTTTCCTGCCTCAGCCTCCCGAGTAGCTGGGACTACAGGCACCCACCACCATGCCCGGCTAATTTTTTTTTTTTTTGTACTTTTAGTAGAGACAGGGTTTCAACGTGTTAGCCAGGATGGTCTCGATCTCCTGACCTCATGATCCACCTGCCTTGGCCTCCCAAAGTGTTGGGATTACAGCTGTGAGCCACCGCGCCCAGCCAAAATGAGCTATTGTTTTTATGGCATGTCGTTATAGCACTATGATGAAATTCATTGAACTTTGTTCATTAGAGATGAATAGTAATATAAATAGTAATATATTAATCCAAGATCATGTTAGCTGCTTTTCCTCTTGGAACATTCTTTGGATGATTAATTTATTCATTATTATTTCACAAATAATGTGCCTTTATTATGCACAATTCACTTTTGGTTAGGCTTGCAAGAGGATTGAACAAAATGCATTTTTGTCCTGGTGAAGCTTACATTCTAGTGGGAAACACAAATTACTTATTTATAAAATATATTATATTTGTTCCTACCTTACGCTATACATAAAAATTAGCCCAAAAGGAATCAGAGAAACTATAAAACTCTTGGAGGAAAATCTAGGAGTAAACCTTCATAACCTTAGATTTGACAATGAATTATTATATATAACACCAAAAATGCAAGCAATAAAATAAAAATAGGTAAATTGTATTTCATAAAAATTAGAAGATCTCATAAATCAAAGGACATTATCAAGAAAGTGAAAAGACAATCTAGAGAATGGGACAAAATATTTGCAAATTATATATCTGATTAGGGTCTAGTATGCAGAATGTAATAAAAAAGTCTTATAATTTTTTATTCAAAAAAGTTTTTGTTTTCCAAAAACAAAATACTTAAATCTAGTTCAGAAATGAACAAAGACTTAAATAAACATGTTTCTAAAGAAGACATACAAATGACCAACAAACATGAAAATATGCTCAAAATCATTAAAAAATGCAAATCAAAAATTACAGTGAGATACTACTTCATATCCACTAGGCTGGCTATAATGCAAAAAAAAAAAAAAGAGAGAAGTTTTTCTTATTTCTAACCACACCCTGGTGATCTCATTCAAGTCTCACAGTTTTAAACAGTGCTATGAGTACGGAACACTCCCCTGAATATCAAACTAGTGTATTCAGCTATCTACTCTACATAGGCCCTTGAGTGCATGCTAGTCTTTCAAACTTAACATCTCTAAGACTGAGTTCTTCAGCTTCCCCCAAACCTACTCTTCTTACACTCTTCCTCATCTTAACAAATGGCAACTCAATTTTTCCCGTTGTTCAGACCAAAGAAATTGAAGTCATTCTTTGTTCCTCTTTTGCTGACACAGCACGTATTATCCATTGTCAAATTCTGTCACCTATTTTATAGCCCATTCTGGATATTTCATACAAATTGAGCTATACAATATATGATCTTTGTGTTTGGTTACTTTCACTTATAATGTTTTCAAGAATCATCCATATTGTAGCATGTTTCAGTACTTTATTGCTTTTTTATGGATGAATAATATTCCATTGTACTGATATAACATATTTTGTTTTTCCATTCATCAGATGATAGACCTGTAGATTGTTTCTACCTTTTGGTTCATCAATAGTGCTGTTGTGAACATTGATGTGCAAGTTTTTGTTTGATTACTTAGTAGTCCCAGCTACTTGGGAGGCTAAGGCAGGAGAATCGCTAGAACCCGGGAGGCAGGGGTTGCAGTGAGCCGAGTTTGTGCGACTGCACTCCAGCTGGGCGACAGAGTGAGACTCCGTCACAAAACAAAGAAAGAAAGAAAAAATATGTAGGCATATGTTCCTAATATTGTATTCTAACCAAGAAGTCAGAGAAATGTTTAACACAGGTGAGTAGAAATCATGGGTGCGGCCGGGTGCGGTGGCTCACGCCTATAATCCCAGCACTTTGGGAGGCCAAGGTGGGCAGATCACGAGGTCAGGAGATCGAGACCATCCTGGCTAACATGGTGAAACTCCGTCTCTACTAAAAATACAAAAAAATTAGCCCGGCATGGTGGCAGGCGCCTGTAGTCCCAGCTACTCGGGAGGCTGAGGCAGGAGAATGGCGCTTACCCAGGAGGCGGAGCTTGCAGCAAGCCGAGCGCCACTGCACTCCAGCCTGGGCGACAGAGCAAGACTCCATCTCAAAATAAATAAATAAATAAAAATAAAAAATAAAAAATAAATCACGGGTGCAGAAGATGTCCTAGGCCTGGGGAGGAGCCTGAGGAAGTGGCCCATGCCGTCTTTTTTTCTGACACACACAGTGACACATCGTAGAGGTTCAATAATTGTGGCCAATAAATAAAGAAATAGAGTCTAGCTACCACCCTTGAAGCTGAATTATATGGTATAAAAGCCCAGTGGTTTTATTCTTTATTACTTACTAAGTAGATTTGCTACCATTCACTGTTTAGCAATCCTTAGAGTCAAGAATTTTGGGGTTACATTTCACTGATATGTCTCTTGTTGCCAGTCAAGATTATTTTTTTTCTTTAGTTCAGTGATATATGGAGTTGGAGAGTGGCAGCTCAACACCTTCTTTATAATTTAAATTCATTAATGTAGAAACCTCTCAGACTTATTTTCCCCTCTAGGTTAAGTAGCCTTAACTCCTCTGCAAACTCCCAGGATCCATTTTTTTCCCCCTAATTGCTTTTCTCTGGATATTCTTCAGTTCCTCCAAGTGCTTCTTTAAAAAGTGCAAAAATTCATTACTGGCGGCTTTCCGGACAATAACAGTTCTATCCCTTGCTCATTGGTTGACAGAATAACATGCCCAATGTTGTGATAATATGAGGGCTAATGGATCCTAGACTTGCTTTCACCCTACTCAAGTGAGAATTTAAACACTAGCAGTTTCCAGGCTTACTAACCTGTGCTTTCACATCCACCAAGAAGATTCTTATATGGAAGTAAAAGTTTCCATCATCGCCCACTAGTCCTTATTAGAGAGGCTGTTTTCCAGTTCTTGCAAACACATCTGTAGGCTGGTGCCCCAACATCAGGTGCCCGCAGGTCAAATTCATTTAACCTAAGAAACCTGGTCAAATATGAGCACCTTTTGTCAGCATTCCATATAGTTTTTCTCCCAGAAAGAATGACCAACCTGAAGCAGCTGTGGGTAATTCTGTTAGCCAAAACAAGCTGGAAGCAAAAGGGAAAAAGGTAACAGTGAAAATTCTTAAAGGAACCAAGTACAATCTCACTAATAAGCTACAAAACATTTAAATGACTAGTGTCTGTGTGTGCTTGCTAGTATTATTATACCATCAGAAAGTAAAAATGGACATACATGTTATGCATTAAACCCACAAGAGAGAAAACTTGAGGACTGATTAATTTAAGTAGTAAATGAATCCAAGAAGTGTGGATCACTTGATGGAAAATAACCAAGAAAGCCCATTATTATCTCTCTTGCTGGCTTGGTGTATGATGAAGAAGAGACATATATTAAAGGGTGCTGCCAGAAGAGAATAAATTTGTATCTTAATAGAAAACTCAAGGCAAACTTGCGGGGGTTACCAAATCAAGGAACATTTCTTGAATTCCCACTGACTACGGTGTTTCTGTCACATTGTTGATTGCTGCAGACATTTCCTTAACTCTAGAGTGCCAAACATCAAGAAAATGTGCACAAATAAACAATATTAAGAAACACTGGTGTGGTAGACTGTTAGAACTCCCCCCATTCCTGTATGTACATCTCTTTGCAATGTGACTTTGCTGGTTCTCTTGTAGTGGACTTTATTTCTACCCCAACTGACTCTGGGCTTGTCCATGCACCTTGCTTTGGCCAATGGGACATTAGCAAACATAACTCAAGTAGAGCCTTGAAAAGTCTTTTTACATTGAGACTCATGCTCTCTCACTGCTGGGAACCCTGAGAGCTCCAAGTGAGAGCTTTCAGGAAGCTGAAAGCTAGCTTTCACCCGAGAGGATGAAATTCCACATGTAAAGACAGGCTGAAACACTTCAGCCATCCTGGCCAGAACCTCAGGCATTAGAGTGAGTACAAACCAGACCATCAAGTCCTTGACAAAGTTACTCCATACCAGAACTGCCAGATCACCGACAGACATGTAAGAAATAAAAATCTGTTTTTGTTTTAAGTCACTAAGTCAGCAGCAAAAACTAATAGATACACAATGAAATAAATGTGTAAAGTTCAACTTTAAGACATGATATGTGATGGAATCATTGAAGAAATCATACAAAGTTGAGGTTAGTATGGAAAGGCTTCAAAAAAGAGTGAGGGTTTGGTGATTCTGTGTATAATATTTTGCAGAGATCTTTTTCTGCTTCATTTTTTTGTCACCAAATCAGCTGCAAATCCTGGTCACTTATGTTTAGATTACTACATGCATCTTCACATGTATCTTCCATCTCTTTTTGTCTATAATTCAAATAAGTATTCTTAGAGTCATCTGAGTTATATACAGGCATACCTTGTTTTATTGCACTCCACAGATATTGCAGTTTTTACAAATTGAAGGTTTGTGGCAACCTTGCATGGAATAAGTCTACCAGTGCCATGTTTTCTAACAGCATGGGCTCACTTTTTCACTTTGTTGACTTTTTTAAAGAAAATTTTTAGATTAAGGTATGTGTGTTGATTTCTTGGTCATAATGCTATTCCCCTCTTAATAGACTACAGTACGAGAGCATAACTTTTGTATGCACTGGGAAACCAAAAAAATTTGTGTGACTCACATTATTGCAGTATTTGCTTTATTGTTGTGGTCTGGAACTGAACTCACACTGTCTTGGAGGTATGCCTGTTGTATTAGTCCATTCTCACGCTGCTACAAAAACATACTTGAGACTGGGTAATTTATAAAGAAAGAGGTTTAATTGACTCAAAATTTCTAATGGCTGGGTGACCTCAGGAAACTTATGATGATGGCACAAGGCGGAGGGGAAACAAGGCATGTCTTACATGGTGGCAGGAGAGAGCGGGACTGGGATAAGGAAGTGTCATACTTTTAAACCATCAGATCTCATGAGAACTCACTTGCTGTCATGAGAACAGCATGAGGGAAATTGCCCCCATGATTCAATCACCGCCCAGCAGGTCTTTCCCTCAACACCTGGGGATTACTTGGTTCCATGTGACTTCTGAGTCTAGGCCATTGAAGGATAGAGCTTCTGCCTGGTTCTCTCTCTCAGATCATACACATTCTAGAGGAGTCCAGCAAACATCCTGTGAGGACAATTAAGCAGTCTTATGGAGAGACTCACATAGCAAGTAATCACATCCTCCCATCGTCAACCAGCATCAACTTTTTGGTCATGGGAATGAGCCACTTTGGAAGAAGATTGTCCAGCCCGAGTCCAAAACCTATAGCCCCAGGCAGCATTTTGAATTCAACATCATTAGAGTCTCTAAGGCAGAACCACTCAACTCAGCTGCTTCTCAATTCCTAACCCAGAGAAATTCCGTGAGATTCAAAATATTTATTATTGTCTTAAGCTACCAAGTTTTAGGGGAATTTGTTTCACAGCAATGGATAACTATTACACACAAAAGAAAAATGCCAAAATTTGCATAGTACTTTTAAAAATAAAAATAATAAATCAATCAGTCTGATTTTGGGCCAGCAGCTGGATCAGAGACATTAGTTGCAGTTCCTTATTTCGGAATCCAAATGTGAAACGACACACATTGTTAAGCTTAGTCTTTGGGTGCCTTAGCTCTTTTCTTTGTAAATTTTAGTTAATGAATCTGTCAATATCCAAGTCATTTTAAAAAACTTTGGATTCATGGTAGTAAACTCCCTCTTGTTTTATCTTCAATGTAATTAGTTTAATTTTATGCCTTAACGTTCTTATGATCTATCTTCTTTTCTATACTTCAGTCCTGTCTATATTCATACCCTTGTCTAATATTCTATGGAATATTTAGGAACTTAGGCCTCCAATCCGTCAGTAAAGTACCCCTTCTAAAAGGTACTATTTACAGTATATCATCTAAATGCTTTTGCTTGTTACAAAGTGACCAGGCCCTAAATATCTCTACAATAGTATATTTTGTCCATATCCCACTTCTTATGATCTAACTGATTACAGTGCTCCAATCAAGCTAGCTGTTTCATATTTCTAATTGGCCTCTGCTTGGAATGCTGTTTACCTCTTGTTCATCACTCTTGAGTACTTGTGTGCAGAGAATATTCGTATTCTTTAATTGCTAAATGTAGGTTTGTTCCTGAAGGGAATTTATAATCTGGAAGGGGGATTAATTAACTGATCCCAAACAGAAAATTACAAAGTGTAACCCTCACAAACAAAACTTCCATAATAAAGACTCTTGTACTTGTGTAATTAAATCTTCAGCACAATTGCCATCAAATATCAGTAGAAATAAGAATCATTTGAAGAGTTTGGTGATATTCATGTACCTAAACTCCATTATTTGAGATTCTAACTTCATTGTTCTGTGGGCCAAAGAATCGGCATTTTTTATTTCACAAGTTCCACAAAAGCATTAAAGATCTCATAAAAGGTCAACTTTTGTTGTTTAGGGAGACAATAAATGATGAGTAAGCTTGTAAGCCAAACTCAATGTATTTAGTATCCAAAGTGAATCTTTTCTTAGTAGCAAAAACTGAACAATAAAAAGTTGGGGCCGGGCGTGGTGGGTCACGTCTGTAATCCCAGCACTTTGGCAGGCCTAGGTGGGTAGATCATTTGAGGTCAGGAGTTCGAGACCAGTCTGGCCAACATGGTAAAACGCCGTCTCTACTAAACTACCAAAAATTAGCTGGATGTGGTGGCGCATGCCTGTATTCCCAGCTACTTGGGAGGCTGAGGCAGGAGAATTGCTTGGATCGGGGAGGTGAAGGTTGCAGTGAGCCAAGATTATGCCACTGCACTCCAGCATGGGCAACAGAGAGAGACTCCATCTCAAAAAAGAAAAAAAAAAAAAAGGGAAATTGGAGTGGCTATACAAATGTCAGACAAAATACGCTTTAAAATTAAAAATGTGACTAATGATAAGGAGGGGCATTTAATAATGATTAAATGGTCAAGCTATCAGGAAGAGAGAACAATTATAACATGTATGCATGCGACAACAGAAAACTAAAATACGAAAATATAAGCAAAAAAAGAAAATGTGAAAAATTTTTGTGCATCAAAAGACACTATCATGAAAGTGAAAAGACAACCAATTTAGTGAGAAAAAAAGTTGGCAAATCATATGTCTGATAAGAGACTTTTATCTAGAATATATAAAGAACTTTTGCAACTCAATAATGAAAATACAACAGCCCAATTGCAAGTGTGCAAAGGATTTAGATAGACGTTTCTCCAAAGAAGATATGCAAATGGCCAGTATGCACAATATGCAATGATACACGTAACATCATTACTCATCAGAGACTAATAAATTAAATTATTATTAATAATATTATTACTGACTTAAATAATTAAGGCATTATACATGAAATCAAAACCCCAATGAAATAGCACTTCATATTCACTAGAATGGCTATAATCAAAATGTCTGCTAATAACAAATGTTGGCAAGGATGTTGAAAAATAGCCGTCATATGCTCCTGGTGGAAATGTAAAATGATGCAGTCACTTTGGGAAACAGGCTGGGAGTTTTTCAAAAAGTTAAACAGAGTTGTCATATTACCCAATAATTCCACTCCTAGGTATATATCAAAGCAAAATGAAAGCATATATTCATGCAAAAAATTGTACATGAATATTCATAGCAGCATGATTCATAATAGCCTAAAGGGAGAAACAACCCAAATGTACATCATCTGATGATGAAAAAACAAAATGTGTTATATCAATACAATGGAATTTTATTGGGCCATGAAAAAGAATGAAGTAGTAATACATGCTACAGTGTGAATAATTCTTGAAAACGTTATACTAATTTGAAGAAACCAGACACAAAAGACCTCATATTATATGACTCCATTTACACAAAATGTCCAGAAGAGGCAAATATATGAATATAGAAAGTAGATTAGTGGTTGCTTAGGGCTGGGGTGGGGCTTGGTGGTAGATAGGAAGATTGAAAGGTGATAGCTAAAAGCATCTTTTCAAGAGTTTCTTTTTGAGGTGACAAAAATGTTCTAAAATTGATTGTATGATAATCTATGTGAATATACTAAAAACCACTGAATTATATACTTTATGTGTGTAAATTGCATGGTATATGAACTTTAACTCAATGCAACTGTTACCAAAAAATTTGACTAATATTGACAACATGCTTTCAGACTCTTAAAGCGTATTGTGTAGATACAAAGATTCTTATCGGCGTTAATTTTCATATTTGTATTTTATGTTAGATTCATGTTAGAGTATACATACTTTCAAACTTCAAGAAAAAGTTTCCCAAAGAAAGTTTTGTTAGATATGTAAGAACAGAGTTGGGCTAAGCAGGGAAGGCTGTAGGTAGGAGGTTTTGCTCAAACGCAACCCAGATTGGCTGTTTACATATAAGCAAAGACATCATAAAGTCACAAGGCAAGAGTAATCAAAATCAGTAGCTAAAAAAATCAAATCTTAACAAATTTGAGGTTTTTTTCCCCTTCAAAATAAAACATAAAGCAATTTCTGAACTTTGTGGATAAAATCTCAAAATACAAATAATGATGTTGTTTTATAAAACATGTTAAAGCACACATATCAATGCATCAACTCTACCCACCACCAAACCTTCCCGTCCCCAGGACACTTAACTGAAAACTTCTGCCAGGTCTTTTTGGCTTTTTTTTCCTTTTCCTTTGACTTCTATGTTAATCTATCATTAAGGATTATTAAATGTTCTTTAATAAGTATTAAAATACTTTTAAAAATGTGGCTTCTTAGATTCTTCTCATTAAAAGTGTATCATTTAAAATATCTTAATATATTTTTTCACCTTGATTGAGGTATAATTGACAAATAGAAAACTTATGTATTTAAGGTGTACAACTTGATGTTTTGATATACGTATACATTGTGAAATGAACACCACAATCAGCTATCATATTTTTAAACTCCACACATAGAACTCTTTTATGTTGACAGACAGCTTCTCTTGGTACATTATTGCCTAAGTATGATCAGTTTTTTTATTTTTTTTATTTTTTTTTAGTTACAGAGGGATTTTTATTTAGTCATTTTTCTTCTTCCTCTTTTTTTTTTTTTTTTTTTTTTTTTTTTGAGACCAGTCTTATTCTGTCATCCAGGCTACAGTTGCCATGGTAAAACCATAGCTCACTGCCGCCTCCACTGGGCCCAGGTGAGTATGATCAGTTTTTTTACTACTTGAGGCCTGGCAGGACTAAGGATTCCTTAAATTGGTACAAAATCTGGAGAAGAGGTAGACATGGCTAGAAAGACAAGCAGACGTGACATGGGGAGCCCTTTGGAGAAAGAGGAAGGGAAAGAACATGAATGAGAGAGGGATAAGTGTGTGATGGAGTGAGGCGACTACTATGTTGGTGATTTTCTTTTTCTTGCTACAGACCATCAGTGCCGATGGCAACCTCTCCCATCACTCTCTTCTTATATACTTCTCTTCTCTTAGGCTGCACTTGGGATTTCTGATCAGGAGAATCCTCAGGATGTTCCTGAGGGCCAGAATACCCAAATGCCTAAAGAGAATGGTGAGATACACATCCAAGATCAGGTGCTTAAAATCTGCAACCAAATGCCCTAGGAAGACAGGAAGAACTGCAGCCTCCAATTCCCAGACAGCCATTCTGGGGCTTAAGAGAGAGTCTGGAAGCAGATTTTTGCCCAAGTCATGGCTTTACAACATACTAGCTGTGTGATCTCAGAAAAATCACTTCACTCCTCTGAAAGCAATTTGCTCTAACTGTAAAGTTGGGTTAATAGTAAGATTCATATAATATTATTATTGTGAGAATTAAACAAGATGTTATATGTAAAGCACCATTAATAGTGCCTGATACATAGTTAATAGTCAATAAATGATAGCCATTATTATTATTGTGTTCAGACATCACATAGCCAGGGCACTGGAAATAAGGCCCCAAACCTTATTTTTCCATTCAGACAACCAACAAATGCTGAAAACTGTTTGGTCATCTGAACATCCTGGCTATATAGCCATCTAGAATCTTCACTGAAAGTATTTTAAATTCCATGAAGACACTTGAAAGACTTGATAAACACCCATCTTAATATTTTTTCAAATGAAATTTTATATAGCTGTGAATGAATAAGAAACACTTTCCCACTACTTTTTGTATAGTTCCAAATTATTTAACATATTCAGAAGAAGAACAATTCTGGGATTGCTTTAGATGGTTTCTTGACACAAAATTTATTGAGCAATGCCACAGCATTTGTTTAGGAATTAATTCTCAGGATTCAACTATTCAGAGAAGAAAGACAAGTATCTTTTACACTTTCTTCTCCCATATACCCCCAGTATTTGATGTTTCTTCGTACTTATTAGCAGTGAATCTAAAAAAGTAAATAATCCTATTGACATAGACTCATATCCCCAAATAAGGGACATTTTGGTTAACAGTCACTATCAATCAATCGTAAGTAGTTCCATTAAGGAATTTATTTTCTGGTATACATTACTAGAATTTGTATTTTGTATGCTGGCAAGGGTAACTGGTTTTAGTTTCTGTCAATGATATAAGAAGTTAAAAAGGTAATTTTTTTAAGTGAATTGATTTAAAGAACAAAATAAGAAAATATAAGAAAGGTAAGTATGTGAATATGACATGCCAGAGCCCAGGCATAGATTTATATCTTTAGTTTTCAGCATCTATTATGTGCTTAATAAGTGCTTTCTGAGGGTATGAATGAATGAAATTCCACTTTGCTTCTCTGTGCATCCCTGCCATGTTCTCAAGTTTTTATGAAAATTGCTGTCATGGCTGGGCGCGGTGGCTCACGCCTGTAATCCCAGCACTTTGGGAGGCCGAGGCAGGGGGATCACGAGGTCAGGAGATTGAGACCATCCTGGCTAACACGGTGAAACCCCGTTTCTATTAAAAATACAAAAAATTAGCTGGGCGTGGTGGCGGGTGGCTGTAGTCCCAGCTGCGCCGGAGGCTGAGGCAGGAGAATGGCGTGAACCCGGGAGGCGGAGCTTGCAGTGAGCTCGTGCCACTGCACTCGAGCCTGGGCGACAAAGAGAGACTCCACCTCAAAAAAAATAAATAAATAAAAATAAAAATAAATAAATAAATTGCTGTCACTAAATTTGCTATTTTTTGTGTGTATTTATGTCTTGGGTTTGCACCTATCTGCCTTTGAGTCTTTCCTTATTTCTTTTTTATTATTTTAAGCATTCTTGAACAATTTGAGGTCCAGGATAGCTCTGTATTGATCTTCCTTTCTCTACCTGTTGAAAGCGCCAATCTCCAATTTCCGGGGCCTTTCCTGTTATATGCTTTTTGTATCCTCCAGGACATAGCACAAGGCCTGACATCTAAGTGCTAAATACAATTTATCTGGTAAAACTATTTGAGTTGCTTGCATATTTAGATTGGTCAATTCTCAGTCCTCATTTCTCTTAATCTTCTTATCACTTGCCACTCCTTTCTTATTATTCCTTTCTTGAAACACATTTTCAACTCAACTCTTCTTTCAGAATGCCATACTCTACTGTTTTTTCTCGCACCATATTTGCTAATCCTTCTCAGTCTTTTTTGTTGATTCTCCTCTTCTTTTCAAACTGTTTGTGTTGATATGTCCTAGGATTCAGTGTTTGGACTTATTTCTTATTTATTCTCATAGTTTTATCAGTTAAATTATTTCCATTGTTAAGGCCAAAAACCTTGGGGTCATTTTTGAGTCATCTTTTTCTCTCACATTATACATCTAATCCATGAGCAAAATTTGTGGATGCTATTCTGAAATATGTCCAGAATTTGATTACTTCTGTCCACTACACTTTTATCATCTGGATACAAGCAACGATTATATTATGCCTAGTTTATTGCATTAACCACTTAAATTACATCTTTACTTTTATCTTTATCTCTGCATAGTTTGTTTTCAAAAGAATGACAAAAATAGTCATATCATGTCAGGCTTCTTTTGCTCACATGCTTACTATCAATTTTAATTGTTCTCCATCTCTCTTATATTTATTTTTAACAACTTTATTGATATATAACAAACTGTACATACTTAAAGTATGCAATTTGATAAGTTTTGACACATATCTACACCCATGGAACAATCACCACAATCAATGTAATGAAGACAACCATAACCCCGAAGGTTTCCTCCTGTCCCTTGCACTCCATTCCCCGTGTTCCTCCTTCACCCATCCCCATTTCCCAGGCAACCACTCATCTGCTTTCTATGACTATAGGTTGTTTGGATTTTCTAGAATTTTATATAAAAGGAGCAACAGAATATGCACTCTTTCTCATTTATTTATTTGTTTTGGGTCTTACTTCTTTCTCCAGCATACTTATTTTGAAAGTCATCCATGTTGTTGTATGCATCAGTGGCCCATTTCTTTTTACTGCTGAGTACTGTTCCATTAAATGAATGTACCAGTTTTTGTTTTTCCATTCTCCTGTTGATGGACATTTGAGTTGTTTCCAGGTTTGGGTAATGATAAATAAAGCTGCTATGAACATTCATGTGCAAGTCTATCTATGACTATAGGCTTTCATATCTTTTAAGTAATTACCCAGGGATAGAATGGCTAGCTCATATGGTAGTTGAATATTTTACTTTTTATAAAACTGACAAACTGTTTTCCAAAGTGTTTCTATCACTTTGCATACCTACCAGCAGCATTTGAGAGTTTCATTTTCTCCATATTCTCATCCACATTTTGTATGGCTGATCATTTAACCTTAGTTGTCCTAATATATCTGAGGTGATATAATATTGTAGTTTTAATCCATTCGTATTTAACTTATTAATCATTTCTTAAATTACTAATGATGTCAAATATCATTTTATCTGCTTGTTGGTCATGCCTGTATCCTCGTTGCTGAAGTGTTGTTAAAATCTTTTGCTTATTTTCTCATTGGGTAGTTTTCTTATTGTTGAGTTTTGAGGGTTTTATTTTTTTTTCTTTTTCTTTTTTTTTTTTAACTATACTTTAAGTTCTAGGGCACACGTGCACAACGTACAGGTTTGTTACATATGTATACATGCACCATGTTGGTGTGCTGCACCCATTAACTTGTCATTTACATTAGGTATCTCTCCTAATGCTATCCCTCCCTCCTCCTCCCACCCCATGACAGGCCCCTGTGTGTGATATTCCCCTTCCTGTGTCCAAGTGTTCTCATTGTTCAATTCCCACCTATGAGTGAGAACATGCAGTGTTTGGTTTTTTGTCCTTGCAATAGTTTGCTGAGAATGATGGTTTCCAGCTTCATCCATGTCCCTACAAAGGACATGAACTCATCCTTTTTTATGTCTGCATAGTATTCCATGGTGTATATGTGACACATTTTCTTAATCCAGTCTATCATTGATGGACATTTGGGTTGGTTCCAAGTCTTTGCTATTGTGAATAGTGCCATAGTAAACATATGTGTGCATGTGTCTTTATAGCAGCATGATTTATAATCCTGTAATGGGATGGCTGGGTCAAATGGTATTTCTAGTTCTAGATCCCTGAGGAATTGCCACACTGACTTCCACAATGGTTGAACTAGTTTACAGTTCCACCAACAGTGTAAAAGTGTTCCTATTTCTCCACGTCCTCTCCAGCACCTGTTGTTTCCTGACTTTAATGATTGCCACTCTAACTGGTGTGAGGTAGTATCTCATTGTGGTTTTGATTTGCATTTCTCTGATGGCCAGTGATGATGAGCATTTTTTCGTGTCTTTTGGCTGCATAAATGTCTTCTTTTGAGAAGTGTCTGTTCATATCCTTTGCCCAATTTTTGATGGGGTTGTTTCTTTCTTGTAAATTTGTTTGAGTTCTTTGTAGATTCTGGCTATTAGCCTTTTGTCAGATGAGTAGATTGCAAACATTTTCTCCCATTCTGTAGGTTGCCTGTTCACTCTGATGGTAGTTTCTTTTGCTGTGCAGAAGCTCTTTAGTTTAATTAGATCCCATTTGTCAATTTTGTCTTTTGTTGTCATTGGTTTTGGTGTTTTAGACATGAAGTCCTTGACCATGCCTATGTCCTGAATGGTATTGCCTAGGTTTTCTTCTAGGGTTTTTATGGTTTTAGGTCTAACATTTAAGTCTTTAGTCCATCTTGATGAATTTTGAGGGTTTTAAACAAGTGAATATGAAATACAAGTAATTTATCAGGTACAGTATTTGCAAATGTTTTCTGCCAGTTTGTGGCTTGTATTTTCATTATTTTAACAACATCTTTTGAAAAGCAGAAGTATTAAATTTGGATAAAATAAAATTTATGAAATTAGCAATTTTACTTTAGGTATTATATCTATGAAATATTTGTCTAACCTAATCGCAAAATTTTCTCTTACACTTTCTTCCAGAATTTTACAGTATGAAGACATATTTTGGTCTATGCTTCTTTATTAGTTAAATCTTTTAATAGATTATTTTTTGGAGAAGATTTAGGTTCAAAGCAAAATTGAAGGGAAGATACAGAAACTACCCATATGCCATCTGCTTTTATACATGCACAGCCTCCTCGACTGTCAACCACTTGCACCAGAGTGGGACATTTGTTACAATTGATAAGCCTACATTGATAGGTTATTATTAATGGAACCATAGTTTACATTAGGGTTTACACTTGATGTACATTCTATGGATTTGGACATATTTATGATGATATATATTCACAATTATTTTATCCTACAGAGTAGTTTCACTGCTCTAAAAATGCTCTGTGCTCTCCCTATCTTTCCCTCCCCTCTATCCCCTCACAACCAATGGTACTGTCTCTATAGTTTTGGCTTTTCCAGGATGTTATAGAGTTGGAATCATATAGCTTGTAATCTTTCAGATTGACCTTCTTCACTTAGTAACATGCATTTAAGTTTCCTCCATGTCTTTTAATGGCTTAATAGCTAATTTATTTTTAACTCTGAATAATATTCCATTACCTGGATGTATCATAGTTTATTTATCCACTCACCTACCAAAAGGCATCTTGGTTGCTTTTAAGTTTTGGCACTTATGAATAAAGCTGCTATAAACATCTATGTTTAGGTTTTTGTGCAGAAGTACATTTTTGACTCTTTTAGGTAAATACCAAGGAGCACAATTCTTGGATCATATGGTATGAAAGAATATGTTTTGTTTTGTGACAAACTACCAGACGATATTCCAAAGAAGCTATGCAATTTCACATTCCCACCAGCAATGTTTGAGAGTGTTTGTTGCTTCAAATCCTCGCCAGTATTTGGTGTTGACAGTGTTTGGGATTTTGGTCATTCCAATAGCTGTATGGTGGTATCTCAGTTTTTAAATTTCATTTTTAAATTTATAATTGACATGTAATAATTGTATAAGGTAGGTGCAAAAGTAATTGCAGTTTTTACCATTACTGTCAATGGCAAAAACTGCAATTATTTTTGCACCAACCTAATACGTATTTATGGGGTACAATGTGATGTTTTGACACATGTATCTGTAGTGTAATAATCAAATTGGATTAATTATAATTTATATTATTTTAAACATTTATCATTTTTTTCTCTCAACATTATATATTCTTTATTTATTCGTACATTCATTGAAAAAATATGTGCTGAGTACCTAATACAGGCAGGTGCATAAATGCATAGAATTTTATGCATAAATGCAAACATCAATAATTTAATTTAATTTAAAGTTCTGGGATACATTTCTTAGTGATAACAACATTAAAAATCTCTTCTGGCTATCTTCAAATATATGTGATATTATTATTTGCTATAGTCACCTTACTGTGTAATAGAACACTAAAATTTATACTTCCTGTCTAACTGTAATTTTGTACCCATTAATTTGTCCTTTCCTGATGACATATGATGGGGAGCATCTTTTCATTTTCTTACTTATCGTCTGTATATTTTGATGAGGTGTCTATTCATGTCTTCTGCCTATTTTAAAATCAGGTGTTTGTTTTCTTATAGTTGAGTTTTAAGAGCTCTTTGTATATTTTGGATAACAATCCTTAACCAGATATGTCTTTTGCAAATATTTCTTTCACAGTTAGTGGCTTGTCTTTTTATTCTCTTGGTAATGTCTTTTGCACAGCAACATGTTTAGTTTTAATGAGGTCCAGCTAGTTTATCAATTCTTTCTTTCATGAATTGTGCCTTCATGTTGTATCTAAAAAGTCACAATGAGAACACATGGACACAGGAAGGGGAACATCACACTTTGGGGACTGTTGTGGGGTGGGGGAAGGGGGGAGGGCTAGCATTAGGAGATATGCCTAATGCTAAATGACGAGTTAATGGGTGCAGCACACCAGCATGGCACATGTATACATATGTAACTAACCTGCACATTGTGCACATGTACCCTAAAACTTAAAGTATAAAAAAAAAAAGCCACTCAAGAAAGAACCAGTCTTAAAAAAAAAAAAGTCATTGTCAAATTCAAGATCATTTAGATTATCTCCCATGTTTTCTTCTGGGAATTTTATAGTTTTGCATTTTACATTTAGTCATTTTACATCCATTTTGAGTTAATTTTTGTTGAGGGTATAAGGTCTGTGTCTAGATTCATCTTTTTGCTTCTGGATATCTAGTTGTTCCAGCATCATTCATTGAAAGGATTATCTTTTCTTCATTATATTGCCTTTGCTCCTTTGTTAAAGATCAATTGATCAAATTTATGTGGGTCTATTTATGTGGGCTCTCTATCTCTTTCATTGATCGATTTATCTGTTCTTTTGCCAATACCATACTATGTCAATTACTGCAACTTTATAGTGAGTCTTGAAGTCAGGTAGGGAATGTCCTTTGACTTTGCTCTTCTTCAATATTGAATTGGCTATTCTGGGTCTTTTGCTTTTCCATATGAACTTTAGAATCACAATTGGTGGAATCACAATATCCACAAAATAACTTTCTGGATTTTTTTTTTTGACAGGGACTCACTCTGTCACCCAGGCTGGAGTGCAGTGGTGTGATCATGGCTCACTTCAGCTTCAACCTCCTGGGCTCAAGAGATCCTCCCATCTCAGCTTCCCGAGTAGTTGGGAACACAGGCATGCACCACCACACTTGGCTAATTTTTATATTTTTGTAGAGATGGGGTATTTCCATGCTGCCCAGGCTGATCTTGAATCCCTGAGCTCCAGTCATCCTCTTGCCTCAGCCTCCCAAAGTGCTGGGATTACAAGCATGAGCCACTGTGCCCAGCCTTGCTGTAGTTTTGATTGGGAATATGTTGAATCTGAAGATCAAGTTGGGAAGAACTAACACCTTGACAATATGGAGTCTTCCTAACCATGAATATGAAATCCCTTTCCATTTATTTAGTTAAAAAAACTCTCATCAGAGTTTTATACTTTTCCTCATGTAGATCTTGTATATATTTTGCCGGATTTATACCTAAGTATTTCATTTTTAGAGGGTACTAATGTAAATATTATTGTGTTTTTAGTTTCAAATTACACTAGTTCACTGCTGGTGTATAAGAAAGCAATTGACTTTTGTGTATTAACCTTGTATCCTGCAAACTTGCCATAATAGCTTATTAGTAACAGGAGTTTCTGTGTGTGTGCCAATTCTTTCAGATTTTCTACGAAGACAATCATCAGTCATTTCATGTGTAACAAAGAAACTTTAATTTTTTCTCTCCAATATTTATACTTTTTATTTTCTTCGCCTGTAGCATTAACTAGGACTTCCACTATGATGTTGAAAAGTGATGGTGAGAAGGAACATCCTTGCTTTATTCCTGATCTTAGTGGAAACTTTAAATTTCCCACCACTCAGTATATTAGCTGTTTGTTTTTGCAGAAATTCCTTATCAAGTTGAGGGCTTTTCTCTCTATTCCCAGTTTAATGAGAATTTTTATCATGAGTGAGTGTTGGATTTTGTCAAATGTTCTTTTGCATTTATTGATGCGATCATGTGATTTTTCTTTTTTAACCTGTTACTGTGGTAAATTATATTAATTGATTTTGGATATTAAAGTAGCCTGCATACCTGGGATAAATCCTATTTGGTCATGGTACATAACTCCTTAAATACATCGTTAAATTCTATTTTCTAATCTTTAGTTGAGGATATTTACATCTATGTTGATGGGAATTTTGGTCTGTAGTTTTCTTTTCTTGTGATGCTTTTGTCTGGTGTGGGTATTAGGATAATGCTGGCTTCATAGAATGAGTTAGGAAGTATTGCCTCTTCTTCTGGAAGAGATTGTAGAGGATTAGTATATTTTCTTCCTTAAATGTGTCATGGAATTCGTTAATGAACCCACAAGGGCCTCATGCTGTTTTTTTGGGGGAAGGTTACTAATTATTAATTCAATTTCTTAATATAATCCTATTGAGATGGTTTATTTTGAGCTAATTTTTATACATGGTGTGAGGTATGGATTAAAGTTCTTTTTTGCATATGAATATTTAACTCTTCCCGCTCCATCTATTGGAGACACAATTCTCTCTTTACTAAATTGCATTCTCATTTTTGTCAAAAACCAGTTGCCGTTATATATACATATAGATCTATTTCTAGACTTTTTATTATATTTCACTGATTTATTTGTCTATCTTGATGCCATATCCACACTTTATTATATATGTATTATATTCTAATTGAACATATTATATACTTTTCTTATTTATTTTGTTTGTTGTCTGTCTTTCTTACACCCTAAAATGCAAACTCTACCTGGGGAGATATTTCTGTCACCTTTTTTGCTGCTGTTCATTTATTGCCCAGAATACTGCCTATCACACTGTGGTCACTTAACACATTTGGTTAAATAAATGAATGATGGACAGAAATAGAGAATTCAAGTGAAGAGATGTTTAGCTTCTGTCAAATTGAAGTGACAACAGAGCCTCTAGCGAGAGCTAGCTTTTGAAAATCTGAAAACATAGAAAGGTCTGATTAGAGATGGAGCTTTGGTAGATATTTGCACAGAAGAGAAAATTCTTGGGATCTTTTCATTGTTTTGAATGACTTAAAGGCAACAGTAGGGACACCTGTATTCTTAGTGTCCATCTCTAGGAAACCAGTCACTGGTTTCTGCCTGGTATGAAGGGTCTTAGAAGCAGGATTTTCCTCTTTAAGGTATTTGGTATATAAGACTATGCATGTTTCTGGTCTCTGCTACTTGTTTGGGTTTGAAGCCCACTCTACTATCTTGACATTTGTCAGAGGCATGCTCCTTTCCTTTTTATTTTACTCAGCCTGGTCTTCCAATTGATCTTTGACTGCTGACTCCTGTACTTGTCTTGGTTCCACACTGTCTCCTTGGCCTGACTCTGTGTTTAATTATTGACATTTTTGTGACTCTTAGGAACCAAAGCCTGAACTCTAGATTGACCGCTGTCCATAGTTCAGTCAGAATATGGAACCCTTTACAGTTAAATGAATTATCGAAGGGAGAAGGATATATATTAATATAAGTACAGGTTCCTGGGTGGAATCTTGTGGAATGCTGAAAGTAGAGGAAAGAACAAAGAGAATATAAAGAGAGTAAAATACACATATGAGGTGAAAGTGTATACAGGAGAGTTAATATTTTAATGAAGAAGAGATTAACCAACTGAATGAAATTTTACTGAAATATCATAGAGAATGAAAAATTAGTCAAGTCCATTGGATTGCAGAAACAGGAAGCCATTGGTGACCTTTAATTACATCCTGGAATTTACTTGCTAGATAATTTTGGTACTGGTTTCAATGCACTTCTTCACCATTTGAAAATGAACATATGTTTCCGTATGTGTAAATGTAAGCTTTTCAAAGAGGTGGTTTGGCTTATTTTTCACTGGAGGTAAGAAATAGTGGTGTGTGTGTGTGTGTGTGTGTGTGTGTGTGTGTGTGTGTGTGTAGGTGACTGCAGGGAGGAGAAGCACTTCAGATTTCTAGTCTTTTTCTTTGTCTTCTTTTTTCCTCTTCTTCCCCCTTTTAACACATCTAAATGGCACAGAAGTAGGAGGACATGGTCTGGTTTGAGGGGATAAGCTCTGGGTCAGGCAAGTATCTTTATGTTTCCTGTAAAGAAAAAAATAGCTCTTTGTTCACCCATCTCAAACTCTGATTTATTCTCTTAAAGGCTAGCAGCATTTGGGGATCTGCTGTGTTCTACTGCATTCGACGATCCTGCTCATATGGTTTACATGACAGAACGGTCTCACACAGTTCTTTCAAAAGTTCAAATCTGGGCTTAAGAAGCTGAAACTGGCAGTGAGATGTGATTAAGCATATTGGAAGGACAAAGATAGTCTTGTGTTTCCACAACAGCCCGGGCTTAAAAGAGCTTATTTCAGCAAGAAATACGTGTATTTAAGATATATGTACATATGCAATATACATAGACTACGTATATAATTCATTGCTCTCATTTTAATAAAAATATTACTTCTTGATAATGTAAAAAGGTAACTTATTTAAAACCAAAAGTATTTGGGCAAGCACATCTCAGTTTTTGGAATTAAAAATGTTTTCGGTCAAAATGTTAATGGCTCAGCTTATAGGTTGCTTTGTGGTGTACACACTCATATACATTTAAGATGTAGGCTAGAAGAAAAAGTACTAGTTTTTGGGATCCTGTTTGATTGCATGCCACAATTCAAGGTAAGCAGGTGGCCTAGTGAGATATAAAAGGCTTGCTAAACAAAGAATTTTATTTCCTGGTTGGTGCCTGCAGGGGAGAAATTATGAAAGGAAAGCAGAAACCTGACAGTTAAAGAGAGTCCAGAATTTTGAAATGAAGTGTTTTTATTGATTTTAAAGGTATGCAAATTAATTACAATTTACAAACAAACATAAGCTTTTGAAAATGATAGATTATTTTAAGCAATAATAACAGGTGAAAAAATAGTTCATTATACTCCATATGAAATCATAACTATAGCTCAGTAGAATGGTATGACTATTTTACCATAGATGACAGATTTTGTAAGAAACCAAACAAGTATACAATTTGAAAGAAAGAGTGGTATATTGCTTAGTTATCTATTCTTTTGCATAAGCTATTAATAAATAGATCAAATGAAAAAAAATCTTTAGGAGATTATACCATGCCAAATTTTAAGGTGTTTTGTTGCACCGATTCTAGCTTTAAATTATTTTTAAATAGTAAAGGCCATTCACCTGGAGCTAAAGAAAATCTTCATTTTAGTAGACATAGTAAATAAACACTGGGCATTTCTTGCATTTCTGAAATTAATAGTTATTTGGAGCCACAAATGTGCACGTTTGTTTTCTTATTTTCATAGGTGATTTCACTAAGCAAAAATCCTTGTTAATCCTACATTCACATAGATAGAAGGTCAAAGTTGGTCAGTGAGCCAAGAAATACCATATCAGGGTTTCTTTCCCCTCCAATTGAAAAAGGTATAAATTGTGGAATTAGTGTATTGATTGAAGGCTACAACTTCAAGCAATCAGTTTTTCTGGCTTGACAAGATTATTTTATCCTACTTTTCTTTTATTATTATGTGTAGTATTTGAGTCATCCTTCAGGCAGATGAAGTGACAGCTTGATTTAACTCAATAAAATCCACCAGTTAGGTAACCTACTGAGCCGAACAAAAGATGAAAACGATGGCAAGGGGCAGGTGCCCTGTTAGTTTAAGCAAGCAGAGGAGTCTGGAACAGAAGAAAATATTAACAGAAATTATTCTCTAATCAATGCATTTCTATGGGAACTTGAAAGAAATTTGTAAAACCTTCTTGCTAGGCAATTGAGCAGATAATGCCTTTTCTTTAAATACAAAACAAAATAAACAAATCTTTAAAACTAGACTACATGCATGAAAAACAATACCTTCATAATGGCTGTGCTTTTGTGTAATTGCAGCAAGTAAAATAATCTTTAATTTCATAGTATATCTGAGACGAAAATGCTGCATGATAGATTTGTAATAGCTTGGAAGTTAAAACTGTAATTTGTGTATCTTTCATTGAACCTAACATTTGCTTTCTTACATCGTATCCAATTGATGCCTTACATGATTTCTTCAAATTATAATATTTTAACATTTACAAATAATATCAATTTGAATTTTCCTGAGAAACCTAAATACATAAGCCATAGTAGATGTTTTGTTTGCAGAACTAGAAAAAGAGTCTTATAATTTAAAATGCTCACTTAAAGCGATTGAAATTTCTTAGGCTGTGCATTGCTCTTCGATTACATATAAAGCTTTCGTTACTGACAATGGGAGTAGCTCCACAGGCAATCGGGAACAATTTGTATGAGCAGAAGTTTGATGTTAAATTAACAGTTTCATTACACTTTTCGAGCTTTAGAGTCCACACTATATTTCACATTACCTTAGTGTGCTGACATAAATACAGAAATCTTGGAAAAGTGTGCGTGAGGTTTGTGGTGGGTGGGGTTTGAGTTTTGTGGTGTGGTTGGGGGTGGAAGATAGGGAGTAGTTTAATTATTTTATGGAAATTTGGGAATTCCTTTTAAGGCAGCACTCTCAGGTTTCAAATGGGTCTGATCTGGTCTTTGCAGGAGATATATGTTATGTAACCCAAATATATGAGAACCAATTCTTTAAATGCCTCCTAAAGTTTATTTCAATAAACAATACTGGTATCAAATAACTTTCAGAAATTTTCGCTGTAAAGTTAGCATAAATCTCTCATAGGATGGTAAATAAATTTTTCCTTGCGTACCAATTTTAACCAGTTGGTAGTGTTTTCCCGACATTGTGAGAGGAGGATGATTCAGAGTTTCTATCCAGGCATAGCAGGAACAAATGAGATTTTAGCGATAACTGCCTCAAGTCCAGGTGGGGGAAATCATGGCCCATGGGCTGCTATTTTTTAGCTACTTGTTTTTTTCAAAAGGATGTAAGTCATCTTTGTTTGTTTAAATTTGTATTGTATAATTCTTATCTTTGCTCTTCTCTTAATTTTCCCTTTGACACACATTCATCTCAGCAGAACTTTCCACAGTTAAGGGGAATTTCTGCTGGGAAAGGGAGGTAGTATTGAGTGAGTGTGACTACTTGGGTTGGCAGCAGCCGTATTGTCTCCACTGACATAACAATGGTGTTGGCAACTTAACATCACTGACAAGGAAAGCTAGGCTGGTGGTGCTCTGGGGCAGGTACCCCATTCACTGGAGGCCCCGGCATTACAGGGATGAATTATTTCCAAATACTTCTCATTTCCTTTTTGACCCAACGAACTGGAAGTACCTTGAAAAGCTGTAGTTAACATAAAGGAAATTAAAATCTCATGCCTATGGGTATAAGATTTTTATACCCTTAAATCAAGGAGAGAGAGAGAGGAAAAAAAGGAAATATTTTTCAAATAATCCATACAGGATTTCCCTCTTATAGCCAAAACAAATAGCACGTGTTTTATAAGCAATCACTGCATATGCATGTAGTGACTTTGTCTCACATATAATTTAGAAGGCACCATTAGATGTCAAAAACAAGATTCAGCTCTTATTAGCCCAAGAAGTTGAAATTAATTAAGGTGAGTAATTTTAATAAACTTCATTTAAAGAATGAATAACTTGTTAGGGCATTCATGACGAATGCCGACTTTTTGATCCCCACCCCTTCACATGTGCTCAATTTTATGTTTGTGGTCAATACAAGGTTAAAGCTATTAGAGTGCCCCCCATTTAATTTCAAAATTTATGTAGGTTTTTTTCTCTAGCTTTATTTTATTTTATATCTAAGTATACATGTTTAGTGTGATGAGTTTTGATGATATATACCCACATTATCATTACCCAAAGCAATATATAGAACATACCTATCACCTTGAAATTTCCTTCATGTCCTTTTTGAAATTAATTCCAGACTCCTCCCCCTTTTTCATGTGCACAAAGTCAATCAATGTTCTGATTTCTAGTTTTACGTGTATATAAAGTTTTGTTTGATTTTGGATTTCTTATAAATAGAATGATTTATAAGATGAATTATAAATGCATATGTTCTGTGCCTGGCTTCTTTCACTTAATAATATTTTTAAGTGAATTTTAAGATTCATTTGTGTTGTTCTTTTTTATTTCTTAGTAGTATTTCATTATACAAAAATCACAATTTGTTTATCCATTCTGTTTTCAGTTTCTGGTTACTACGAATAAGGCAATTAAGTACAAGCCTTTTGTGGGCATAATATTTTCACTTATCATGGTAAATAGCTAAGAGTGCAATTGATGGGTCATAGGTGAGATGTATGCTTAATCTTTAAAAACTCATTTGAAAATTTATGTGTGTAAGTTAACTTTTATTTTTTGGTGTGCAGTTTTATGAATTTTAACACAATATTCAGGATATAGAATGGTTTTATTACTCCGAAATACTCCTTTTTGATGCCCATTTGTAGTCAAACACTTCCTCCTTTTCTAACCTTTGGGAACCACTGATGTGTTCTTCATCCTCAGGGTCAAGATGAGATAAAAAACCATTGAAGAGTTTTGAAGAGAGGAATTACTTGATCTAACTACTGCTTTAAAAAGATCACTCTATCTGCTATATTGAAAATAGACTGTGGGTTTATATATGCATACACATCAAGATAACATATAAATAGAATCATATTGTTTATAACCTTTTGAGATTGGCTTCTTTCATTCAGAAAACTGCCTTTGAGATTCATCCATGTTGTTGTGTAAAACTATACCTTGTTCCTTTCTATTGCTGAATACTATTTTATTGCATGTATGTATCAAAGAATGTCATTTACTTTTTAAAGGACATTCACCTTGTTTTTAAGTTTCGGGCTGATGTTAGTAAAATTGTTATAAATAGTCAAGTACAGGTTTGTATAGGAATAGCTTTATCTCTTCATTTTTAAACTGTATGCATTTTACTTAATTTTTTCTTACTTCACTGGCTAGGCCTTCCAATAAAACATTGAATAGGGGCTGTGAGGATGGACATCCTTGCCTTGTGACTGATTTTATGATGTTAGCTGTGTATGCGTTTTTTAAAAATTTTTGTTTTTACATTTCCTTTATCTGGTTAGGGAAGTTTCATTCTATTCCTCATTTGCTAAGAGTTTTTGTCCTGAATGGATGTTAAATTTTGTCAACCTCCATCACGTTAACAGACTAAAGAAGAAAAACTAGGCAATCATAATAATTGGTACAATTAATAACTGTACCAATTAATATGATAAATTACCAAAATTGGCATTCAATATTGAACTAACCTTGCATTCCTGAGTCAATCCCACTTTGTCATAATGTGTTATTTTTAAAATTTATTGCTGGTTTTCATTAGTTAACATTTTGTTAATAATTTTTGTTGGTGAATTTCATAATGGGTATTGGCTAGTAGTTTTATGTCTTGTTCTCTACTCGTCAGTTTTGTGTGTTATTCTGGCCACTTATAATATGTTGGGTTTTAATCCATCCTTTTCTATTTTTCTGGAGAAATTATGTAGAATTGGTATAATTTCTTTTTTAAATGTTTGGTAGAATACAACAATGAAAACATCTGCTTAGAAGACAATTCCCTTACATTTCTGCACATTCTGTGATAATTTTTATTCCAGGATATCTTGTCAAAGATGTTTGCATAATGAACAAACTTGGAAAATAGAGAGTGTTTTTGACCATAGCAGAGGGCAGATTGATTTTCTATCCAGAATAAAAAGAAAATGTCTCCCTCTGGGCAGAGCTTTGGGCAGGTTCGCTAACAGTTCCCTTGTAAGATGGGGTTTCCTATGCTCAGGATTCCTCAGCTATGACACAAACACACTGTGTGCACAGAATCTACCTGGGCTCCCTTCTATAACATTGTCATGTGATTTAGAGGCCAAGGGGAACCAATACAAACATGAAGATTATGCTGCCTGCCATGCTGAGAGTTATAAAGTCCTTTGTCTCTGAATCCAGAGCCTTGTGCTTTCTCCCAGCATAGAGGAAAATGACAAGAAAACTTTTTGTCTTTCTAGCAGGGTAAAATCTTAGACCCTTCTCAGTTCTTCACCCTGGGAATAAGTTTCCTGTTATAGACAGGGCTCCTCTTATTTGAATTTGTTTATAATTATATAATATGAGCATGTTCCATTGTATAATGCTAATTGCTAATTTCAATTATTCTTCATTCATTCCTTCACATATTTACCAAGTGTTATTTGAATGCCAACCTTGTGACATGCACTATTTTAGGGTCTGAAGATACAGTGGTGAATAACAGAGAAAAATGTTTGTCTTTATGGAGCTTATGTTCAGGTGAGGAGAGACAAGTAAACAAATAAAATATACATTATAATATGTCAGATAATAATTAAAGCAGGGAAAGAGGAGAGGGACTACTGCTGGGGGTAGGGTTTTTTGTTTGTTTGTTTTGTTTTTTATAGGATGGTTACTGTTACAGAAACATTTGTGCAGAAATCTGAAGGAGGTGAGGCATGAGCCATGGCAACACTGGGGGGAAAGAGACCAGCAAAGAGACCAGCAAATTTATAGGTCTTGACTTATGAGTGTAACTAGTGTTTCAGTAATAGTGAGGGACACAATTGCCAGAGCAAAGTAAGGGAGAAGGATGTGGTGGCCGATGAGATCATTAAGGTAGTAGAAGCTGGATTGTATAAAGACAAACGTTTACTCTCAATGAGATAAAAAAAATTGAGTTTTGAAGAGAGTAATTACTTGATCTAACTAATGCTTTAAAAAGATCACACTCTATCTGCCATATTGAAAATAGATTGTGTATTTGTATGTGCATACGTGCGTGTGTGTCGGGAGGGAGAAGTGAAGATGAAAAGAGGAAAACACATTAAAAGCTTATTATAATTATTTAGTTGACAGAATATGGGACTGGGTTGTTAATGTTGGGGATGGTGAGAAGTGGTTAGATTCTAAGTTATATTTGGAATGTTTATCTAATAGAATTTATGGATGCATTGCATGTGAGTATGAGGGAAAGAAATGAGTTAATCTAGCTTCCAAGGTTTTTGACTTGAGGAATTTGAAAAATGGGAATGCCATTGAGATAAAGAAGATGATAGGGAGACCAAGTCCCAGACATGGTATCTTTGAGATAACTCTTGGACAACCAAGTGAAGATGTCAGGTAGACAGTTTGTCAAATAAAGAAAAGATCTAGGTTAAAGTTGTACATTTTGAAGACATCAACATATAGAAACTGGATATGATTACCTTGGGAGTGTGTGTAGATAACAGAGAGAACATTCAGTGGTTGGCTAGAAGAGGAGAAAGAAACAAAGGAGAAAAAAAAAGAGACCAGAAAAGTAAAAGGGAAACCAGGAGTCTGTGTTCTTTCTAGCCACCTGAAGAAAATATTTCAAGAGGGAGTATGAGCATGTTTTAACAGATGCCATAGGTGCTTCACTCACATCCTTGGACCTTGCTATTCAGAGCATTCCTGCCAACTTTCAGCTTCTTTGTACCTAAGGATTTCCACATCTTTGTACCTAAGGATTGTTTCCAAAACCAAGGAAATTCACTCTGCCCAAGCATAAACCAGGCCAGAAATGCTGGTTAATTAATATAACTCTGCCATTCAGAAGGCCTTAACCAATGACTTGAGGGAGCCACTGTATAAGTACCCCAGCTCTCTAGATCCTTAGGTGGAAATAATGCTGAGATGAGTGTTCATACCCTTTCTATGTGTTTCCTCATGGAACTTAATTCCAGTGATGGCTGTTTTAATAATATACTCTTCATTGTCTGGCTTTTCTTTCCTGTACCACTTCCCACTCACCTATTAGTGTTCCCTATGATTCCTAAGTAAACTACCTGCCTTTGAACTCTTGTCTTACGGTCTGCATAGGAAAAAACCCAAGCTAATTATCCTGAAAGTTAAGTAACATGAGGGCTGTATTTGACTATTGGAATTAGCATCAGTGGCCTTGAGAAGACTGGTTTCAGTAGAGTGTTTGGGATAAAGTTTATTAGATTGCCTTCAAGAAAGCAGAGAAAACAATGAAGTAGAGATATTGATTATAGACTACTCTTAGGGAGTGTTAATAGAGGGAAGCAGAAAAATGGAAAGGTAATATGTAGCCAAGAGAATGTTTTTATTTTAAAATGAGAGGAATTACAGCATTACAGCATGTTTGGTTGTTGATGGGGATCATCCAGTAGAGAGGGAGTAATAATAGTGTGGGGGAAGGAGAAAGGACAATTTCTGTAATGACATACTTGAGGTGTCTAGAAAGAAAAGGGATTGAGTGGATAAGTTTTCACATAGGAGCATAGACAGTTTAATATGTTGAGCAAAAAAAAAAAAAAAAAACAGCATAAGAGCTCAGATTTTGGTAAGTGGGTAGATATGGTAGGAGGATGTGGAATGTCTTTTCTGATTACTTCTATTTTCACTCATTTGTTGAGACATGGGGGGAGGTATGATACTTTGAAGAGGATGCAGAAAGTATGAAGTAGGCATTGAGGAGAATGAATTTGTTAGAGAAATAAAATAGTTTCTTTTTAAACTTAAAATTTATTTAAGTTCTGTTATCACGAAGTGAAAGAGAAACCAGTGAACATGGTTCTGTGTTTTTCTCCAGTTATAGTCAACTGCAGAGTTTTAGGCACAAAGCAGATGGAGAATTACATTTATCCATGCTTGAAATTTTTTCCAAGTAAATATTATGAAAAGAAAGAGAATGTATGAAAAGGAATGATTACAAAGATGAATCATGGAGTAGAAGCTGGGTAAGAAATGGAAGAAAGAAGTCACTAAAAATGAAGCTGGATGTTGTATTGATGTATTGAAAGCCCAAAGGTGTGATAAAATTGCTGGAATTAGGAGTCTAGAGGGACTAAGCTGGAAAGATAGAAGGTAGAGTCAGGAGAGTGAGATGCATGCAATTAAGATGATGGAAAAAGAATAAAATTATTATCAGTAACATAAATATTTCAGGCTTGGAGGCCATAGAAGCTCTGTTGCATTTACTCAGTTCTGCTGTTGTAGCTAGAAAGCAGCCACAGACAATACTAGTGCACATGGTTGTGTTCCAGTATAATTTTATTTATAAAAACAAGCAGCTAAGCAATTAAAGCAAGATTTCAAGATACGTGGTTAATATACAAAATGCACTCACTTTCCCATATACCAGCAATGAATGAGTGGAATTTGAAATTAAAAACACAATGCCATTTACATTAGCACCACCCCCAAATAAAATACCTAGGTAGAAATTTTAAAAAATGTATAAGATCTATATGAGAAAAACTACAAAACTCTGATGAAAGAAATCAAAGAAAAACTAAACAAATGGAGAGAGATGCCATGTTCATGGGTAGGAAGACTCAACATTGCTAAGAAGTCCATTCCTCCCAACTTGATCTATAGTTTCAATGCAATCCCAATCAAAACCCAAGCAACATGTTATGGTGGTATCAATAAACTGACTCAAAAGTTTATATGGAGAGGCAAAAGACCCAGAAAAGTCAACAGAATATTGAAGGAAAACAGGAAAGTCAGAGGACGAACACCACCAAACCTTAAACCTTACTATAAAGCGACATTAATCATGACAGTGTGGTATTGGTCAGAGAACGGATTGATTAATGGAACAGAATAGAGAGCCCAGAAATAGACCCACATAAATATAGTTAATTGACATTTGATAAAACAGCAAAGGCGACACAATGGAGAGAAGATAGTCTTTTCAGGAAATGGTGCTGGAACAACTGGACAGTCACATGCAAAAAAAAAAAATGTAGACACCGACCTTACTTTTCCTCCAAATAAATCTAAATGTCTCATAGACCTACATGGAAAATGCAAAACTCTTAAAAGGTAATATAGAAAACCAACTAAATGACGTTGGGCATGGTAATGACTTTTTAGATACAACATCAAATGCATGGTTCATTAAAAAATTGATAAGTTGGACTTCATTATAAATAAAAATGTCTGCTCTGGAAAAGTCACTGTCAAGAGAATGAAAAGATAAACCACAGACCGGGACAAAATATCCTCAAAGGGCATTTCTGATAAAAGACTGTTGTGCAAAATATACATAAAAATCCTTACAACTCAACAATAAGTTAAAAAATAGACCAAAGACATTAATAGATACGTCACAAAAGAAGATATACCGATGAGTAATAAAGATATGAGAACATATTCAATATCATGTGTCATTATGGGAATGCAAATTAAAATGACAATGAAATATGCGTACACAACTATTAGGATGGTTGAAGTCCAGAACACCAACACCACCAAATGCTGGCAAGAATGTAGAGCAACAGGAACTCCCTTTATTGCTGGTGTGAATGTAAAATGGTACAGCTACATTGGAAGACAGGCTGGCAGTTTCCTACCAAACTAAACATACTCTTAACACACAATCTAGCAATCATACTCTGTCTTAGTTCATTCAGGCTACTACAATAATAATACCATGGACAATGTGGCTTAATTAATTTCCTATACTTTGAGAGGCTGGGAAGCTCAAAATCAAGGCACTAGCAGATTCTGTGTCCAGTGAGGTTCTGCTTCTTGGTTCATAGGTGACTATCTTTTTGATATGTCCTCACATGGCAGAAGGGCCAAAGGAGTTCTCTGAAGAGTCTTTTATAAGGCCATCAATCCCATTCATGACAGCTCCATCCTCATGACCTAATCACCTCCCAAAGGCTGCATCTTCCAAACCATCACTTTGGAGGTTTCGGTTTCATCATATAAGCTTTGGGGGAACACCAATATGCAGTTCATAGAACGTTTCTTGGTATTTACCCAAAGGAGTAAAAAACTTATGTCCATTCAAAAACCTACACACAGATGTTTATCGTAGTTGTATTCATAATTGCCAAAAGTTAGAAGTAATCAAGATATCGTTCAGTAGGTGAGTGGATAAATAAACTGTGATACATCCAATGTTTTTATTTAGTAATAAAAAGAAATGACCTATCAAGCCTTAAAAAGACATGGAGGAAACTTAACTGCATATTACTAAGTAAAAAAAAAAATCAATCTGGAAAGGCTGCCTACAGTATAATTCCAAGTCTATGACATTCTGAGAAAGGCAAAACTGTGGAGACAGTAAAAAGATCAGTGGTTGCCAGGGGTTAGTGGGGAGGGAGGGAAGAATGGGCAGAGCACAAAGCAATTTTAGGGACATGAAACTGCTCTGTATGATAATATAATGGTGAATACATGTCATTATACATTTTTCCAATCCCATAAAATCTACAATAGGAAGAATAAACCTTAATGTAAACTATGATTTGGGTGATAATGATGTATCAATGTAGGCTCATCATTGTAAGAAATGTACAGATGGGGGTGGGGGAGTATGTAGGAAATTTCTATACCTTCCCCTCAATTTTGCTGTGAATCTAAAACTACTCTAAAAATAATGTCTATTAAAAAACGAAACCAAACAAAACAAACAAGTAGCTGGCCCATGGAGATAGTTTGCCAACCCCTAGGGTATGCCCATGAATCTGAGTCAGCAGAGGAGAATGGCAGACAGGCCTAGGAGTGGAAGTAAAGGAATGAGGGACCTGAGTGTTGACAGAGCCGTCGATGTGGACAGTTACGTTACTCAGACCAAGCAGAGTAATGCTAGGGAGAGTGGCAATGAGCCTGTTGTCTAAGTGATTAAGGAGTGAAAGGGGGTGACTCTGGTGTTAGTAAATGACTACACAAAGGAGAGATAGAACAATCCATCTTTTACCGTACACAGAAGTTTCCAAGTATCCTGAATATCTGAACTTGACTATTGTTAAGATGACATAAAAAGGCAAAGCATGTTTTGCTAGGGATTAAATAAATATGGAAATATATCCAAGGAATCAAACTTACCTTAAAACAAATGCTGAATAGTTATCAGTATTTGACCCACACCAGGCCAGACCTCTGCTGTTTGTGGCATTGATAACCATGTAAACATGATGTCAGACATGTTTGGAGACAAACAGGTTTGGATGCATTCAGTGTTAATTCTTAATAACCTACTTATATTGTTATTTTAACTCATTGCATTTCATTTTACTTTTACTTTATTCGGTGAAATGTCAGTATCTGCTAAATGAAATAATTCTTTCACACTATGACTAAACTAACCTCATGTACATGTTGAGTGATAAAGCTTGTACCCTGATACTACATCAAAAGCTGGTTTAATGGCTGACAATATATGTCTCTCTTAACTGCCTCTGATTTGCAGAAATGTGGCTACTTCCTGCGTTGATGTCAGCTACAGCTGGTTAAGTACTGTGAGGGCAGGAAAAGGACAAGAGCCACTTAGAGGAGTTTTGTTTCCAAATGATTACTCATAACCATAGATTGTAACATTAAGATGCCTGAGACTGTAGATTAATCTTTTTATCAACCTGTGTTCCTTTGTCCACCCATCACTTCTTTACCATTTAAAATTCTTGATATTCTTTGTCAGAATCACATCACAATTCCTTGAAATTATAGCTTAGTAAATTGCTTGTTTAGAATTTAAGTGAAAGCATTTATAAATAAATATAGTTTCCTTGTATTCTTCACTAGATGTCATTTACTTTGACTAAATTTACTTAAACCATTTTAACCTTTCGGAGAAAGTCCAGGATTTTATTTTTTTTTTTACTTTTAAAAATACTCAGCTGACATTCTGATTTACCAAAAGGACACTACCACCATTTTTCTGAAGTGCATCTGTTCAAAATCAGAAAAAAAGAAAGCCTTTCATTTTCTTTTTTTCCATTAATTCTTTTTACCTCAAAGAGTTTGGGGAATTATGATTATAGGTGACTTATAAAGTTATTAAATTCCATATCTAAACCTACAATATGCCAAATACTATCAACTATATTAATAAGTATCATGAATATCAAAATAGTCATTGCTTTTTCTTTGTGCAAACATATCTAATTGAGTGCCTCTCCTATTGCTACAGTCTGAATGTTTGTGTCCTCCCAAAATTCGGATGTCAAAATCCTACCTCCCCACAAAGTGATGGTATTAGGAGACAGGGATGCCCAAGGGAGACCCCTGGCCTCTTATACCATATAAGGACACAGTAAGAAAGTGCTGTCTATGAACCAGAAAACAGGCCCTCGGCAGACACAGAATTTGCTGGCACCTTGATTTTGGACCCCCTAGACTCTAGAACTCTGAAAAATAAATATCTGTTGTTTATAAGACACCCAATTTATGAGATTTTTTTAATAGCAGACTGAATAGACTAAGACACCAATTGATGCAATATAGCACTGCCTCTGTGTATTAGAGGAAGATGCCCCTGCCCCACTGAGAGATGGACAGGCTCTGAGAGGAGAGGTTTCCAGGAACCTTTCTGGGGATAGCTATATACACATTCTTGAGTCCACCTGTGACCATTATATTGGCCAGATGGGCTAGCTAGAGCTTCTAAAACTTTTAAATGTTCTTGTTCTTTTTAGAAGGCAAATTTTTTGGTAGATGTTTTTAATTAAAAATTCTTTTTGAAAATAACCTGTTTCCAATTACATAATAAAAGGTGTTTTACTATTCATTATAGAATGAACCTGACAGAGTAGATGAAAGAATGTTTGCTGTTATTTTATGCATAGGAAATTTTTTACAATTTTAAAAATAAAATTTCACTATCAATTCATTTCAATTCATAGTGGAGACAGGATATTCAGGAAGAAAACCCTACATTTATAGTGTGCGAATGTGCGTGTACAAAGACAACACTCACAGATGTAAACTGATTAGTTACCATTACAATCCCAAATATATGTTTTTGAAGAATAGAATTCCTGGCATACAAAAGCTTCTAAATGACTGGTTCAAAGACTTTTGATGATATCTATAGTTATTTAGTTATTTGAAATGAAGCTACTTAATGGACTGAGAATGTAGACAAATAAGAGTTTCAGGTTACTTATTGCAAGTGTGTTATAAAATAGATTAATATCTAGTTAATTCACATTCTGTCTTTATACTTGTTAGGAGTAGATAAACAAAACATTGATTTTTGACTTAGGATCACATTGGGTTAAATTCTTACTCAATTTACCTTGCATAGTAAATGACAAAAGACAAGTATACTGATTGTTTCAAGTACTTATTATTTAGAAGAATGATATATTAAAGCAACCATACCTCGAAGTTAAGCTCACATTTGTATAAGCTGTGTTACAATTGTAAGACTATGTGTATATGTATGTAGAGATATACATATATGGATATCTAACTATTATTTAGTATTTATAGACTACTGAAAATGATTTTGTAAATTACACGATTCAAGATCTTTACAGAAAGAGAAAGCATTATAATTAGAGCCACATCTATTTCCCTTTTTTTTTTAAATTTGAAAATGCTGCTTTTCTGTGATATTTTAGATATTAGAGTTGAGTCATACACTTTTGGAGTCTTCATTAGAAAACAAGTTAATTGTAGAATTAGGAAGATGGATTTATTTACTCTCTTATTTCCTACTCAAAGCACGATGCGAGGTGCTAGGATGGTGAAAGATACAAAGAAGATTGAAAAGAATTTACTGTAGAGTAACACTGTCAAATAACATTGAGAAATTGAGCATATTATATTAATATTAAACTCTTGAATTTTTGTGATGAAAATTACCATATTAAAGGCTCCGACAAGCTTTGATGGAAATAAACTTATTTAAATTTGTTGAAGGCATCATTTCCCAGGACTCTTTTTTTGGAAATGACTGTTTATTTCTCTAACAATTTCTATTTTATGAAACAGACTGAGAAATGTGGGAATGCAGTAGCCTCTTTATCTTGATTCAGACCTCTCTCCCACCCTAACTTCCTGTGTTTAGTACGAGTTACAGATGCTCGCCATGGCAGAAACTCTGTGTTGTACATGGACAGCCATAGCAAATGATCCAGGTAGAGATTTCCTTTTATTATAATTGCCTCCTCGTAACCAAAATAGTTAGGTTTGCAATAACTTTTTCTCCAGTTTCTGATTTAGAAGGCCCTGACTACACAATTTAAAATGTTATCCAGTGTACTCATAGGATCTAAATTGTTAGTAAGCTCCTATCTTCCCTCCCAGGTACTGAGCATATTTATAATGACTGTGTAGGGTCACCATGTCACCATGACAAACTATTAGAGGGACACTTGGGGGAAGATAAAACATTTCAGAACCCCAATACCAGGATGCATGTGCAGTTGACAACTTGGCCTACATCTCCAACTTGCCCTTTTCTGAGGACTTCCATGGTAGGAATTTTAATTGACAATCATTTTATAATTATAATCTTTTTATAATGCTGACTTAAAAATTTGACCAAAAATTTTTCATTCAGCAAAAAATATTTTAAGTTACTTTTATCCTGGTAGTAGGGTATCCATTATGTCATCCAAATTACTGCAAAAGCCTCATAACTGGTCTCCGTGTTTCTGCTGATACTCCCATGCCACAAGGAATTTTACAGCTAAAGGACACTTATGAAACAACCTTCACATTGCTCCCATTTCAGAAAAAAAAGGCCATGTCCTCAATGTATTCAACAAAGGCTCACATAGCCTGATCATCATTCCTTCTCATCTGCTACCTCTCTTCCTCTTACTCATCTTTATCGACACTGGCCTCCCTGCCTCCTATTATCTCTGAATAAAATGTCTTCTAAAATAGCACATGGAGGTGATCTCAGGATCATGGTGGATGGGAGGCAGGACTAGATTGCAG
Source organism: Homo sapiens (assembly GCF_000001405.40). Lineage (NCBI taxonomy): Eukaryota > Metazoa > Chordata > Mammalia > Primates > Hominidae > Homo > Homo sapiens. Next base: position 156,084,623 of record NC_000002.12, on the reverse strand, counting down.
CTCCAGACAGAGCAGCATGCAGAGGCTTGCATTGTGAATTTTAGCTCCAGATCGACTGCAAGGACAAAACAGCAATTCTGAGAGGACCACAGACCCTCTGAAGGAAGCGGACTGCTCTTGCCGTACCCAGTAGACATTCCAAATACTGTGAGTGCCCCAACTACGGACGTGGAAAAGGGAGACCCTCCTCTTCTGAACACACCCCCCGACTAGAGAAGCTGAAGTCTGTTTGCCAGCGAAGTTCCCAACTTTACTTGGAACTGAGTCAAGTTAGAGAGCTGAGCCGAGCGAAATACAGGGGTGGAGGAGGCAGCAGGGAGGCCCTGGGATCTCGCTGAATCCTCAAGCAGCCCATTCCTGCCTGACACCATAGGGATCCATCAGGAGGGAGGCCAGTGGAGCAGGGGGAATAACTCCACGGAAAGAAAATCTTCCCTAGCTGAACTTTATAACAATTTGAGCGGGGCGAGAAGCCTCCTGGGCAGAACTTGGGGGAGGGTGTGAATCTGGCTTGCAGACTTCACAGGCGGGGGAAGAACTAAAGCCCTTTTCTTTCACAGCTGGGAGGTGGAAAGCCTTGGGCAAGTTTTCAAGCCTGACTCGCCCTCTGTCTGGAAACAGACTTGGGGCTGTTGCGGGGGACACAGTGGGAATGAGACTGGCCCTTCAGTTTGTGTGGGAGCTGGGTGAGGCCTGTGACTGCCAGCTTTCCCCCACTTCCCTTACAACCTGCATGACTCAGCAGAGGCAGCCAGAAGCCTCCTAAGTAAACAACTCCAGTGACCTGGGAATCTCACCCTTATCCGCCTCAGCAGTACCAGTAAGACCTGCCCAAGGAGAGTCTGAGCTCAGACACGCCTAGCCCTGCCCCCACCTGATGGTCCTTCCCTACCTACCCTGGTAGCAGAAGACAAAGGACATATAATCTTGGGAGTTCTAGGGCCCTGCTCACTGCCGGTTCCTCTTCATACTACTACAGCTGATACTTTCTGGAAAGCACCACCTCCTGGCAGAAGGCCAACCAGCACAAAAATAGAGCATTAAACCACCAAAGCTAAGAACCTTCACGGAGTCCATCGCACCCTCCACCACCTCCACTGGAGCAGGCGCTGGTATCCACAGCTGAGAGACCCATAGATGGTTCACATCACAGGACTCTGTGTAGACAACACCCAGTAACAGCCCAGAGCCAGGTAGATTTGCTGGGTGGCTAGACCCAGAAGAGAAACAATCACTGCAGTTTGGCTCATAGGAAGCCACATCCATAGGAAAAGGGGGAGAGTACTACATCAAGGGAACACCCTGTGAGACAAAAAAATCTGAACAACAGCCTTTAGCCATAGACCTTCCCTCTGACAGAGCGTACCCAAATGAGAAGGAACCAGAAAACCAATGCTGGTAATGTGACAAAACAAGGCTCATCCACACTCCCCACCAAAATTACACTAGTTCACCACCAATTGATCCAAACCAAGAAGAAATCCCTGATTTACCTGAGAATGAATTCAGGAGGTTAATTATTAAGCTAATCAGGGAGGGACCAGATAAAGGAGAAGCCCAATGCAAGGAAATCCAAAAAATGAAACAAGAAGTGAAGGGAGAAATATTCTAAGAAATAAATAGCTTAAAGAAAAAACAATCCAAAATTCAGTAAACTTTGGACACACTTTTAGAAATGTGAAATGCTCTGGAAAAGTGTCAGGAATAGAATAAGTAGAAGAAACAAATTGAGAGCCCAAAGACAAGGTCTTCAAATTAACCCAATCCAAGAAAGACAAAGAAAAAAGAATAAGAAAATATGAACAAAGCCTCCAAGAAGTCTAGGATTATGTTAAACGACCAACCCTAAGAATAATCAGTGTTCCTGAAGAAGAAGAGGATTCTAAAAGCTTGGAAAACATATTCCAGGGAATAATTGAGGAAAACTTCCCTAGCCTTGCTAGAGACATAGACATCCAAATACAAGAAGCACAAAGGACACCTGGAAAATTCATTGCAAAAAAGATCCTTATGTAGGTATGTGTCATCAGGCTATCCAAAGTTAAGACAAAGGAAAGAATCTTAAGAGCTGTGAGAGAGAAGCACCAGGTAACCTATAAAGGAAAACCTATCGCATTAATAGAAGATTTCTCAGCAGAAACCCTACAAGCTAGAAGGGATTGGGGCCCTATCTTCATCCTCCTCAAACAAAACAATTATCAGCCAAGAATTTTGTATCCAGAGAAACTAAGCATCATATATGAAGGAAAGATACAGTCATTTTCAGAAAACAAATGCTGTAAGAATTTAGCATTACCAAGCCACCACTACAAGAAATGCTAAAAGGAGCTCTAAATCTTGAAACAAATCCTGGAAACACATCAAAACAGAACCTCTTTAAAGCATAAATCACAGGACCTATAAAACAAAAATACATGTTAAAAAGCAAAGAAAAACAAAACAAAAACAAAGTACACAGTCAACAAAAAGCACAATGAATCCAATGGTACCTCACATTTCCATTTTAACATTGAATGTAAATGGCCTAAATGTGGCACTTAAAAGATACAGAATCACAGAATGGATAAAAACTCACCAACCTACTATCTACTGCCTTCAGGAGACTTACCTAACACATAAGGACTCACATAAACTTAAAGTAAAGTGGTGGAAAAAGGCATTTCATGCAAATGGACACCAAAAGCAAGCAGGGATAGCTATTTTTATATCAGGCAAAACAAACTTTAATGCAACAGCAGTTAAAACAGATAAAGAGGGTCATTACATAATGGTAAAAGGCCTTGTCCAAAAGAAAAAATCACAATCTTAAACATATATGCACTTAACACTGGAACTCCCAAATTTATAAATCAATTACTAATAGACCTAAGAAATGAGACACACAGCAACACAATAATAGTGGGTGACTTCAGTACTCCACTGATAGCACTAGACAGGTCATCAAGACAGAAAGTCAACAAAGAAACAATGGATTTAAACTATACCCTGGAACAAATGGACTTAACAGATATATACAGAACATTTCATTCAACAAAGGCAGAATACGCATTTTATTCAGCAGCACATGGAACTTTCTCCAAGATATAATAGGCCATAAAATATGCCTTAATAAATTTAAGAAAATTGAAATTATATCAAGCACTTTCTCAGACCACAGTGGAATAAAACTGGAAATCAACTCCAAAAGGAACCTTCAAAACCATGGAAATACATGGAAATTAAATAACCTGCTCCTGAATGAGCATTGGGTCGAAAACGAAATCAAGATGGAAATTAAAAATTCTTCAAACTGACTGATAATAATGACACAATCTATCAAAAACCTCTGGGATACAGCTAAGGCAGTGCTAAGAGGAAAGTTCATAGCCTTAAATATCTACATTAAAAAGTCTGAAAGAGCACAAACAGACAGTCTAAGGTCACACCTCAAGGAACTAGAGAAACAAGAACAAACCAAACCCAAACCCAGCAGAAGAAAGGAAATAACCAAGATCAGAGCAGAACTAAACAAAATGGAAACAAACAAGCCAAAAAATACAAAAGACAAATGAAACAACAAGCTGGTTCTTTGAAAAGATAAATAAAATTGATAGACCGTTAGCAAGAAGTTAGAAAGAAGTTAGAAGAGAGAAAAATCCAAATAACCTCACTGAGAAATAAAACAGGAGCTATTACAACTGACACCACTGAAATATAAAAGATCATTCAAGGGTACTGTGAAGACCTTTAGGCACATAAACTAGAAAACTTAGAAAGATAGATAAATTCCTGGAAAAATACAACCCTTCTAGCTTAAATCAGGAAGAATTAGGTACCCTGAACAGACTAATAACAAGCAGCAAGATTGAAATGGTAATTAAAAAATTACCAACAAAAAAAAGTCCAGGACTAGATGGATCCACAGCAGAATTTTACCAGACATTCAAAGAATTGGTATCAATCCTTTCAACACTATTCCACAAGATAGAGAAGGAAGGAACCCTCCCTAATTCGTTCTATGAAGCCAGCATCACCCGAGTAACAAAACCAGGAAAAGACACAACCAAGAAAGAAGACTACAGACCAATATCCTTGATGAACATAGATGCTAAAATCCTCAAAAAAATACTAGCTAACCAAATCAAACAACATATCAAAAAGATAATCCACCATGATCAAATGGGTTTCATACCAGGGATGCAGGGATGGTTTAACATATGCGAGTCAATAAATGTGATACACCACATAAACATAATTAAAAACAAAAATCGCAAGATCAACTCAATAGATACAGAAAAAACATTTGACAAAATCCAGCATCCCTTTATGATTAAAACTGTCAGCAAAATTGGCATACAAGGGACATACCTTTATGTAATAAAAGCCATCTATGACAAACCCACAGCCAACATTATACTGAATAGGGAAAAGTTGAAAACATTCTCTCTGAGCATGGGGATGAGAAAAAGATGCCCACTCTTACCACTTCTCTTCGACATAGTACTGAACATCCTAGCCAGAGCAACCAGACAAGAGACAGAAATAAAGGGCATCCAAATCAGTAAAGAGGAAGTCAAACTGTCCCTGTTTGCTGATGACATCATTGTTTACCTTGAAAACCTTAAGGATTCCTACAGAAAGTTCCTAGAACTGATGAAAGAATTCAGCAAAGTTTCCAGATACAAGATTAATGTACACAAATTAGTAGCTCTTCTATACACCAATGGTGACCAAGCAGGGAATCGAATCAAGAACTTAACCCCTTTTACAATAGCTGAAATAAAAAATACTTAGGAATATACCTAACAAAGGAGTCAAAAGACCTCTACAAGGAAAACTACAAAACCTGCTGAAAGAAATCGTAGATGATACAAGCAAATGGAACCACATCCCATGCTCATGGATGAGTAGAATCAATATGGTGAAAATGACCATACTGCCAAAAGCAATCTATGTATTCAACATGATCCCCATCAAAATACACAGAGTTAGAAAAAACAATTCTAAAATTCATATGGTACCAAAAAAGAGCTCTTATAACCAAAGCAAGACTAAGCAAAAAGTGCAAGACTGGAGGCATCACAGTAACTGATTTCAAACTATACTACAAGGCCATCGTTGCCCAAACAGCATGGTACTGGTATAAAAATAGGCACATAGAGCAATGGAATAGAATAGAGAACCCAGAAATAAACCCAAATACTTATAGCCTACTGATCTTCAACAAAGCCAACAAAAACATAAAGTGGCAAAAGGACACCCTTTTCAACAAATGGTGCTGTCGGCTAGCCACATTTAGAAGAATGAAACTGAATCCTCATCTCTCACCTTATACAAAAATCAACTGAAGATAGATTAAGAACTTAAACCTAAACTAAAAAAACTCTAGAACCTGAAATTATAAAATTCTAGAAGATAATATGGGAAAAACCCTTCTAAACATTGGCTTAGGCAAGGATTTCATGACCAAAAACCCAAATGCAATTGCAATAAAAACAAAGAGAAATAGGTCATGAATAGACAGTTCTCAAAAGAAGATATACAAATGGCCAACAAACATATGAAAAAATGCTCAACATCACTAAAGATCAGGGAAATGCAAATAAAAATCACAATGTGATACCACCTTACTCTTGCAAGAATGGCAATAAAGAATAAAAAAACAGTAGATGTTGGCATGGATGCAGTGATCAGGGAACACTTCTACACTGCTGGTGGGAATGTAAACTAGTACAGCCACTATGGAAAACAGTGTGGAGATTCCTTATAGAACTAAAAGTAGAACTACCTTTTGATCTAGCAATCCCACCACTAGGTATCTTCTCAGAGGAAAAGAAGACATTATTCAAAAAAAGATACTTGCACACATATGTTTATAGCAGCACAATTCGCAATTGCAAAATTATGGAACCAACCCAAATGCCCATCAATCCATGAGGGGATAAAGAAACTGTGGTGTGTGTGTGTGTGTGTGTGTGTGTGTGTATATATATATATATATATATATATATATATATATATATATATATATATATATATATGATGTAATACTATTCAGCCATAAAAAAGAATGAATTAACAGCATTTGCAATGACCTGAATGAGATTGGAGACTATTATTCGAAGTGAAGTAACTCAGGAATGGAAAACCAAACATCATATGTTCTCACTGATATGTGGGAGCTAAGCTATGAAGAAGCAAAGGCATAAGAATGATACAATGGACTTTGGGGACTTGCAGGGAAGAGTGGGAGAGGGGTGAGGGATAAAAGACAACAAATACTGTGCAGTGTTTACTGCTTGGGTGATGGGTGCACCAGGATCTCACAAATCACCACTAAAGAATTTACTCATGTAATCAAATACCACTTGTACCCCAATAACTTATGGAAAAAAACAGCACATGGCTAACTTCCTCACCTCTTTAAAGTCATTGATCAAATTATCAGTTCCTCAATAAGTCTTGCCTTCACCAACTATTCAAATTGCTAATCTCCCAAGAACTTCTAATCTATATCTCACTTTATTTTTGTTCATAGCATGTATCATTTTCTAAAATCCTGATAGTTTATTTATTTATTATGTCCATTGTTTATGATATGCCTCCCATGCTGGAATTTAAATTCAGTGAGGCCAAGGGTTTTTGTATGTTTGTTTGTTTAGGTTTTGGTAACTTCTGATTATTATTGTGTCTTGAGTACCTAGAACCTTGCTGACACATAGCAGGTAGTTAACAAATATTTGTAAACCAAATGAATGAGTGGATAAGATAATCAAAGAAAAATATTTCCCACTCATTTGATGAAAAATATTCACCAACCTAGATTTTTTATTATTATCATTGATGAACAAATTGAGTGGTTTACAAATTAGAAAAATCTAGCTTTAACTCGGTGTTTTATTGTTTTCTATTTAGTCAAGTCCTAGAGATAGGAAATTTTTCACAAATTAAGTCTTTGTGTAGTTAAAAATTATTTTGGTATTCATTGTTTGTTTTTAGTTGGGCTTTTTAATACCTGACATCTAGATAAATGCTGTAGGGCTCTGAAACCAACATTCTTCCTTCTTGAGGTGTGGTGAAGATATTTCCTCCAACATTGCATTTGCTTGTATGAATCATAATGAAAGCCAAGATTTCAAAAGGCAGCAGTAGACATGGGTTTCATATAAGTGGAGATCAAACTTTTCTTACTATGTACACTTTCTCAAATTTTTTCCAAACATTGTTTCAAAACAGCAAAGAGAAAATAACCTTACTATCTGTGATGGCAGCTTACCTTTGGGGGTAAGGGTGGTAGAGGTAGGCTCCAGGCTTAGTTCTTGTGTTCTCTGAGGAGGATTAGAGGACTCTGAGCAACAGCTGTGGGGTGAGGGAGGTTAGAGAGCTGGCAAATTGAGAAAACCAAACCAAACCAAACCACTGTGTGCCAGACCTGAACAGCTGTGTCTACTACTGATAATCCTTCTGCACAAGCAAGCCGGTTGCTTCCATTCAGCACCCTGGAAGGGAACTTAACCACACAGCAAAAAATAGAAAGCTCAGAGTCTTGTTTAGAAGCTCTCTGCTCCTTGCTTTTTGTTCCCTGACTGATACTTCCTACCTCTTTCACTGATTAAGCAATGGCAGCTTTTGGCTCTCATTAGGTAAAGCAGTAAACCTAAACTCTAAGTAAAAGACAGATTTTACATATTGACTAAATTCTTTTGATTTTACTGTTTTGTTTTTAATCTGATAGTTTGTCAATAACTAAGAGGAATGTTCAAGAGATATCCAAGTCACCTCTTCCTCTGGTTTTCTGGAGATGTAATTCTCTATACTTCTAATCTTTTCTTCTAATTATAGTTTATCAATTATGCAGGTAGCATCTTTTTTTCCAACATGTTAAAGAACATTTGTTCCACTGTAAATGCCTAAATTCTATAATTATGTCTTTTAATCTGGTAGATTCATTTATAAATATTAATTAAAAGTATACTCCTAAACACAAAACACAATCCTAGTTGTAATTTAATTTTAATTTTACTTAACTTTTTTTGTATTTTACAAAATCTCCACACTGTAAAATAATTCCTAAATATTCAAAAAGTAATACATGTTGAAAAGAAGTGGTGAGAGTGGGCATGCTTGCTTTCTCTTGATTTTAGAGAAAAAGCTTTCGGTTTTCCACCACTGAGTATGTTATTAACTGTGGGTTTGTCATGCATGGTCTCTATTATGTCGAGGTACATTCTTTCTATATCTAGTTCGTTAAGAATTTTTATCATAAAATAACCTAATAAATATAAAATTATTTATGCTGTTTGTTGTTATTTTTAATTTTTTATTATTCTAGACTACTCTCTAAACTTGTGAACCACCGTATATTCTTGCGTGTCTACTTTTAGCTCCTTAAAACATCTGCCTCTTTCTTTCATTATTTTTTTTTGAACACCACTATTATATTTCATCTGTCATACAGGTATTCTAAAGGCAATGTCTGTTTATTGCCAAAATTTAGAAAACTTATAAATTCAGAAATTTACCTACTTTTTTCCAGAAATTTGCAAAATCAGAAAATATGTAACTATAATATAGAAAATGAATTCCATCTATACTACTCATCCTAAGATGACCATTATTTACCTTTTGCTAAATATACTAGAATTTTTTCCAAATATTTATTGTATAATTGTGTATGTACCCATATACACATACACATTTGAAAAACTGAACTCATGTAGTACATGCTGTTTTGCAATATACTCTTTCATTTAAATATATAATATGCATTCCATTAAATGGAAGTATCATAATTTATTATTGACTAACATTTAGATTATCTTCCATTGCAATGGAAATCTTTTTAAACACGTTTACACTTCTGTAATAATAAGCCCTAGTATTTGATACTGAAACTTGAATAAAAAGAAATTTGAATAAAAATAAAGTATAAAGCACATCCAGTAAGCTTATCCACCTTTACATTTTTTCTCATAAATGTGAACTGTTTCAAGATTTCTTTTTCAAGAGCATAACTTATTGTATTCATATATGTGAATAATGGTCCTGATGGAAAGACTTCAGGATTATTGTACTAATAATTAAAATTTCTAATTCAATATCAAGCACCCTTCTGCATTTTCCTGATGCCTAGTTTGTGGTAATCAGGGACCAAAAACTAATTTAGGTATTGTTAAATCCTATGGCTAAGTGTCTTGCCATTCTTTGCTGAGTTCACTATTGGTCAAGTTAAGTTTGTCCCTAGAACATATGTTATTTTGTTCCTTTCTAAGAAAGCTTAGAGTATGGTTTTTGCTCCCTCTGGGGATTGAAACTAGTCTCTATCATTTTAAAAGTAAAATGCAATTAGAAATGCACTATTAAGAGGAAACACACACACAAAAACTCATAGGTTATATTACAACACTGTCTATAGTGTGTTATAAAAAGAATATGAAGTAGGAGCCACCTAAATTCACTCTAAGATTTGAAGCAAATTAGCCACCCAGAGGGACCAGTCTCAGTCTATCTGAAACTCTTTTTCCTCATTTACTAAGTTATATCTGTGCTATCAACTTTCAAGGTGGTTGTGTGGATCATAAGAAATAACATATGTTCATAGTTTTTGAACAATGTCAGGAACAACTTTATTTCAAGGTGTTGGGTTCCTAGCCTGAAGGAGAATTTCCACCTGGATGGTTTCAACTGAAGAGAATCTAATAAAAATCATTCTGTAGAGAGGCGTGGGCAGTGTTAAAGAAGCAAAAGCAGGCAGTGGAGTCTACATGAGACTAATAGCATGAAATCATCCCATCTGTATCAGTCACGAGCAACTAGGACAGTGATTCTCAGACTCTGGCCCCTGGACCAGCAGCATCAATATCATCTGTCAGGAATGCAGATTCTCAGTTCTTATGTTGGACCCACTGAATCAGAAACTCTGCATGTGGGACTAGTGAGCATTCTAGTTCATTCTGGTAGATGCTAAAAATTAAAAACCACTGAGGTAGGTTATGCAATGGTAATAAAAACTCCAAATAAATGAATTAAAAACACTTATTTCCAACTCATGCTCTATTTTGAACATGTTATTGTGGGTCAGCTGTGGTTCTGCTCCCTGTTGTCTTCCCTTAGGACACAGGCTGATGATGCAGCTTCTATAAGAACACTGCTAGTTATGACAGCAGAAAATAAGAACATGGTAAAGGTTGGCTTTAAAATTTCTCTTGAGAAATTACGCAAATTGTTTTGCTCTTCATTGGCCAAATTGGTCACATAGCCGTGTCTAAGTTTAATGTGCCAGGATATGAGTTTCATCTACAATGAGGTTCCCTGAGTATGGGTCAAAAATAATACTATTGACTCCATCACTCTTAGGCCAGAAGAAGCCGTGGGAGGAAATAAAGTTCCTGGAGGCCAGGACAACCTAGAGCCAGGAGCTGTGCTTGTACTCAGTAGGAGAGAAAACATGGAGGGTGAAAGTGCTGCTAAAGGAGAGGCACAGAAATAGAGACCTCCACACCCATCCTGTGTCTGCGTGGGTCAGTCCACTGCTCCAAACAGGGCAGAAAAGGCTGGAACCTGGATCTGGAGTGGTGGCAAAGAATTACCAGCTAATAAATTATTATCATCAATGACTTTTGAATTATCAATGACTGTATCATCAATTTAGATAAAAATGATCAAGAGACAGTGTAGCATTTCTAAAGTAAAGATAGTTTCTACAACTGATGACAAAGTAAAGAATGGTGAAATAGAAATGTGTTCAACTGGGCTTCAGAGACCTTTGTATTAATCCGTGGTTTAGTTCAGGCAGGCTACATAATGGTGGGAGAAACTCAGTTTATGCACCAATACAAAGAAGTTTGGTTGAGATAAACTCCAGGATTCTTTTTAGTAATATAATAGGATGTTTTTATGTCACATCCATCTTGTTTGATAGACATTAATAGAAGTGGAAGTGACATAGAGCTAAGTTCCACTAATCATCTTTTTTTTTTTTTTTTTTTTACCAACAGTTTATATGATATACTATGACCAGCATTAATTTATTCTTAAAAGGTTCAATCCCCAAAAAAGGTAGTTGGCACATTGTTGGCTTCAAGCAAATATTTGTTGTTTTATAGATTGGCAATAGATTTCTTTTGGAAAAATCAAGATTGATTGAACCACAATAACCCTAGGAGGTCTGTTTTCCTCTCTCTATATTAAGTGAAAAAAAAAAAAGGGTCAGAGAAGCTAGGTATCTTGAAAAAATTTGCACAGATAATATAGGGCAACACCCGGAATTGTGTGGGGACTTGGTCAAGTTATTGAATCTTTTTGAGCTTTAGTTTATTCATTTTTAAAACCATAATTGTAATTCAAATATTGGTGTGATTTTGAAACAATTAGGTGAGATATATGCATGGTACTCAGCGAAGTGTTCGGCATGTATCAGGTTTCTTATAAATGTTAGTTCTTCTTGCTTCCTTCCATTTATCCAAAGCACATACTCTGACGCTTTACATATAATAGATGCTTAATGTATAATTTCTGCTTGATTAATACTAGAATATATTAATTGGCTACAGCCATGTACTAGCTATTGTAATAGAATCTGTTGACTCAATTTTGGTGACATTCCTGGTCACTTTTATTTTTGTTGGCCATGATGGTTAAGAACTTGTTTGGAGTCCAGATTTGAATCTTGACTTTGGTAGTTATTTACTTTGTGATCTTGGCCAAGGTCACTGTGGCTTAAATTTCCCATCTGTAAAATGAGTATAATGATAATGATGATGACAGTGGTAACTTCCTTATAGATTTTTTAAAAATGAAGTTTGAAGAAATTAATACCTGTAAACACATAAAATAATGCTTGGCACAGAGCAAACACTTGAAAATTGTTAGTTTTTATTATTATTCTTAGATGCTCACATTGTTTGATAAATATCCCTCTCCCTTCACACACACACACACACACACACACACACACACACACACACACACCTCAACAACTCTAATGATATCCCTCTCAAGAGTCACCCCCAAAAGTATAGTATCAATATGTATAGGTTTCCAAATGACATTTTATAAATGAGCACCAAAAATTCTCTTAAGCAAAAGAGAGGGAATCAAATGCCAAAAACCAATTAAATATTATGGAGGGTAATACACCGTCTGACACAATCAGGCGACAGAGAATGAAGGCCAACATAGCGTTCCCAGCTGTACACTCTGCTGCCCTTTTCCCCCTCTTAACAGGGTGAGTTAAGGTGGAGTGTCATCCTTAACTTTGAATTTTGCTGCTTTTGTCAGTTTGTGTCACAACCTTAACATTATTTAAATGTACTTTTTTGTATTTAATATTCATATTCAGGTGTTCAAGCCATAATTTCTGTTAGTAAAAGTGACATTTCTTAAAGTTCATTATTTTTTCCACATAGAAATCTCAGACATTAAAAAAAAACAGACTTTAAATAATAGAACAGAAGTGTCTTCAGGCTAACAGCCACCCCTATGATTTGTCATTTTGGTACTTGAGTACCTGGAAGAAATAAGTTTGATAACACCCGAGTCATTTAGCTTTGTGATTAGGAACCCGGCAGTCAGAGCTGTGTGTCTTAGGCAGCCCTTCACATTCAGTGGAGAGCTTATAAAGACGGTGTTGCTCTGACTTTTTTTGCTTGACATTTTCAAACCAAGATGCACTATATAAAATGTCCAGTAAATTTGCCAAGTATTTCAAGTTATCATGGCAATGTATCTTGATGATAATCAAGAATGTGGCAACAATTATATGGCATCTATCTGTGGGGTTTAGGTAAAGTACTCAACTGAAATCCTCAAAGTAATTCACTTACAAAAAGTAAAATAGGTAATGCTTATTGCTCAGGGAGAGAGAATAGACTTTAGACTTCTTTAAATGTACCATGAAAAGAAATACAAGTTAAAGCCAATCCATTATAAATGCAATGAGAGGGTCTTTCTGGTCAGATTTTATCACATACATATCACATCAATTTTGTCTCTTTCTTTTAATGTGGCATATGTATTTTTTAAAAGTCCATCCGAAGAGTACAATGTACCTCACATATACCCAAATGACATTGGATATAGGAGACTGTTTCAGAAAGGTGCGGGATTTTTTAGTTATTAGAGTTTGACATATACCATTTATCATTAATGCTGTTGGTTTAAAAGACTCTAAGGAAAAAGAGAAAGAAAAAAAGAAATAAAATTTTCAAGCTTTGATGTTACATTATACTAAAAATGTAACAAAATTGTAACCTTCAGACCCCTACTGTCTGTTTTAACAGCCTATACTGCTTATTTGTATCTCATTCTCATTGAATGGTTTTTGTTCATTTCTTGATGTGAGGGGATGCTGCATCTTATTCACATTAGGAATTTGAGAGAAGGGATTCATTGATTTTTGTATTAATTTGTGCTAATTCTAGTAGGGGTGTGTTAACCTTAATAAAAATTGGCATCATCTAAAAGTCCACATTAAAAATTAAACTATGCATTAAGCATTTAAGTAATAAAAATTAAAGGTCCTTTGCTTTATTTAAGGATTTACTCCAAACACTAAAAGAGAGAACTGATACTGATTCACTATATATGACTTGTCAGAAAAATGTAAAAACATCTATATTCCAATTTTAAGTGATGGCTTTCATAAGTCTTATCCAAACCACATAAACATTAATGAAACATGAATTGTTTGTAGACGAAAGTAGAGGATCTATTAGAAAATAACTTTTAAAGATCTTTAATCTTTGCTGGCATTTAAAAATATTAGTTATTTTGTATTGCTGTTTTCTCTGCTGTTTTACACACATAATGATACCTGTTGACTAGAATTTTTAACCTTTCTATACAAGTAAATTGTTCAACATTTGTTTCAAAGAGAGCAAATATGTTTTGGATCCATGCTTGATTATGCCTTTGCTATAGACACATCTTTTTATATTTATTTTTAATGAAATTTATCTATGCTTCCCTTCTTGCTAAGCAGAGTATAAAAAGACACGCATCCTCCCTGGAAGAAAATAATTTGTAGTTTTCAGTAGAGGGAATGTAATTTCTTCACCCCCTCCTAAACACTTTAGGGCTTCTTGTTCAGCCTCTTACTTTCTTCTAGCCACTAAATAAGAATTGTGAAGATATCTTTCCCTTTATTGAGAGTGTTCTTCATTTTTTATTTTTTACCCATTTCAATTCTATCCAGTTATTCTTGGCTGAGGTTAAATTTTTGCTCTTCCTTCAATATTTATCTGCACCAGTTCCCTTTTACCTCCCTACCCAGGATCCCAAAGTCATTTGTAGTTTTTGCCATCTACCCTTTTTTACACAGAGTTATGCATTTAAAATATTATTTACCTTTGTAAGCTCATTTAGGCAGGTACCAAGACATTATGCTGACCATTTTCTCTGATAATGCTGTATTTGTTTTATATAAAAAGTGTTATTGCTATATGAAGTCTTAGAAAATTGCAAGCATTCTTTCAAGAACGCACAGTCCCTAGAAGTTGTGTCCTGTATATTCCTCAAAATGCCTTTAGAATGTTTAATAAGAATAAAATATCATGTTTTTAAACATGTGATGTGTATACTATCCTAAAAGAGATATAGTTGCTGTTTACAAGAGTTCCAAGTAATAAAGGAGGGGAGCAATGTAGTTTTAATCATTGTAAATGGCTAACAATGTTGGGTCTCAGATTAATTCTTGGGGTAGATTTCAGGTAATACAAGTGTTTAAAATTAACATCTAAAACTATTTAATTCTTCATATCATTTACATTATTTTGTTCATATTATTTGATGCAAGCTTAGTTGTAGACTGTTAGGTTCTACTCCTCCAGGAATCTGCAAACACAGTGAACCTGCAAATGTGAAGCTCAAATAACTAAACTCCTTGAAACAGATTTATATGTTGCCTTTCTCAATGACAACCCCACTAACCATGGCGGTTAACGTCACTAACCATGATCTAGCCAAGAACATAATCCCAATACCCATACTAACCAGGACAGACCTAGTTTTAACATATTCCTTCAAGGCAAAGAAATTAAATTTTTTCTTTAAGCTATAGACCTCTGCAGGACATGTTCAAGTGGTCCATGAATGGAATGTTTTTATTCGCTTGAGTCCAGTGCTCTTCTGGGGGCTTATTTTTGACCTAATATAACCTTAACATGACCAATTTTTCTAAACTTTTTTAGAATTTTTTCATTGTAATTCATAGACATATAGTGTTAATATATTACTGGGTAAAATATACTGAGCTCCACTGAAGAAAAAAAGTTATTAAGGGCATGAGAAGTTGTTTTCCAACAAAATTTAATTGGCTGAACAATATCTGGCTTTAGAAAACATTAGTAATAAACAGACCCTTCATATATTGGGTTTGTAACCAAGCCTCAAAAAATGAATGTTTTTGTTATTCAGTGAGACTTCATGGCTTGAAATGATGTGCTAATCTAATAAATTAGAATATAAAATTAAATTATCACCCCATTCCTTATAAGACATAGTAAAAGATTATGGGTTATTAAGCTTCTTATAAGAGTGACTTAGCTTAGTTAATTTCTTTTGCCTTAATTATAAAAAATTAATTGTACTTCGTACCAATTCAAATATTCTTAGCATGTATGAGACCAACAACAAAGATCTCTTAGAGAGAACGCGTCCATGCTTCTCTCTTTTCCCTTAATAATGTAAGATGTGGTAAACAAGATGCGGGAAACGCCAGGAGAGGGAGCGCACCAATCTAGTGCAACTTACCTTCAGAAGGATAGGAAAAGGGAAGAGATGATTATCATTTCTATTATTTTTACTAATCTCTGTAATCCAATAATTCTTTTCTAACTAATTTTTTTCTTATAACTAGTATCCATCTTTTCCTTATATATGCCTTCTACTTATTTTTCCTATAAGACACTTCTAAAAGATGGTCTACCTTATAGGATGTTCAAGAACTCAATAGAATTTAATAGATGTAGACAAGGTGGGGGTTTGCACCATTTCACTTCCATTAAATATGTAAGCAGGGTTAAAGGACTGTGGGTGTGTGGAAACAGGAGTTAGTAATTGTGTTTCATCAGAGATATAACGTATCAGACTCCTTAAGATGTTTCAGTAGAACCTATTGTCCCCTGAAGCAAAAGAACCAGATTCTAGATGGGAAGATGTAATTGTGTGAAGTACTCTGGAGCAAACTGACATATTATACAATACATTGAGAGCACGCAATGAGTAGATTCAGATCCAAGTTGTGGTGAAAGATTTAATTACTGAGTTAGATTGGAGGTACTTGTGTGAATGAGCAAAACTTCACATAGAAGATAATTATTCAATAATCAACTTATTTTAAATATTTTCAAAGTATAGTGTAGCTATCCTCACTTCTTATTAAAATGTAGGGTTTTTTTATTTTTAGTGATAATCTCACCTAGAAAGACAATTTTACATAGTGATAAACTGAAAAATACAGTTAGTCTTATTGGCAAAGACATTTGGTAGCATGGATAGGATATCAAAACCTCTCTAGCGAGAAAAAAAAGCTTACCTTGTAATAATGAAAAAGAATTCTATTTCCTTGGTAATCACCTACATAGTAATTACTTTCACCACTTGGCATTTAGCCTTTGTGTGATAGCACCTGCGACTCATGGTCACCATGAGTTGGCCTTCACCATCATTTTTAATTTTTGATGTTAAAATTTTCATCTAATTAACTTTTGCTAGGAATGTTGCCACTTCTTAATTTCAACACCTTTGATTTTGGGTGTTTGGTAATTGTGATTTGCTGAATTAAGTAAGAGTTTAATTATAAAAACAAAATCAGATATAAACACCTATAATTTATAAGATGAATAACAGTTTCTAATAAATGAACTCATCTCTTAAACATATTGACTGAGAACATAATACATACGAGGAACTATTCTAAATGTTACCAATTAGAAATGAGAGAATCAAAAAGCACCATCAAAAGAGATATCAAAACAGCTATGCAAAGAAGTAGTAGATTCAAGATAGAACATGTGGCAGGTATAAATACCTGGGTACATATACTCAGGCGTGCAAGAATAATCACATCCTTGTTTTAAATCATCTTTCTTTTGATTTTGCAATTGCATCCAGCCTGGCTGGCATCAAATTTCATCTCAGTCATTATTAGAGCTCCTTTTTCCTATCAAAGCCTTTGGAACTGGGGGCACTGTTTAGTGTCCAGAACTGGCAGACTGTTATCAGACTACTGATATACCCAGGTCCAACCCTGGGTGATCTCGTGAACTCCAAAAATTATCTGCTTTGACGTCACCTGAGCTTTAGGAAGAACTTTGCCAGGTTTAGGAACACTGGTTCCACTATCCAGTCACCCTTTCCGCAGCCTGCTAACTCATCTATCTGATAGAGTGAGAATGGGACTCAGTTCTTTAGTAATCCTGAGACCAGCTGCCTTTCCCACTCTTTCTACACCAGGGATCTACCAATGTACTCTCTCTTTCTCTCCCTGTCATCTCCTTTCCCTGCTCCTTTCCTCTCCCCTGCTCTCTCCTGTCTTCCTCCATGGAACCTAATTTCATCTTCTCAATGCACTTAGATTTTACAGAAAACAGGAAGAGCTCCTGGTTCAGAATTATTTTTCCTTTTTCTGTTTTCTAAACTCAGTAGTAAAATCGAAGAATAAGCACACAGAATAATATTTCAATGAACTATTCAGACACTAGTTATGTAGTAATGTAGAAGAGAAGTCATTATCTCATTATATTCATAAGACAGAGAATTCTAAACTTTGATGAGTGGATTTGGGAAAAATTAGCATTTCTGTTTTTTATTTTACATAATAAAACTTTCAAAATATCTCTTAAACTTATAATTTTTGCATATTTTATATGCATATATTGTATTCATATAATATAGTAAGCATATGTATAAGTAAAATTTATACATAAATAAATGTGTTGAGAATAGAAGCTTGAAATTTTCAATCAATGAGAGTATATGATTAAAAATGTAAAGACAACCAATCTAAGAAATTATAATATAGTTCAATTTAATAATTAAATGAGTACCCAGCATTTACAAAGCAATGTGCTAAGTATTTCAGGGGACACAAATTTTAAGGCAGGCAGATATGTAGTTAACTATTTAAAGGGGAGTTTAAAAATGAAATTCATGTCTGTATCATAGACCAGTCCTATAAAAAAGGATGTTACATAGAGAATCTTACTATAAGTTTTCAAAAGACAGAAAGTCACATCCTGCTGTGTGTGTTTGTGTAGTGGAAAGGGTGGGTGGAACATGGATCAGGAAAACTTCATGGAAGTGTACTTTTGGACTTGGGTCTTGAAAGTGGGGTGGGTATTACCTGCAAAAATAAATTTAGGAAGAAAGGTAATCCAGGTCAGAAGTCTTTGGGTACTCCGATGGTACATAAAGCATTTACAGGAGGTACTCAGTCATGTACACCATTAAAGAAACAAAATTTTCAGATTCTCAACCTCCGCATGCATGTTTTCAGAATTCATGCTTCTTTTTTCCCTCTTCACAATACCGCCCTCTGTGGGTGGGGGAGGAATCATTGAATATACATTAGAGACCTTGCAACTCCAGACTGGCGAGTTATAATACTCAAAAGAAAGATAGAAGGTTCAAATGGTGATCAGGAGAATACAAGATACATCACAACACTGTGTAAAACACAGAATAATAATTAATGTAGCCCAATAACTCAGTGACATAATAGTAACTTCAACAACTAAAATATTTATAGTGCTCATCTAAAGTTTGCACATGTATAATCTCATTTGTTTTTATACATCTCCATTGACTAGATAACTACATATTCTCAAATTACTTAAGAGAAAATTATGTCTCAGTTGATGCAACTAGGCAAAGGCTATACATCTAGATACAGAAGAACTGTAATTCGAACACAGGCCTTTGGAATATATTTTATGTTATTTCCATACTACTACCGAGTCTTTATGCTCTATCCTTGCAAGTCTGCAAAGAATACTGAGTAAACTAGGTAAAAATAAAGTTAGGAAAAGCTAACTGATTCATCATAAAGAGAGGATACAGAACAGATCCTTAAAAATTTAAAAACCATCTATATTCTTGCTTTCAAGGTACAGTCTGTAGAATGTAGCAACACTATCACATGAGAACTTGTTCTCAGGCCACCAACCCATATCTACTGAGTCAGAATTTGTATTTCTGACAGTATCCCACACATTTTATTAAAATTTGAGAAGCACTGGGATAGATGACAAAGCAAACTTCTTCTCAGTATAGGTAAAATAGCTTGTTTGGCATTTATAACATTACTTCCACCAGTGAATGGTTCATTTCACTTGCTTCGATATTATAAATTCTCCTTGTTATCCATAAAAATCCACAGACAAAAAATTAGGTTCCCATTAGCTCTCCTTTATGTAAGGAAAAATAGTTTATTATGTTTAAAGCCAGTAATCCCTAATTTTAAAGTAATGTTTACCTAATTTAACTGCACAATATTCCAACCCAAAGATCACAAATTAGATATAAACTATAGGCAGATTGGCTGACTACTAAATATTTGGTTGTTCCGGCATTTGTAAATGATTTATATGAAGGTTATAAATCATATTTTGAGCTTCATGTTATCTCCTTGCTAGAAGCAGAACGTGGGCAAATTCAAAAGGTAACTACAAAGAGGTGGCCCTAGAGTTTGTTTCCCTACGTCTTGATGTACTTTTTTATGCTTCCAATACTCATCAGTTTTTTGCATCAAGTTTTAAAAGAGAAGTATGTATAAGGTTGGTGGTGGTTTGTTTAAACTCATTGCACTTTTGTGAATTTCAAGTGACAAGTATGTTCTGCCATTAGCAGAGATTTGGAGACACTCATACGTGCCAGAACATGCAAAAGCCACACATTCTTTGTTAAACTAAACAGTCCTAAGCATTGTGTGGACTCCTGGCATAGCATGGCTAAATATTCAGACACATGCCTATATAGTACTCTGTGTTCTGCCAAATGGAGGGAAAACAAAAGAAAGAAAATTATATAAATATACTGGTAAACATTGACTTTGTAAGATACAGCATAAGCTGCTTTGGAAAAAGATTGTAGAGCATGATTCAAAGAATGCATTTAAATTCTTTTCCTTAGGAAAATGCATCTAATTTGTTTTTCATGAAAACATGTATTTAGCAGTGGAGAGTTTTTCATTGGCTAAGATATTTTGGCATATTTATGGTAAAAAGGTGATTGGAATAATGTTTGCATTCATTTTGCACTGAAAATTGAAATAAGTATAAGATATACACTTTGTAACATAAAAATCATTGCCAGTCAGGATATATTCCCTTTAAGAAAGCATAATTCAGTATATGAAAATTCAAAGTGACTAAACTATAAATATGGAAGAATTATTCATGTTACCAAAGGATCCTTCCTTTACCAAACATTTATCACAGGAAATCTTTAAATAAATACTTTCCTTTTAGGACATTTAAAAGTACTGGATTTAAATGGTTGATGCTGAAGAAATAGCTAAGGAGCACATCTATTATATAAGGCATAAATCTTAATAGATGACTTCTGAATTTCTTAATGATCTTGATTTATGTTAAAATGATTAATTATTACCAGCCACAGAAGAAACTGGAAAGTCTAATGGCCAAGCCAAGGTGATGTTTCCTCAAATAAGTTCTCTACTCTTGAAAGAATATATAAGCATTCCATGTTTTTCACTCACATGATGATTTTCTAAAATGACATTCTATTATGGCTACAATTATTTATTCCAGAATGCTACCAACATTTCTGGGACTATTTGAAAGCCATCTTGCTTTCTATGAAAAGTAACCCTTTGCTGTGCTTTCCCTCCAAATGCTTCCTGCAAGATTGCATGATCACATCTCTGTCTTCTGACCAGACTAACTAGACTTCCTCTAGGTCCTCTCACACCGCATAAGCCATGCCATATCCCAGCAGGTACGGGGAAAGGAGTGGTTCATACTGATACAGTAGCTCACATTGGCTGTTGCAAGCTCATCTTGCCTTTCTCATTGGAAAACCAGCAGCAATGACCAGATATTAGGTTTTCATTTATTATTATACTCTGTACAAATCATCATCTAAGCCATGACAGTTTTCATTTACTCACTATGCATCATAGGATCTAGTGGTTCTCTAAACTCTAGGCCTTTCTTTATATTGTCACCAGTGTTTATCTTTTAAGAAACAAATCTGCTCATACTACTCCCTTTTTGTCTGTTTAAAAGCTTCCCATGTTTTCCCATTTATTATGGAATTTCTCATCTGTAGAGAAATGACCCAGTGACTGGGCCATACTAAGTGAATGGATCAGGAAGTCTTAGAATAAATCTTTGGAGTCTATTATATGTATCATATAGTTTTATAACATTCCCCCCAAACAATGAAGTAAAACATTGCCCATAGCTTTTGTTGTTGTTGTTGTTGTTGTTGTTGTTTTTAGATGGAGTCTTGCTCTGTAGCCCAGGCTGGAGTGCAGTAGCACAATCTTGACTCACCACAACCTCTGCCTCCCGGGTTCCAGTGATTCTCCTGCCTCAGCCTCCCAAGTAGCTGGAATTACAGACATGCACCCCTATGCCCGGCTAATTTTATATTTTTAATAGAGACTGGGTTTCTCCATGTTGGTCAGGTTGGTCTTGAACTCCCGACCTCAGGTGATCCGCCTGCCTCGGCCTCCCAAAGTGCTGGGATTACAGGCGTGAGCCACTGTGCCCGGCTGCAATAGCTTTTATATTTAGGCACAAGTACAGAAGAAAAATGTTTATTTATGTTTTTATCTCTCCTTTCTCAAACACTTGCTATTGTGTCCATCCTGTTTTGTGCACAGCTTAATGGTCTCAATTTAGTTCATCCAATGTATCCAAGGTTATAATGTTTCTTCCTTTATCTAAATTTTCTCTATAATTTTCTTTTTGTAGACATAGGATTTGTTTTATTTTCACACACCATTTCCAGGATTTTGCTTACTATTCCATTCTAATTAAGGTACCCACAGTCCCTCTGCTCAAGAAAGTATGTTCTATCAATTTTCTCTGTCAAATCAACTGGCAGTTTTCCACAGCATGTACTTGTTACAATTCCGAGTAAGGTCGTAAGGCAGGGTAGAGCCAGCCATATATAGAATCACCTTAAAAATGAGGATTTAGGAATTCATAATGCTGCTGTTTAGAGAATAAATTCATATTCACTTGTAATTATGCTGGCTACAACTTATTTCCCATCATGTATTCTATTCTATGCCTGGTTGGAAGAGCTTCTCACTTCTTGATTACATTAGACTCTTAGGACCTCCTGCTTTTGCATATGCTATTCCTTAAATTTGAAGTTCTTTTCCTATTTTTTCTTTTTTTCCACCAGGAAAATTCCTGTGCATATTTCAGAGCTCAAATGTCATCTTTTTAGTGAAGTTTTCAGTCTCTCTTGGGCAGAATTATGCTGTCTCCTCTGTGCCATGGTATTTAGTTTATATTTTTGTCACAGCCCTTTTTATGTATCCCTGGAGCCTAACCCCATTCCTGGCATATAGTAAGAGCTCAATAAATGTTTTTGGAATAAAAAATTGAGAACACTGGAGGGACATTATGTCCCTAGTGTTCCCTCTAGGGTTAAGCCATTTGTACTTGATGTGCACAAAAATCTAATGAAATCACATAAAAAATTGGCAAAATACCTGACCCCCCAAAATATGACAAAATACCTCTTTTCAGAGACCTGCAAAATTAGGTCATTTCTTCCTAGGTTTAATATTTAAGTTCACATTGATATCCATAGCAAAGGGTTACAAGAAAACCTAGGGCTCTGGCCATGTTACAATCAGTATAAAATTAAAGAATGAGGAAAACATTTTGAACATTTTGTTCATCACTTGCTTTCTGCCTACAGTAAGATTATCCATAGAACAAAGAGTTCTCTCACCTTAGGAGAAAGACCAGGAAGCATGCAATGACATCAGGTCTATAATTTAGAGAACTTTATCTGCTAAAATTATTTTAGTTGTCCAGCTATCAAGAAAAATCCAGAAAAAAAAGATGTAAGGCATTGCAGCAAGTGAACTAGCTCATATTCTTACTTGCTCTGACAGGCTACAAACTTCAAACATCACCTCTAACATTTCAACCAATATATTAGATGTTCCTGAGCCAATTCTCTGCCTAGGTAACTCTTTCATTGAGTTACATGCAGGTTGGGAACTTGTCTCATTAATATTTCACACAGGTGTACTATGTGAAGTTCAGTTCTTAAGCTTTCTGGTCTTTAGTATTTGCAGACATATAAAAACGCGCCATTTCAAGGAATGAAGCAAACACTTTTCCTTAATCTGCCTCCGGGCATCACCTTTTAACTTATTTTGGGGGAGAATTTCACTATCTCTAGAAGAAGCATGAAGAAATTTTCAAAAGGAACCAATGACTTTCAAAATAAAAATGATTAGTCCTTTGAAATTCTATATTGGAATTTATATCTAATAAAATGAATTAGAACTCACTTGAATTAGAATTTAAGAGATTCTTTTCCTGTTTAGGAGACTTAAAAAAATCTTGGGGACTATTTGACTATCTCTACCATAAAGTGTTCATAATGGGCCAAGTCCATTGCACCTGATTTGCTTAGGCTATAGCAAAGAAAACAGATTCTATATTATGTAGGCACTCAAGCCAGCTTCAATTTGTTCTTACAGGTCTAACTGCTATTTCTTAGTTTGTTAAATATTAAAATATATTTCACAAAGTATTGTTTTTCAATAGGCAGCCCTCAGTCTATATTTTCAGGATCAGCCTGTAAGAAATATATTATTTAATTAATATTTTTATAACAGAAATCTTTTTTTTTTTCAGGTGGTCTGTGCAATTCTTTTGCTCTTGTGTCAGGTGCCAAAATATTTCAAAAGGAAGCTTATTTCTGCCATGTGTGATTTCTGATGTGTGATTTCTTTGGATGTCATTTTGCATTGCATGTGAGACAGCTATTTTTTATTTCTTGATGTCTGTTGCACCCAAAGGAAATCTGTATTTTGCTTTCTGGAAGAAAAGAGCAACTGGGTGGCATCGGAAAAACTTCCACCCACTAACATGGAAAAATATTCAATCTGTCCCATTACATTGAAGTGGGAGACTTTAAAGGGCAGCATACCCAGTTAAGGAAGATATATTTCCATCTGTGATCAATAGCATGTGAAGAACAGCTCCTCTCTGAGCTCTATCCAGAGCAAAATTACCTTGGTAGTTCCTCGACCGTGGACACTCTACAAGTTTCTAAGGTTGAGCAGCCATGGGGAGCCACACCTGATTCTAAGGGGGAAACCGTTCTCTCTGTGAGGCCCATGGAATATGGCTTTTCACTATTCTCCAGAGCTGTAGGATAGCTTTTAGAGACTGCACCTTTTATATAGACTACATAATAAGCAAGAGATAAATAGGTCCCAGAAAGCATTAGAGTGAGGCTAGCATGACAAATGTTTTCTCATTCCTTTCTGCTCTTCCATTCCTCTTTACAAAGAAATAATTTGGCTTCCTGCTTGGTATGGGGGAGTTGCATATATTTTCCCTAAAAGAACCAGAGGATCTAGTTCTGTTTAGTCAAGTGGAATCTGTTTTATCCTGGACCAGGTACTCATAACATATCCTGCTATCTGAATATTTTTTATTCTTTCACGCATTTAAGGGCATAAGAAAATCAAAATGCAGTGAAAGCCTAATAATGGGGATCATAAAGGCTAAATATAACCCCCACTTTTTAATAATAAAATCCCCATGAATTCTGAGAGCTCTTCATTATAATCTATCAGCCTTTCTCCCTTCCTTCCTTCGTTTCCTTGTTCCTTCCTCCTCCCCACTGCCTTCTCCCCCTCTCTTTCTTCACTCCTGCTCCCACCTATGAGAGCAGCAAATTAGCCGCAGAAGGTGTTTAACTCATTTGAACGTGGTCTCTTTCTATAGTACACAAATTAGTCAGGTCAAATCTTAGTTAGTGCACGTAATTTAATCTGAATTTCTTCACTTAGTCTAGGAAAATGAAAAACAAACCAAAAAAAGTAGAAGAATGAAGAAAATTCTTTTTGGTTCTCTCAATTTTTTGAGTTAATTTTGAGTTTTCAAGGAAAAATTTTTCCTTCCTGTAATTGCTGACCTTGGGGACCAATCACAGTGTTGTCTCCCCTAAACAACTGAACTGGTTGGTCTTAAAGGGTATTATAATTGTTTCCTCAAGAAAAGAGAAATTATAGTTGGTTACTGGTATTCTTTTTAGAACAACCTTAAACTGATTCTCTTGAAGGTTACCTTTAGGAGAGGGGCATTATGAAGCTGTATTATTGACAATAACAAGTTGGGAAAACGCAGAGAACCAGTGTAGAAGGTAGAACAAGAAGCTATGGACAAGTTGAGGACAATGTTTGATCCAGTGAGTACTCAGAACACAGGATCGAAACAGGGCAGTGTTGAAGACAAATGATGTAGTACAATTGAAAGAACATTAAACAAAGAACAAAGGGCAAGTTCTCAACCTGGCCCTGCCACTAATTAATTGTGACCTTAGACAAGGAGGAGCACTGAAGTCAAATAAAACATTCCTTTCAGTAAAGCACAGAGCTTGAGGAAGTGCTTGAGGAAGACTGAAATTCTCTGTCCAGGAGGGTAAACTATATTATTAGTAAATACCACAAATTTATCAGTCCATACAATTTCTAATTAGTGTTTCTGTTCTTTAGGGAGGCATGGGTAGAACAAATATATTAACTTATTTTTTAGACTACAGACATGCTTTAATTAAAAAAATCATAAAGTAATTATTTAATCCTAAAATGACATTTACAAACAAAAACCACTACATGATGTCTTGAGATAGGAATCTCATAGAGTATATTTTTAAAAAATCTGATTTGTGCATATTTCACAGAACATATTTATTGGGAAAAATGTGGGACCCACCTGTATTTCCAAGCAAAATAGCTACTTTTTTCTGGTAAAGTTGCCAATTGTGAGGCTGAAAATGCAAGTGTTGTTCTGTTAGGAGACAGAAGGATGGGCTACATGACCCTCAATCTACCCTTTCCAAATTTCTTTCTTTTTTGGAATATATAAAAACATAGTTATTTGTTATTTTCATCAACTTTATAAGATCCAATTTATTTCTATTTAGGTTACTACCAGAAGATGGCTGAGAGAACTTTACACTATTTCTCCCCTTCATGCCTGAAATACACTCCCTGAACATTTTTACTTGATAATTACAGGAAAGGTGTTTTTTTTTTTTTTTCCCTCTTTGCCTTGTGAGAATGTCAATAGCCTATCTAGCCAGAGTGATGTTAATATTTGGGGACATATTTCATGTTCCTTTATGAATCAAGGATTAGTCAGATGAGATTAATTAGTGTGTTGATTATTCAGGCCCCTTAACCTCTCTTCTTTTTTCTTCTTCTCCTCACCTCTTGGTTATTTCACTACTCATTAGCAGGCTTATCAAAGGATGAGCAGGGAGAGGAGGTGGAACTTAGCATTTTCTACCTTTTCCCAGAACTGGTTAAAAGTTTTAAGTGTGGGAGTAAGGAGGGTTGGGAAGAGAGGAAAAGTAAATTTTTAGCTGAAATAAGATTATTTTTTTATTACTCAGGGATCTTCATCATCGCAAGTGCAAAGGAAAGATGAATAATGTACTGTTGCCTTTACTTTTAAAAACAATGGTTTCATAAGAACAGCATACATTAGTTTATTTACCAAAGGTGAATCACTTAATACTATATAGAATACAGGACACAAAGCATAGAAACTTCTAAGCCTCACAATTGGCAACTTTACCAGAAAAAGTTACACAGACAACTGAAAGTATCTGTTGTCCACTTAGTAACTCCCATATGAGTAATAATGGAAACCTGATTCTAAAACTCCCACTCTCCTTACATGTATTTTCCTTCTAGAACATTTTTGAAGACTGGGATTGTTTTAAATTAGATCCTCCATTTTTCCCTTAGTTTTATTTATTTATTTATTTATTTATTTTAATTTTTCCTCCATTAGTCTCTAATAATGTTCTGTCTCTGCCTGATTTTACACTGGTAACCACACAATCAGATCTCTAGCTTGCTTTGCTGCCCACTCAAAAATTAATCAAAAATTGGGAAGATGCTGTTGTCAATATTCAATCTTAAGTGGAAGAATACAAGTGCTGTCTTCCATACTACTGTGTCCTAAACATGGACATGCTCCTAATTCCTCAAAGCACAGATTAGATTGTAATGTTTAACAAATTGTTCTTTAAGACTTGAGGATAACAGAATATTATCCTCATGAGTACCCGATACAGGGAAACTTCAAACTAGCTATACGTCCATCATAAATACCAACATTCTTTCCCACCATTCTGGGAAGACTTCAGGAAATCTGTGCTTTGAGAATTGTCAGCCTTCTGCACAGATCTAAAGTTGGAGAACTCTTTCTCATCCCCAGTCTAAGATTCAGTCTTCAGTTTCTATCCCCAAATCATTTCCATTTTAGGATTATCCATCCTCTCTCCATAGTAAGTCGTCTTTGTCTTTAGTCTCCAACAGTGCACTCACATTAGGGTGCATAGACTGACATAGTTTATTGTCCAAGATCTGAGATATCCTGTTTGGCATAAAAATTCATTAGACCACAAACACAAACTTAAGGTTAAGTTAAGCATTATTAAGTGCAGATCTATTTTTTATAGGTTGTCCTCTAGCTTGAGGAGAATATGAGATCTTGTAATCTTCAGGGTCTCAATTCCAATCTCCAGATGTTAATTGCTTCTACAAGGACACACACACACACGCACACATACACACACAGACAGGCACACACCCCTCCAATAAACAATAATCTCCAGAGGCATTGCCATGTAAATAATTTTTTCGAATATTTGTTGAAAGGATACAGGGACCTAGAAATGCATTATTTACCACAAAAAAGCCACTATCTCATATGACCATAGAGAGCATAGCAAACTTCTTAATTTCAGAAGAGGAACTTGCTTTGCATTTTCATGATTAGAAAAACTCACGATGATGGTTTTAAATCTCAAAGAAAGTTAGTACCCTAAAGGTGAATTCAAGCCTTTCACTCTTTTAAAGCTACAGCAACTGTGAGCCTTCAAAAGTGAAGTTATTTTTAACTTTCCATATCTCTTTAAAATTCAAAGACTTTTGGGGCAAATTTTCTTAAAACTTAAGGAATTTATATTTTTTCTGCTCAATCTTCTCCATAAAATAATTTCTCCCAAGCACCTATACCATAAATAAGAGCTTACCCTTGAGAGGGTAGTAGACAACCTACTTTCCCCTTCCCATATATAATGCCCATGCTCTCCTTGATTTAATCAAAATAGAAACACAAGTTAAAAACAGTTTGTTATAGCAACTTTGCTTTTGAGGTGTATATTTGAGTTTATTCCTATTTGACTTTAAGCTATATATCTATATTAACATTTGATCTCTTTCCTACTTTCTAGGCTGTCTTAAGCAATAATATCTTGGTCTCCTTCTTTCTTGGAATACAGGGCACCAATTTCAGTTTATTTCGGTCCTATTTTCCACTTCCCTTCCTTCAGTATAGTATCTCCTCTTCCTGTAATTGCTTATAGAAAATCACCCCTTTCTGATTCTACCTTGCCTTTTATAGTGATGGCATATAATGCTAGTCTGTCTTATTTGATTCTAATTAATATGCCTCCCAAATGTCTCTGGGTGATCTGACTTTTTAAGGAACTGGACTAATTGGAAGAGCCACCATAAATTACATACATTTACATCATTCAGTACCATATACAAGTTTGAAACATAAACTAATATCTTCATAAATCGCTTGGTACCTAGGGTTATGAATGAGGGAAAGAATTGATTACATTTGAGTTTTCTCCCTTTTCTCTTCCAAATGCTCTAGAAAAAATAAAGACACTTGCAGATTTTCTATTTTAGTAAAATAAAGATTATGTTCAAAGAGGCATCTAGATTTTGCAGCAACCTTTAAAAGATTAAATTCTCCTAATGAGCACCTTGGCCTGTGTTGTGGATTGAATTGCATCTTCACAAATTATTGCGCTGAAGTCCTAACCACTAGTACCTCAGAAAGTGATCTTATTTAGAAATAGGGTCATTGCAGATACAAATAGATGAGATGAGGTCATACTGGAGTAAGATGGGCCCCAATCCAATATCACTGGTATACTCATAAAAAGGAAAAGTTTGGACACAGAAGCACAGGGAGAATGTCATGTGAAGGTAAAGGCAGAGATTAGGTGATGCTTCTACACGTCAAGAAACACTAAAATCCCCACTGAATCACCAGAGGCATGGAACTGATGATTTCACAGCCCTCAGAAGGAACCAACCCTGTTGAGATCTTAATCCCAGATTTCTAGCTTATAGAATTGTGGGACAATAACTATCTGCTGTTTAAGTGACTCAGTATAGGGTACTTCATTATGGCCACCTGAAAATATGGTTGTCTTTGGCTGCCCATAGAAGAGATGATATGCATGACTAATAGACTCGTTTATGTTAAAGAGAGAAATTACCTCATGCTTCTCAGCAATGCCCCTAAGCCTTATAAACTGCTTTAATTCTTTCTACTCTCTGCTAACAATATGAGCTTTGCAAACATAGGCATTTGATTTATAGGAATAAAGCTTGATTAAAAGGCTGTGTCATAAATAATCACATGCACATTGGGCCAATATATAAGAAGAAGTTCATTGTTAATTTGGATAACTCTGACTTGGCTTCTTCAGGATAACACAGCACATAGCATGTACTGAAATAGAGGGAATTAGTACTGGGAACTAGTTACAAGGGTTGGGAGAGCTGAAAAGCAAAAAAAACAAGTTGGTGAGGAAGTGAAGACCTTTGTTACAGGAGAAAACACCACCATACATGGGACTGGGGAACCAAAGGAAGATGTGGTGTTACCGGAGCCTCAGAGTTAGGCCTGCTTGATCCCAAGTAGCTAAATGGCAGAGGATCTCCAGGGAAACTGGGCCCAGGGAGCGAAAACCTGTCCCTTGCGGATGTTGCTGCTGGAAGAGGCTGCCTGAGGAAGAGAGAGAAGATGAGCTATATCTTGGCCTCTCATTTCCTTCTGCCTTCCTATCTATTGCCATTGCCTCCTGATGGCTGGACTTATCTGTCAGCCAGCTGACACTGTGGCCTGGGAAATGTAGCTTGCTGTGGAAATGTAAGAAATATGTTTTTTTGGTCCAAAAAGCAAGTAACTGGCATGGCCAGCATTAAGAGATTTTCAGACATGGTGACAGTAATTGTCAGTGCTTCAAAAATGATAGCCAAATTTTGTTAAAAGTGAATTAGCACTTATTGAGTGCTTACTACACGCCAGACACAGTTTGATGTTTTAATATTTGCATACATTATCTCATTTATTCTATACAACAAACCTATGATGCAAGTACTATTAAGCATATTGAATAGAAAAAGATACTAAAGTGCAGAATATCTAAGTAGTTTATACATTATTATATTTCTAGTGGCTAAGCAGAACCAGGATGTGAAATGTGTTTTGTCTGACTCTAAATCAAAGCCCATACAAACTCTCTCCACCACTACACATCGTAGTTCATTAAACTGTGTACCAGGTTTGGAAGAGAAGGGTAGAGCATGGTAATAGATAGAAGAGGTAAGTGCTTGCTCATGAAAAGTGATAGCCTGAATAGGGACCACAAAAATGGGTCAGAGAGTTGAAAGACAAATTTGTGTAAGTGCAAGAAATGCCAGGTAGCAGACTGAGATGGAGACTTAGTACAAATGGGCAAGCATTCTTTAAAAATTAATAAACTGGGCTAGGTACAGTGGCGCATGCCTATAATCCCAGCACTTTCGGAGGCTGAGGGGGGCGGATCACTTGAGGTCAGGAGTTTGAAACCAGCCTGGCCAACATGGTGAAATCCCATCTCTACTAAAAATCCAAAAAATCCAAAAAAAAAAAAAAAAAATTAGCCAGGCAAGGTGGTGGACACCTGTAATCTCAGCTACTGGAGAGGCTGAGGCAGGAGAATTTCTTGAACCTAGGAGGCAGAGGTTACAGTGAGCCAAGATTACACCACTGCATTCCAGCCTGGATGACAAAGCAAGACTCCATCTCAAATAGTAATAATAATAATAATAATAACAATAATAATAATAATATTAAACTCTATTTCCAGAGCAGTTTTAGGTTCACAGCAAAATTGAGTGGAAAAATACAGAGTTCCCACATACTCCCTGTTGCCATGCATGTACAACCTACCTCCTATCAGCATTCCTCAACAGGGTGGCATACACAATTAATTAACTTACATTGACACATCATTATTACCCAAAGTCTATAGTTTATATTAGGGTTTATTTTTGGTGTTGTTCATTCGGGGAGTTTGGCAAATGTATAGTGACATGTATTCACCATTGTAATATCATACAGAAGAGTTTTGCTGTCATAAAAATCCTCTGTGCTCAGCCTATTTATCTCTTTCTCCCTAATCTTTTTACCAATCACTAATATTTTTATACTGTTTCCATAATTTTGTCTTTCCCAGAATGTGATATAGTTGGAATATATGAAATGTAGCCTTTTCAGGATTGGTTTCTTTCACTTAGTAACATGCATTTAAGTTTCCTCTATGTTTTTCATGGCTTGATAATTCATTTCTTTTTTAGTACTGAATAATATTCTGGTCTGGATAAATCAGTTTATTTATCTACTCAATTACTGAAGGACATCTTGGTGGCTTCCAGGTTTTGGCAAGTACAATTAAAGTTTCTATAAACATTGTGGGTGGGTTTTCATGTAGGCATAAGTTTTCAGCTCCTTTGGGTAATAACAAGGAATGAGATTGCTGGATTGTGCGGTAAGGATACGTTTAGATTTGTAGGAAGCTGTCAAAACTGTCTTTGTTGAACATGGCTGTACCATTTTGCATATATACTAGTAAAGAATGGGAGTTCATGCTCTCCGTATCCTAGCCAGCATTTAGTGTGGCCAGTGTTCTGAAGTTTCACCATTCTAGTAGTTGTGTAGTGGTCTCTCATTGTTTTAATTTGCAAATCCCTAAGGACATACGATGTTGAACATCTTTTCATAAGTTTAATTGGCATCTGTATATCTTCTTTGGTGAGAAGTCTGTTAAGGTCTTTGGCCTATTTTATAGTTGGGTTGTCCATTTTCTTATTGTTGAGTTTTAAGAGTTCTTTGTATGTTTTGAATAATATTCTGTTATTAGACATTTCTTTTGCAAATGTTTTTTCCTAATCTGGCTTGTTTTCTCATTCTGTTAACATTGTCTTTCACAGAGTAGAGGTTTTAATTTTAGTGAAATCTAGTTTATCAATTCTTTCTTTCATGGATCATGCCTTTGGTGTTGTATCTAAAAAGTGATTTGCCTATGTTTGCAATGTCAGGTCCATTAAAAATATAAAAAAATACACCAGGTAATTTAGGACTTTAAAAAATATTGTCTTCTATGGTTTTTGCATTTTATATTTAGGTCTATGAGTCTATGTTCACTTATAATTATTTTTTTGTAAAGGATCCAAGGTCTGTGTCTAGATTCTTTTTTTCTTTTTTGCATGTGGATGTTGGTTTTTCCACACTATTGCTGAAAAACTGTCTTTGCTCCATTTTATTGCCTTTGTTCCTTTGTCAAAGATCAGTTGACTTTGTTTACATATAGGTCTGTTTCTGGGTTCTGTATTCTGCTCTGTTGATTGATTTCTGTATTCTTTCACCCATACCACACTGTCTTAATTACTCTATTTTATAGTAAGTCAATATTTATTCTCTTTGAAGCAATTGTGAATGGGAGTTCACTCATGATTTGGATCTCTGTTTGTCTGTTATTGGTGTATAAGAATGCTTGTGATGTTTGCACATTGATTTTGTATCCTGAGACTTTACTGAAGTTGCTTATCAGCTTAAGGAGTTTTTGGGCTGAGACGTGGGGTTTTCTAAGTATAGAATCATGTCATCTGCAAACAGAGATAATTCAACTTCTGATATGGTTTGGCTGTGTCCCCACCCAAACCTCAACTTGAAATGTATTTCCCAGAGTTCTCACGTATTGTGGGAGGGACCCAGGGAGAGGTAATTGAATCATGGGGGCTGGTCATTCTCATGCTATTCTTGTGATAGTGAATAAGTCTCACAAGATCTGATGGGCTTATCAGGGGTTTCTGCTTTTGCTTCTTCTTCATTTTTCTCTGCCATGTAAGAAGTGACTTTCACCTCCCACCATGATTCTGAGGCCTCCCCAGCCATGAGGAACAGTAAGTCCAATTAAACCTCTTTTCTTTATCAGGAATGTCTTTATCAGAAGCAAGAAAACACACTAATTACAACTTCCTCTCTTCCTATTTATTTCTTTCTCTTGCCTCATTGGCCTGCCCAGAACTTCCAATACTATGTTGATTAGGAGCGGTGAGAGGGGGCACCCTTGTCTTGTGCCAGTTTTCAAAGTGAATGCTTCCAGCTTTTGCCTATTCAGTATGATATTAGCTGTGGGTTTGTCATAAATAGCTTTTATTATTTTGAGATATTTTTCGAGATATTTTTCATCAATACCTAGTTTATTGAGAAGTTTTAACATGAAAAGATGTTGAATTATATTGAAGGCCTTTTCTGCATTTATTGAGATAATCATGTGTTTTTGTCACTAGTTCTGTTTATGTGATGGATTACATTTATTGATTTGTGTATGTTGAACCAGCCTTGCATCCCTGGGATGAGGCTGACTTGATCGTGGTGGATAAGCTTTTTGATGTGCTGCTGGATTTGGTTTGCCAGTATTTTCTTGAGGAATTTTTCATTGATGTTCATCAGGGATATTGGCCTGAAGTTTTCTTTTTTTGTTGTGTCTCTGCCAGGTTTTAGTATCAAGATGATGCTGGCCTCATAAAATCAGTTAGGGAGGAGTCCATCCTTTCAATTGTTTGGAATAGTTTCAGAAGGAATGGTACCAGCTCCTCTTTGTATCTCTGGTAGAATTCAGCTGTGAATTGGTCTGTTTCTGGGCTTTTCTTTGGTTGGTAGGCCCTTTTTCACTGCCTCAATTTCAGAACTTGTCATTGACCTATTCAGAGATTCAACTTTTTTCTGGTTTAGTCTTGGGAGAGTGTATGTATCTAGGAATTTATCAATTTCTTCTAGATTTTCTAGTTTATTTGTGTAGAGGTGTTTATAGCATTCTCTGATGGTAGTTTGTATTTCTTCAGGGTCAGTGGTGATATCCCCTTTATCATCTTTTATTGTGTCTATTTGATTCTTCTCTCTTTTCCTATTTATTAGCCTAGCTAGTAGTCTATCTATTTTATTAATTTTTTTCAAAAAACCAAGCTCCTGGATTCATTGATTTTTGAAGGATTTTTTTTTTTATCTCTATCTTCTTCAGTTCTGCTCTTATCTTAGTTATTTCTTGTCTTCTGCTAGCTTTTGGATTTGTTTGCTCTTGCTTCTCTAGTTTTTTTTATTGTGATGTGAGGGTGTTGATTTGAGATCTCTCTAGCTTTCTGATGTGGGCACATAGTGCTATAAATTTCCCTCTTAACACTGCTTTTGCTGTGTCCCAGAAATTCTGGTGCATTGTCTTTTTGTTCTAATTGGTTTTAAAGAATTTCTTGATTTCTGCCTTAATTTCATTATTTACCCCGGAGTCATTGAGGAGCAGGTTGTTCAATTTCCATGTGGTTGTGTGGTTTTCAGTGAGTTTCTTAATCCTGAGTTCTAATTTGATTGCACTGTGGTCTGACAGACTGTTTGTTATGATTTTAGTTCTTTTGTATTTGCGAAGGAGTGTTTTACTTCCACTTATGTGGTCAATTTTAAAGTGCCATGTGGCACCGAGAAGAATGTATATTCTGTTGTTTTGGGGTGGAGAGTTCTGTAGATATCTATTAGGTCCACTTGTTCCAGAGCTGAGTTCAAGTCCTAAATATCCTTGTTAATTTTCAGTCTCATTGATCTGTCTAATATTGACAGTGGGGTGTTAAAGTCTCCCACTATTATTGTGTGGGAGTCTAAGTCTCATTTACATTTGAGGTTATTTATGTTTGAATTAAATCCTGTCATCATGACGCTAGCTGGTTATTTTGCACAGTAGTTGATGCTGTTTCTTCATAGTGTCATTGGTCTTTATATTTTTGAGTGTTTTGCAGTGTCTGGTACCAGTTTTTCATTTTCATATTTAGTGCTTTCTTCAGGAGCTCTTGCAAGGCAGGCATGGTGGTGACGAATTTCCTCAGCATTTTCTTGTCTGTAAAGGATTTTATTTCTCCTTTGCTTATGAAGCTTAGTTTGGCTGGATATGAAATTCTAGGTTGAAAATTCTTTTCTTTAAGAATGTTGAATATTGGCCCCCACACTCTTCTGGCTTTAGTGTTTCTGCTGAGAGATCTGCTGTTAGTCTGATGAGCTTCCCTTTGTAGGTGACTCACCTTTCTCTCTGGCTGCACTTAACATTTTTTCCTTTATTTTGACCTTGGTGAATATGATGATGTGTCTTGGGTTGATCTTCTTGTGGAGGATCTTAGTGGTGTTCTCTGTATTTCCTGAATTTGAATATTGGGCTGTCTTGCTAGGTTGGGGAAGTTCTTCTGGTTAATATTCTGAAGTGTGTTTTCGAACTTGGTTCCATTCTCCCTGTCTCTTTCAGGTACTCCAATCAGTTGTAGGTGCAGTCTTTTTTACATAGTCCCATATTTATCGGAGGTTTTCTTCATTCCTTTTCATTCTGTTTTCTCTAATCTTCTCTGCCTGCCTTATGTCAGCAGGATAGTCTTCCATCTCCAATATTCTTTCTTCTGCTTGATCAATTTGACTATTGACAATTGTGTATGCTTCATGATGTTCTTGTGCTGTGTTTTTCAGCTCCATCAGATCATTTATGTTCCTCTCTAAAGTGGTTATTCTAGTTCACAGCTCCTCTAAACTTTAACAAGGTTCTTAGCTTCTTTGCATTGGTTTAGAACATGCTCCTTTACCTCAGTGACCTTTGTTATTACCCACCTTCTGAAGTCTACTTCCATCAATTTGTCCATCTCATCCTCTGTCCTGTTCTGCACCCTTGCTAGAGAAGTGTTGCTATCATTTGGAGGAGAAGAAGCACTCTGGTCTTTTGGGTCTTTGCATTGTTTTCATTGATTCTTTCTCATCTTTGTGAGTTTGTCTAATTTCAATCTTTGAGGCTGCTGACCCTTAAATGAGGTTTTTGTGGGGACTTTTTTTGTTGATACTGTTGCTGCCTTCTGTTTATTTGTTTTTCTTTCAATAGTCAGGTCTCTCTTCCGTATGGCTATTGTGGTTTGCTGGGGGCTCACCTAAAACCCTATTCATACGGTTCCCTCCTGTGTCTGGAGATACCATCCGAGGAGGCTGGAGAAGAGCAAAGACGGGTGCCTGCTCCTTCCTCTGGGATCTCTGACCTTGAGGGGCACCGACCTGATGCCAGTAGGGACACTCCTGTATAGGATGTCTGACAACCCCTGTTGGTGAGTCTTACCAAGTTGGCGAGGGCACAGAAAGCAGGACCCATTTAATGAAGCACTTTGGCTGTCTCTTGGTGTAGGGGGTGCGCAGTGCTGAGGGAAAACCCACTTGTTTTGGATGCCTGGATTCTTCAGAGCTAGCAGAGGAAAGACTAAGTCTGCTGGTCTGTGGAGACTACAGCCACCCCTCCCCGTAGAGGCTCAGGCCCAGGGAGGTCAGAGTTCTGTCCTTGAGCCCCTGGCTGGAGTTGGAAATCCTGCAGAGAGGCCCTGCAGCCACAATGTTGGCTGCTGCCCTTCTCCAAGGAGCTCAAATGGCTTAGACATCACAACCAGAGCAGTGGTGATGGCTGCCCCTCCCCCGGGGCACCCAGCTGGCTTAGGCTGATTCTAGTTGAGTGAGAATCTGTGTGGCTTCATGGTAGGGACCCAAGGCCCTGGTGGCACGGGCTCATGAGTGGGATCTTCCGATCCATTGGTTGCACCGTTCTGTGGAAAAAGCAGTTTCCCGGGCTGGGTAGCACACACACTCACCACCTCCCTTGGCTGGGGGTGGGAGCTCCCCTGCCCCCGCGTGGCTTTCAGGTGGGCTGCCGCACCACTCTGCTCTTCCTTCCTCTCCGTGGGTTATGCCAGCTGCCTAGTCAGTCCTAATATCAGAACCTGTATATCTTGGTTGCCAGTGCAGGATTCACATACTGCTTTGGATTTTTTCCATGGGAGTCCCCGATCACTGCTGCTTTTAGTCAGCTATCTTGGCTCTGCTTCCCTTTCTTGATTTTACCATTAATGGGAACCTAGGTTGATTCTACGTCTTTGCAATTGTGAATAATGCCACCACAATGAACATTTGATTGTATGTGTCTTTTGGTAGAATGATTTATTTTCTTTTGGGTATTTACCCAGTAATGGGATTGCTGGGTCGAACAGTAGTTCTGTTTTAATTTCTTTGAGAAACCACCAAACTGCTTTCCACAGTGGCTGAACTCATTTACATTCCCAACAACAATGCATAAGCATTCCCTTTTTTCCTCAGCCTTGCCAGCATCTGTTGTTTTTTGCCTTTTATAATAGCCATTCTGACTGGTGTGAGATGTTATCTCATTGTGGTTTTGATGTGCACTTTGATGATTAATGATGTTGAGCTTATTTCACATGTTTGTCAGCCATTTGCGTGTCTTCTTTTGAGAAGTGTCTGTTCATGTCTTTTGCCCTTTCTTTAATGGGATTATTGGTTTTTTTCCTTATTGAATTGAACTTCCTTATAGAATCTGGATGTTAGACCTTTGTTGGATGTGTAGTTTGTGAATATTTTCTCCCGTTCTGTAGGTTGTCTGTTTATTCTGTTGATAGTTTTTTTTACTGTGCAAAAGCTCCATAATGTAATAGGTCCCACTTGTTAACTTTTGCTTTTGTTGCTATTGTTTCCGAGGACTTAGTCATAATTCCTTTCACAGGCTAAAGTCCAGAATGATGTTCCTTAGAGTTTCTTCTAGGATTTTTATAGTTTGAGGTCTTACATTTAAATATTTAATGCACCTTGAGTTAATTTTTATAGAAGGTGATAGGTAGGGGTTTAGTTTCATTCTTGTGCATATGAATAGCCAGCTGTTCAAGCACCATTTTTAAAAATGTTTATTTTAAGTATCTGTGCAGGTTTATTATATAAACTTGTGTCAAGGGAGTTAGTTGTATGGATTGTTTGGTCTAGGTATTAAACCTAGTACTCTTTAGTTATTTTTCCTGATCCTCTTCCTCATTCCACCCTCCACCCTCACGTAACCCTCAGTATCTGTTGTTTCCCTCTATGTGTTCATGTGTTCTCATCATTTAGCTCCTACTTATAAGTAAGAACATGCAGTATTTCATTTTCTGTTCCTGCATTAGTTTACTAAAGATAATGGCCTCCAGCTCCATCCATGTTCCTGCAAAGGATATGATCTTGTTCTTTTTCATGGCTGCACAGTATTCCATGGTGTATGTGTACCACATTTTCTTTATCCAGTCTACCATAGTTGGGCATTTAGGTTGACTCCATGTCTTTGCTATTGTGAATAGTGTTGCAGTGAACATATGCATGCATGTGTGTAATAGCCATTCTGGCTGTTAAAAAGTAAATAATAGATGCTGGTGAGATTGTAGAGAAAAAGGAACATTTATACACTGTTGGTGGGAGTGTAAATTAGTTCAACCACTGTGGAAGACAGTGTGGTGATTCCTCAAAAACCTAAAGACAGAAATACCATTCGATCCAGCAATCCCATTCCTGGGTATATATCCAAAGGAATATAAATTATTCTATCATAAAGACACACACACACACACATATGTTCACTGCAGCACTATTCACAATAGCAAAGACATAGTATCAACCCAAATACCCATCAATGATAGACTGGATAAAGAAAATGTGATACATATACACCACGGAACCCTATGTAGCCATAAAAAAGAATGAGATCATATCCTTTGCAGGAACCTGTATAGGGCTGGAGGCCATTATCCTTAGCAAACTAATGCAAGGACAGAAAAGCAAATATCACATGTTCTTATATATAAAGTGGAAGCTAAATGTTGAGAACACATTGATATACAGAAGGGAAAAACACACACTGGGGCCTAACAAAGGATGGAGAGGATAAGGAAAAATAACTAATGGATACTAGGTTTAATACCTGGGTGATGAAATAATCTGTATAACACACCCCCATGACACAAGTTTACCTATATAACAAACCTGCAAATCCTGCACATGTACCCCTGAATTTAACATAAAAGTTTAAAAAATAGCCATTTTGACTGGTGTGAGATGGTATCTCATTGTGGTTTCGATTTGCATTTCTCTAATGATCAGTGATATTGAATTTGTTTCATATGCTTGTTGGCTGCAATTATGTCTTCTTTTGAAAAATGTCTGTTTCATAGACCAATGGAACAGAATAGAGATCTCAGAAATAAGACCACACATCTTCAACCATCTGATCTTCGACAAACCTGATGAAAACAAGCAGTTGGGTAAAGATTCTCTATTTAATAAATGGTTCTGGGTAAACTGGCTAGCCATATGCAGAAAATTGATACTGTACCCCTTCCTTACACATTATACAACAACTAACTCAAGATGGATTAAAGACTTAAATGTAAAACCCAAAACTGTAAAAACCCTAGAAGAAAATCTAGGCAATAACATTCAGGACATAGGCATGGGCAAAGATTTTGTGACAAAAATATCAAAAGCAATTGCAACAAAAGCAAAAATTGACAAATGGGATATAATTAACCTAAAGAGCTTCTACACAGCAAAAGAAACTCTCATTAGAGTGAACAGACAACCTATGGAATGGGAGAAAATTTTTGCAATCTATCCATCTGACAAAAAGCTAATATCTAGAATCTACAAGGAACTTAAATTTACAAGAAAAAAACCACCCCATCAAAAAGTGGGGATGTAAACAGACATGTCTCAAAAGAAGACATTTATGCAACCCACAAACATGAATAAAAGCTCAACATCATTGATCATTAGAGAGCAGCAAATCAGAAACACAATGAGATACCATCTCACACCAGTTAGAATGGCAATTATTTGAAAGTCAAGAAATAACAGATGTTGGTGAGGCTGGGAAGAAATAGGAATGCTTTTACATTGTTGGTGGGAGTGTAAATTATTTCAGCCATTGTAGAAGACAGTGTGGCGATTCCTCAAGTATCTAGAACCAGAAATATCATTTGACCCAGCAATCCCATTACTGAGTATATACCCAAAGGAATACAAATCATTCTATTATAAAGATATGTGCATACATATATTTATTGCAGCACTATTCACAATGGCAAAGATATGGAATCAACCCAGATGCCCATCAATGATAGACTGGATAAAGAAAATGTGGTACATATACACCATGGAATACTATGCAGCCATAGAAAGGAATGTGTTCATGTCCTTTGCAGGGACATGGATAGAGCTGGAAGCCATTATCCTCAGCAAACTAATACAGGAACAGAAAACCATACACCATGTGTTCTCACTCATAAGTGGGAGCTGAACAATGAGAACACATGGACATGGGGGAAGTGGGGAACAATACACAATGGGGCCTGTTGGGGGGCTAGGGGGATGAGAAGCTTCAGGACAAATAGCTAATGCATGTGGGGCTTAAAACCTAGGTGATGGGTTGATAGGTGCAACATACCACCATGGCACACATTTACCTATGTAACAAACCTGGACGTCCTGCACATGTATCCCAGAAAACTTAAAATAAAATTTTAGAAAAAAGCACATCAAAAAGAAAAGAAAAGAAAAGTGTCTGTTCATGCCTTTTGTCCACTTTTAATGGGTTTGTTTGCTTTTCTTGCAGATTTGTTTCAGTTTCTTATAGATGCTGGATATTAGACCTTTGTCAGATGCATAGTTTGCAGAAATTTTCTCCTATACTGTAGGTTTTCTGTTTACTT
Source organism: Homo sapiens (assembly GCF_000001405.40). Taxonomy (NCBI): domain Eukaryota; kingdom Metazoa; phylum Chordata; class Mammalia; order Primates; family Hominidae; genus Homo; species Homo sapiens. The sequence goes on along the minus strand of NC_000002.12, from coordinate 156,043,687 downwards.
GATTGATTATTGTTTTTCCTGTGCAGAAGCTCTTTAATTTAATTATATCCCGTTTGTCAAATTTTGTTTTAGTTGTGATGGCTTTTGGCTTCCTGCCATGAAATCTTTGCCAGTTCCTATGTCCAAGATGGTATTGCCTAGGTTATCTTCCAGGGTTTTTATAGTTTTGGGTTTTACTTTTAAGTTTTTAATTCATGTTGAGTTGATTTTTGTACATGGTATGAGGAAGGAGTCCACTTTCAATCTTCTGCATATGGCTAACAAGTTATCCGAGCATCATTTATTGAATAAAGAGTCCTTCCCTATTGCTTGTTTTTGTCAGGTTTGTCAAAGATCAGATGGTTGTAGGTGTGCAGCCTTATTTCTGGGCTCTCTATTCTGTTGCACTGGTCTATGTGTCTGTTTTTTAGTACCAGTACCATGCTGTTTTGGTTACTGTAGCCCTGTAGTGTAGTATGAATTCAAGTGACATTATGCCTAAAGCTTTTTTTTTTCAGCACCATTTTTTGAATAAGGAGTTCTTTGTCTATTGCTTATTTTTGTTGACTCTGCCAAAGTTCAAATTGTTGTAGGTGTGCAGCTTTATTTCTGGGCTTTCTATCCTGTTTCATTGGTCTATGTGTCTGGGCTTTTTTCAAACCAGTATCATGCTGTTTTGTTTACTGTAGCCTTATAATACAGTTTGAAGTCAAGTAATGTGATTCCTCCAGCTTTGTTCTTTTTGCTGAGGATTGCTTTGGCTCTTTGGGCTCTTTTTTGGTTCCATATGAACTTTAGAATGTGTTTTCTCCAGTTCTGTGAAAAATGACATTGGTAGTTTGATAGGAATAATGTTGAATCTGTAGATTGCTTTGGACGGGATGGCTATTTTAACAATATTGATTCTTACAATCTATGAGCATGGAATGTTTTTAGATTTGGTCGAGTTATCTATGATTTTTTTCAGGAGTGTTTTGTAGCTCTGCTTGTAGAGAGCTTTCAATTCCTTGATTAGATGTATTCCTAGATATGTGTGTGTGTGTGTGTGTGTGTGTGTGTGTGTGTGTGTGTGTCTATTGTAAATGGAACTGCATTCTTGATTTGGCTCTGAGCTTGAATGATATTGCTATACAGAAGTGCTATTGATTTTTATACATTGACTTTATTTCCCAAAACTTTACTGAAGTTGTTCATTAACTCAGGAGCCTTTTGGTGGAATTTTCAGGGTTTTCTAGGTATAGAATCCTATTATCAGCGAAGAGAGATAGTTTGACTTCTTTTTTTCCTATTTCGATATCTTTTATTTCTTTCTCTTGCCTAATTGCTCTGGCTAAGACTTCCTGGTTTCCTGTTTTAAATTATATGTATTTCTGCTCTAATTTTTATTATTTCTTTTTTATGTTTACTTTGGATTTTATTTGCTCTTTTTCTTTCTAGTTTTTTTGAGGTAGAAGCTTAGCTTGTTGACTTTAGATCTTTCTTCTTTTCTACTATACACATTCAAGGCTATAAATTTCCCTTTAAACACTGCCTTTACTGTATCCCACATATTTTAATAAATTGCATATATATTTAGTGAATAATCTTTTAAAATTTCTTTCGAGATTTCTTCTTTGATCATGTGTTATTAAGAAGTGTGTTGCTTAGTGTTCAAGTACTTTGAGATTTTTCAGCTATCATTCATACTGAATTGAGTTCTGTGCTGTTTTTTTGTTTTTTTTTTTGACAGAATCTCGCTCTGTCACCCAGGCTGGAGTGCAGTGGCATGATCTCGGCTGACTGCAGCCTCTGCCTCCCAGGTTCAAGCGATTCTTCTGCCTCAGCCTCCCAAGTAGCTGGGACTACAGGCATGTGCCACCAGGCTAGATAATTTTTGTATTTTTAGTAGAGATGGGGTTTCACCATATTGGCCAGGCTGGTCTTGAACCCCTGACCTCATGATCTGCCCACCTCGGCCTCCCGAAGTGCTGGGATTACAGTTGTGGGCCAACGCACCCAGCCAAGTTGTGTTTTATAACCTAGAATGTCGTCTCTCTTGGTGAATGTTCCATGTAAGGTGAGATTAGTGTTTAATCTGTTTTTGGGTGAAGTAGTCTATAGATGTCAATTGCATCTAGTTGATTGCTGCTGAGTTCAACTATGTCTTACTTTCTGCTTACTGAACCTGCCCATTTCTAATAGGTAGTGAAGACTCTGAGCAATAGTGGATTAATCTATTTCTCCTTGCAGTTCTATTAATTTTTGCCTCATGTATTTTGACATTCTGTTTTTAGGCACACACACATTAAGAATTGCTATGTTTCGGCCAGGCGCGGTGGCTCACGCCTGTAATCCCAGCACTTTGGGAGGCCGAGGCGGGCGGATCACGAGGTCAGGAGATCGAGACCATCCCGGCTAAAAAAAAACGGTGAAACCCCGTCTCTACTAAAAATACAAAAAATTAGCCGGGTGTAGTGGCGGGCGCCTGTAGTCCCAGCTACTTGGGAGGCTGAGGCAGGAGAATGGCATGAACCCGGGAGGCGGAGCTTGCAGTGAGCCGAGATCCCGCCACTGCACTCCAGCCTGGGCGACAGAGCGAGACTCCGTCTCAAAAAAAAAAAAAAAAAAGAATTGCTATGTTTCTTTGGATAATTAACTGATATTTCATTATGTTATGCTTCTGTTTAACCCTGATAACTTTCATTGCTCTGATGTCTGCTCTACTCGAAATTAATATAGCCAATATGCCTTTCTTTTGATTTTTGTTAGCATGGCATATTTTTCTCCATCCCTTTACTTTTAATCTATATGTGTCTTTGTATTTAATGTGGGTTTCTTGTAGACAACATATAGTTGGATGTTGTTTTTTTTGATACACACTGACAATCTCTGTCTTTTATTTGGCATATTTGGATTTTTGGTATTTCAGGTGGATTATGTAAAGAGACTGAATCTATGACTGACTGGTGCACCTGAAAGAGATCTCATGGATATCATCCATGAGAACTTCCCCAATCTAGCTAGACAGGCCAACATTCAAATTCAGGAAATCCAGAGAACCCCAGAAAGATGCTCTATGAGAAGGTCATCTTTAAGACACATAATCTTCACATTCTTCAAGGTCAAAGTGAATGAAAAAATGTTAAGGGCAGCCAGAGAGAAAGACCAGGTCACCTACAAGGAGAAGCCCAACAGACTAACAGCAGACCTCTCAGCAGAAACCCTATAAGCCAGAAGAGATTGAGGGCCAATATTCAACATTCTTAAAGAAAAGAATTTACAACCCCAAATTTTGTATCCAGCCAAACTAAGCTTTATCAGTGAAGGGGAAATAAGATCCTTTTCAGACAAGCAAATGCTGAGGGAATTTGTTACCACCATGCCTGCCTTGCAGGAGCTCCTGAAGGAAGCACTAAATGTGCAAAGGAAAAATTGTTACCAGCCACTACAAAAACACACTGAAATACACAGACCAATGGCACTATGAAGCAACTGCATAAACAAGTCTGCAAAATAATCAGCCAGCATCATGATGACAGGATGCAAAATAATCAGCTAGCATCATGATGACACATAACAATACTAACCTTAAAAGCAAATGGCTAACTGCCTGGATTAAAAGACATGGAATAGCAAGCTGGATAAAGAACCAAGATCCATTGGTATGCAGTCTTCAAGAGATCCCTTTCACATGCAATGACAGACATAGGCTCAAAATAAAGGGATTGAGGAAAACTTATCAATTAAATGGATAGCAGAAAAAAGCAGGGTTTGCAATCCTAGTTTCTGACAAAGCAGACTTTAGACTGACAAAGATCAAAAAAGACAAAGAAGGGCATTACATAATGGTAAAGGGTTCAGTTCAACAAGAAGAGCTAACTATCCTAAATATATATATGCACCCAACACAGGAGTACCCAGATTGATAAGGCAAGTTCTTAGAGACCTTCACATGAGGTTTTGTTCATTCCATTTCCTTCTTTTTTCTCTATTCTTGCCTGCCTGTCTTATTTCAGAAGGACAGTCTTTAAGCTCTGAGATTCTTTTCTCCACTTGGCCTATTCTGCTATTAATACTTGTGATTGCATTATGAAATTTTTATAGTGTGTTTCTCAGCTTTATCAGATTGGTTACATTCTTCCTTGTACTAGATATTTTGTCTGTCAGCTCCCACAATGTTTTATCATGGTTTTTAGCTTCCATGTATTGGGTTACAATGTGCTACTTTAGCTCAGTGAAGTTCATTTCTATCCACATTCTGAATTCTATTTCTGTCATTTTAGCCATCTCAGCCTCAGCCCAGTTCTGATCCCTTACTGGAGAGGTGATGTAGTCATTGGAGAAAAAAGGGCACTCTGGCTTTTTGAGTTTTCAGCCTTCTCCTGCTGATTCTTTCTCACCTTTCTGGGCTTATATACATTAAATCTTTGAGGTTCTTTACCTTTAGTATTTTTTCTTTTAACAGTCTGGACAATTTTCTATAGGGCTGCTGTGGTTTGCTGGGGCTCCACTACAGACCCTAGTCACCTCAGATTTCCCAGTACTTGGAGGTATCACTAGTGAAGGCTGTGAAACCGTGAAGAGGGCAGCCTGTCCTTTCCTCATCCCAGGGGGATATGAACATGTTGCCAGCCTGAATACACTTACAGGAGTTGGCTGGGGACCCCTGTTGGGAGGTCTCACTCAGTCTGGAGCAACAGGATCGGGGATTCGCTTAAAGATGCCATATAGCTATGCTTTTGTAGAGCAACTGTGCTGTGATGGGGTACTTCTTCTGCCCCCAGTTGGCTTGGGTGCTCCAAAGCTTGGAGGCTGAAACAGCTAAGTCATGGAAACAGCAAAGATGGCAACTTGTCATTCCCTCTAGAAGCTCTGTCCCAGGAAGTTTTCAAAAGAGAACATCAGCAGGAATGGCTGGAGGCCCCAGTTGGGAGGTTCTGCCCAGTGAAGATGAATGGATCTGGGACGCACTTAAAGAAGCAGTCTGGTCACATTTTGGTAGAGCAGCTGTGCTATGCTGCAGGATCCTTTCCACCCCGAGTCAGTTTGGACTCTCCAAAGCCCACAGGCCGGAACAGCTGAATCACCCAAATAGCAAAGATGGTGGCCTGTCTCTCATCCTGGGAAACCCATCTGTCTCAGTTGTTGCTGGTGGCTGGCTGGAATTCTAAACCAGTGGGTCTAATCCTGTGAGGCACCATGGAAGTGGGACCTACAGACTGTCACTGCTAGGCCTCCTGGATTCAGCCCTCTTTCCAGGGGTATGGATGGAGGTCCAACTCCTGCCTTGCCTGAGTTGCAGTCACTTTGCTGGGGAGCGCAGAGCCACAGCATGTAAGGCTCCCATGTCTCTGTGTGTGCCTGAGCAGCTGCTCTGCTGAGACTCCATGCAGCCCTGTGTGTCAGACCAAAGGCCCTGGTGGAGTGGGTTCACAAGGGAATCATCTGACTTGGAGGTTGCAAAGATCTGTGGAAGAAATGTGGTTTCCCAGAATCACACATTGACTCACCACTTCCCTGGCTGGGGAGAGGTTCCCCTGGCTTTGTGTTTCACTCCCACTCCTGGGTGGGCCATTGTCCTGCCCTGCTTTTGTACATTGTCCATGGGTTGAGCTGTTTCCTTGATCAGTCTCAATGCAAGGAGCTGAATGTTTCAGTTGAAGGTGCTGTATTTACTTGCCCCTTTTGTTCCTCTCTATGATGAGAGCCATGCACACTAGCTGCTTCTAGCTGGCCATCTTGGCCGGAAATCTCTTTTCTTTTTTGTTTTGATGCTTTTATTTAGCCTCAAAAATGGGACATGGGTTTCTTTCTCTGTCTATCAGTTTTCCTCTCTCTCTCTTTCGTTCCTTCTAAACTTCCTTCCCCTCCCTCATGTCTTCCCTTCCTTCTCATTTTTACCTGCCTCAAAAACTGGCATGAAATGAATTGGGCTCTTCTTTACTTCTTCTTCCTATGTGTAAGTACAAACCAGGTCACAAGATTGTCATTCTCTCTTCTACCTCCTGTTTTGCTCATGACTCACTTTGGTAGTTAAACCAAGGTTCAATCTGTTTTGTGGACTTAACACTCCCAACAGGTGGGTCACTAAGATTAGACTGGAGCAGGTATTTGAAGGCCATCAGCTTGGTCTCATATACCAGCAACATTATTATATTTAGCTTTGTCACAGAGTTGTGCATTTGAAGGGCATTGCGCTATTATTAATAAGCTGATATTTTAGGCCCTATCAGCCTGTGTACATTCTATCAGCCAGAATTCTGGGAGAGGGTGGTCGGCACCCTGACTCTAACATTAACTTCTTTAACAGTAAAAACCTTTATTAATTTTTCTGTTCAGGAATTCTCTCCTGTTTAGAAATTCTGACTGAGCTTACTCCATCAAAGCAATCTTAAATTTTAACATACTAAATGTGGCATATTAATTTCTTAATACGAAGACCTGACCTTTCAGATCTCTCTCTCTCTCACTACACCTGTTTTGACATCATTGTGATTTCCAGCACTTTTGTGTCTTACCATTACCTATTTCTCAGCATCAAATAGTTTCACTTACCATTTTCTTTAACTTAAGCCCTGATTTTTCTTCTTTTAAACACCCTCATACCTACTCTTCCATGTCTTTTTGCATGCTCCTTATTGGATTAATACAATCATTCACCTTTATGATCCTGTATCTGCTCTGCTGAAGGCTAACTAGCATCGGTCAGTACTTTGTATCAATTTATGTTCCTAGATTTTGCCTCACTAACTTTTAATTTTAACTAGTCAACTTGAATTTTACCATACTATGCTAATAGTATATAGTTAGATTCTAAACCTAGGAGAGGCACAGTCTGTGTTTTCAATTTCTCAGGGAAGACTTTTTTCTTTCTTTTCTTTTTTTATTTACAGCTGAGACAGAAACAAACTTCTTCATTTTTCCTCTGTAGGAAAACATATTCTCCCCCCACCCCGTCCCCCAAGATCTTCTTTTACTGGTAGTCCAGTCCTTTGAGGCATCTCGTAATTAAGGCGTGCCACTTCTAATTTTATGCAATTTTTAGTACTAAGGCTTCAAAATATTTGCATGCTTGGGCAACATAATCTGAACTCTTAGTCTTAACTGACTTTGATAGTCCCATTTTCCCACTCAAGAGCTATTGCAGAATCAGACTTAGCATTATTGCTATGGCTTAATTTCCCCCTTTATTCCTATCTTCTGGTATTTTCTTTTTTTTTCTTAAGAGGTAAATTTTAAATAAGTTTGTTATATTTTATCTAGCACTAATTTGTTTTGTATTTATTCAACAATGTTTCCAGCTTTCAACTTATTTTTATTATTTCTTTTTATTTTGATAGGTATTTGCTCACCCTAACCTACAGGTGAGGAAATGTGACTATCCCAGTACCATGTGCTATGAAGTTGCAGAGCTAGAATTTGAACTCAGAAAGCCCATGCACTTTCCCACATACCCCAGGATGAGATTTTAGTTTCTAAATTTTACTTTTAGACCTCATTCAATTATCATCCTCTTCTATTAAAATTTAAAAAGAGGGAAAATATAGAAGAAACATCTACTTCTTATAACAATACAGACTTCTAAACTCTTGAATAATATTGATATGATTTTTAGAGAATCATATTTAGGTTATTAAACTTCTAGGTGAATATTTTGGGGGTGAAATATTTTATTTCTTTCTTCAGAGGTATAAGCTGTCCTCAAAATATATATTAGTATTTTTCCAGGTTTTATTTATTTATTTATTTATTTTTTAACTTTTATTTTAGGTTTAGGGGTACATGTGAAAGTTTGTTACAGAGGTGAGCTCATGTCATGGGGATTGGTTGTACATATTTCATCACCCAGGAATTAAGCCCGGTACCCAACATGTATCTTTTCTTCTTCTCTCCCCTCTCCCACACTCCACCCTCAAGTAGACCCCAATGTCTGTTGTTCCCCCTTTGTGTTCGTAAGTTCTCATAATTTAGCTCCCACTTACAAGTAAGAACATGCGGTATTTGGATTTCTCTCCTTGTGTTATTTCCAGGTTTTAGATTTTAATATTTTAAGACTAGGAAGTATGAAATATTTTCTTTAATTGCTTTGTAACTCAGATAGCAAGACTTCGATATTTACATTATGGAGAAAGCACTTAGAGAGAAGAAACACAATCAGAAAACAGTCTTCCAAAATGCCATCCCGTACATAGGAAAATATCTTGCATTTGAGGAAATCTTGCCCCACTGTGAGTCTGCCCTTTGCATCTGCCAGGCATCCCAGCAGCATCACTGGACTGGGACCAACTTGTGTGGCTGTGACTGTATCTTGTCTTTTCAAAAATAAGACAGAGGAAGGCATGTAGGAGCAAAAGAGGTTAAAATGATAGTATACATTAGCATATTTAATGGTTAATGATAAAGGACCACACTTTTCCTAGTATCAATCCCATATTTATCTATGACCAGCACTTTTCCCTAGCTATCTGCTACTGGTGCCTTCAAATCCAGTGGGCATTTAGCAAGTTAACTGGCTCTAAGGGCTGAATATATTGGCCTATATTGCTTGTGGCTGTTTCTATAGTTATCCTATATGCTTCCATATGAGAAATTAAAAATCAAATGACTTAAATATGGAAGAAAGTGGAAACTTATTTGGGTGGGAAGTTCATAACTTAAACAATGCTTTATATATGTACTCTTTAATATGTAGAGTGCTAAAGAATTTGAAACTATGGATGACATGGATGATCTAAGAAGAAAAATCAGCAAAATTGATCAGAGAAATATAATACATAAGTAGGCTGGTAACTGTAGACAAAATGAGTGAAATACATGACAAAAATGAATCCTACAAAGTGCCTAACCTGATGGAGAATGTTCATTAGAAGGAAGATTAGAAAAGTGAATAAATTGACTTTAAAATCTCTTCTTATTTGAAAAATTTTCAAAACTATAGAAAAGTTAAAAGAGTAGTACAATGAACACCAGTGTATCCCACAACTAGATTTACTGTTAAAAACTGCCAAGTTTCCTTTATCTCTCTTTGTAGATAGACACATATTTCTTTTTTGTCAAATCATCTGAAAGTATATTTCAACCATGGTGAAACCTCACCTCTGAAAACTTCAGTATGCATCTAGCAAAAACAGGAACATCTTCCAACAAACACCGAGCTATCATCTATCTAAGAAATCAATACTACTTATGTAATACTACACAGTATGTAGTCCATACTATATACCAAATTTCCCCGCTTTTCCAAAATGTTTTATATAGATGAGTTTTCCCCCTTTTCACATAGGATCCAACCGAGGTTCACACATTGTAATTGTTATGTCTCTGTAGTGTCCTTAGAATGCTCCTCTTTCCCTCAGCAGGCTCACTCTGTCCTTTGTGACTTTGAATGCTTTAAATAGGCCAGGTCAGTTGTCCTGAAGGATGTCCCATATACTAGATTCTTCTGTTTATTTAGGGTTTAGTACAAAAATATCCAGCAAGAACACTTTCAGGCTCATTTGTTTCTGTTTGTATTCTATGTTTTTATTTTTGGCATAATTTTATATTTTGAACATGTAGAATATTTACATGCTTCAAAAATCAAAACTGGTGGCACAGCTTGATTGGCCTGGTGGCAGGTGGGCCCAGGTGTCAGCCCTTCATGGTGGTTCAAGCTGTGGACACTGGGCTGGAAGGCCCCAGAGGTTGGAAGCCCCCAGCTCTGAAGTCATGGGATCTGACAGTGTGGACAGTTAAGTGGGTCAGCACTTCTGTTGAGTCTATGAACAGGGGTTCAGCCATCCAGACAGGCTTTACAAAACTGAACATCTACATTCAAGGCAAAAGGAGAAAGAGATGAAAATAATGGTGACAGCTCCAGTCACAAGCTGGACCAACCAAAGGTTGGTTCATGTCCTTTTAGTGAGTCTACCAAGACCATTTCCCTGTATATCTCCTCTGAACAGCAATTCCATCTGCCCAGGCCTTCAGAGTCAGATGACTTTATTGAAGACACAGCCGATATGCTGTGTTTCATTCAGTGGATACTCTAGTGCCCCAAAGAATCAAGAGCAACTTCCCTTTGGGAGGCCAAGGCAGGCGGATCATGAGGTCAGGAGTTTGAGACCAGCTTGACCAACATGCTGAAACCCCGTTTCTATTAAAAATACAAAAATATTAGCCGGGTGTGGTGGCGCATGCCTGTAATCCCAGCTAATCAGGAGGCTGAGGCAGGAGAACTGCTTGAACCCAGGAGGCGGAGGTTGCTATGAGCAGAGATGGAGCCACTGCACTCCAGCCTGGGCGACAAAGGGACACTCCGTCTCAAAAAAAAAAGAACAACTTTTGACATTAGCAAGCATTTAAGCATTTTGAGGGAAGAAGGAAAAGTTTTCAATAAAAAGGTTTATTACACTGCAGGCTACACCAGTCCTTTCAAATTGCTTAATAGAAATAATAAAGTTTAATTGATTGAGAAAAAGGAGTCCTCCAAAGAAAATGAATGAGAAAAGGAAAGGAAGTTCCACTGCCGGGGGAAAGCTTCTGTTTAACCTAGACATTAACACTACCTATCATAAAGTGTGTGTCTAGCATCTTTGTGAGAGCACTACAATGACTCAAGCTCATTCCCAATGTGCCTTTTTAGTGTGTGAAGCTTTGTCACAGGGGACAATAATCTACACACATGTAAATTGGTCATAACTATGGTGGTCTTTGTTTTCTGTGGGGATTCAAGGAAATGTAATGTTGATTCCCCCTTCTTCACTGCATCACAATCATGTTGCCTTGTGCCAGTTGGATGTCATCCTCTCCAGATATTATCAATCAAAATATTAAAGATTTTATTTAACAAATCAAAACTATAGAATGTGATATAATCAGGGAAGTCTTCTTTTCACACGTACCCCATCTACTCCAATCCTACTTATTTCTTATAAGAAACTTCTGTCATCAGTTTCTAGTCTATCTTTCCTGTGTTTTCTTTTGTAAAAATAGGAAAAACATATTTATTTTCTTATTTTTTATTTCTCACAACATATTTGACATTACATACACTCTTTTCCATATTGTTTTTCTTAAAATAAATTTTCTTTTAATACAACATTAGGCTTTCAGAAGAGTTGCAAAGATATTAGAATTCTCATATGCCCCTCACATGGTTTCTCCTGCAGTTAAAATTATGTTTTCCTATGGAATATTTGTGAAACAAACAAACAAAATCAACATTTACAAATGACTATTAACTGGATTTTACGAGTTTTTCCACTAATATTCTTTTTCTGTTCCAGTATCCCATGAAGGATCTCACAGTGGATTTTGTCACATGTATCTTTAGTCTTCTCTGCTTTGTTAAAGTTTGTCAGCTTTTAATTTACTCATGACCTTGCCATGAGATGTATTGGTTGGATATTTTGTAGAATACCCACCAAATGGGGTGATGTTTTTCTCGTGAAGAGGTTGGGATTATGGGCTTTGGGGAAGAATACAACAGAGATAAAGTACCTTTCTCATCAGGCCATATGGGGACATGCTATCAACATGACTTAACGACTAGTGATGTTAACTGTGCTCAGTTGGTTAAGGTAGTACTTGCTAGAGTTTCCCACTAAAAAAATATTGTTTTTCTTTTTCCATATTCTATTCGTTGGAAGTGATTGAGTCACTATGTACAGTTCATGCTAAAAAGGGGGTGGAGGGTTAAGCTCCACTTCTTGCAGGGAGTGTAACACCTTGCTTTTCCACTTTTCAGTATATCTTGCAAAGCACTCTACATCATATTCTTTGTCCTCTTTACTTTTTATGTCTATTAGAGTAGTTGCTTGGTTGGATATACCATAATTTATTCAACCAGTGCCCCACGGATGAACATTTAGGCTTTTCCCAATAGTATTAAATTATAACATTAGTTATAAATATTAAATTGTAATAGATGACTTTTATCAAATTAAATAAGGTCTCTTCTCTTCTTGGCATGCTGAGAATTCTTAATGAGGTTGTGCTGAACTTTATCCAATGCTTTTCTGTATCTACGGAGATATTATTACTTAATCCCTTTTTTAATATAATAAATGACATTGATTCATTCAACTTTACATTCCTGATACAAAATGTATTTAGTCATAATGTATTAGTCTTTTTATAGATTATTGAATTGAATTTGTTACAAATTTTTCAAGAATTTTTGCGTCTTCATGAGGGATATTAGTTTGTAATTTTTGCTTTTTATAAATCAACAATTCTTCATTAGGTTCTTACACTTACCAGGTCTGATTAGAGAATGTTGTATGTTCTCTCTTAATTATAAGGAGTGATGACCTGGCAGAAGTACAATCGATTCTGTCTCTTGGCTGGTGGATAATTTCAGTTCTTGTGTCTCTTAGCTCTTGATAATAGCAATGATTCCTTCCACCAAAATGAATCATTCAAAGCATTTCCTTCGGTGAATCAGTCTGGGCATATGTGTTAAGGAGAAATCGCAATACAACCCAAGCAACTTAATTATAAATTCTTTCATTGTGATGCTTCACTTACCCTTTATTGAGAGAATCAGGAAAATATCTTTATTCTTTGTAATCATAATTCTGAGCATTTATTGAAGCACCCTCCTTTTTGCTACCAACTGTCAGACAGTAGAAAGGGCTTTGCAAGAAGCTTGATTAATATCTGGGTGTCTTGTTTAATGAACACATTGATTAGAATTTCCATATATAGGTCTTGAATGAGAATAAAGCTAAGAATTAAGAAGTTTCCCAGCTGATGTCCTGGGTGTTTTAAATTGCCTTCTAGTCCATAGGAACAGAACACTGATTTTTAATTCTGCTCAGTTAACAAGAGCCAGTATGAGTTTGCACTTTCCTTGTGGGTTTACTTTAGGGTCAGGATGGAAAATCTAAACTTAGGCAATAGAAAATAATATGTGCAGAAGGCATTTAACCACCCTTGCTTTTGAACACAGAAACATTCCCTACCATTATCCTTCTCCTTAACCTTAGTTCACTCATGGTTAATTTTGAGTTGAATGATAAAAATATACATAAAATACAAAGGTATGTGAGATATATAAAATTAAAATAACCTTCCATAAGGAAAAGAGATAAGAACAGTCATAATCTACAATGGCATTTAAGAATAAAATATAATGTTTTATCCAGATTGCAGTGCATTATTATTTAATTGAGGTCCAAATTGTCCTAATATAGACAGCAGATATATTTATTTTGACTTGCATTGTGTTTAAAAAAAATGTTTAGTTGATGTTAGCATTTAAATATCAAGAGATTTTTTTAAATAAAATTCCAGAATTCTAGTTCTCTTGGAAAATTTGTCTGATCTAGGCTCTATGCTATTCTGAAAATGATAAGCTGTTGCTGAGTGGTGCCGCATCCCTCAGATGGGTAAGTCTGGTTTGTCCATTTTGTAACAGTCCACGCTTGGGCAATCTTACTCATTTGAATCAACTTTCTGGCCTGAGTAGACATTTCGGTTTAAAATCCCTGACAAAATTAGTGATAGCTTTCTTTATTTGAATTTTTATGAGCATACTAAAAAAAACTAATTTCAAATCAACACAAATACTGGATGATTCTCTGAAAAGACAAAGCATTTCCCTGTAGTGACATCTACAACTTATTAGAGGCCTTTCTAGAAAGGACAAGATGAAAGCAATGGGGCTCAAAGATAGTTAGTCTGTCTTCTAATTTGTATTTCCTTCCTCCCTCTTTCTTTCTTTCTTTCTTTCTTTCTTTTTTTTTCTTCCTTCCTCCTTCCTTCCTTCCTTCTTTCTTTCTTTCTTTCTTTCTTTCTTTCTTTCTTTCTTTCTTTCTCTCCTTCTCCCTTTCTTTCTTTCCCTTCCTTCCATCCTTCCTTCCTTCCTTACTTTTTCTCCTTCCCCTCCTTCACCTCCTTTCCTTTCCTTTCCTTTCCCTTTCTTTCCCTCCCTCCCTCCCTCCCTCCCTCCCTCCCTCCCTTCCTTCCTTCCTTCCTTCCTTCCTTCTTTTCTTTCTTTCTTTTCCTTTCTTCTTTTTTGTCTTGCACTGTCACCCAGGCTGGAGTGCAGTGGCATGATCTCAGCTCACTGCAACCTCCACCTCCCGGCTTCAAGTGATTCTCCTGCCTCAGCCTCCCGAGTAGCTGGGATTACAGGTGCCTGCCACCACACCCAGCTAATTTTTTGTGTGTTTTTAGTAGAGACGGGGTTTCATCATGTTGGCCAGGCTGGTCTCAAACTCCTGGCCTAGGTAATCCACCCGCCTTGATTTCCAAAAGTGCTGGGATTGCAGGCGTGAGCCACTGCACCCGGCCCTAATTTATAAATTAATAATTACTTATTTCTAAAACAGTATTAGTTAATTTCTGTTAAAGATCAGATTTGGTAATTAGATGGTAAATAAAACCAGGAGGTACTGGGGAAGATGGAAACCAAATGTAGATCAACGCATACATTTATTAACCTGATTTGTATACTTAAACTAGATTATGCTAAAGTTTGGCTAGAAATGTTTACTCCCTGAGCATAATTATAACACACAACCAAGTTAAGAATATATGGGCTAGGCTGGGCGTGGTGGCTTACGCCTGTAATCCCAGCAGTTTGGGAGGCCAAGGTGCGTGGATCACCTGAGGTCAGGAGTTCAAGACCAACCTGGTCAACATGGTAAAACCCCGTCTCTACTAAAAATACAAAAAAAAAAAAAAAAATTACAGGTGTGGTGGCAGGCACGTGTAATCCCAGCTACTCGGGAGGCTGAGGCAGGAGAATTGCTTGAGTCTAGGAGGCGGAGGTTGCAGTCAGCTGAGATCACGCCACTGCACTCCAGCCTGGGCAATGGAGCAAGACTCCATCTAAGAAAAAAAAAGAATTTATGGGCTAGCCTTCATATATTATCCTTTCATAATACTTAGTTGACTTACATAATTAACTCGTTCACAATAATTAAGTAGCTAATTGTGGAGCAAGAATAAAAATAATTATTCTGGTGGTCCATTTTTGAGGTCTAACAATGCCAACTAAATCTTGTATTTGTTATATTACATGCCAAATGGATATTTTATTGGTGAATTAACACCACAGGGAATCCATCAGAATGTATCTACTAACAATCTTGTCCAAATATCTTTAACATATACATATAAATACTGAAAAATCACATGCACCAATTATCAGAATTACATGAATGCTTTATCTGATTTAACTGCAATGAAATTGTAGAGTTTTATTCACTTAGATAAACAATGAAATTAATTGGAGCTTCATAAAAGGTTTGTGTGCAATGAGAGTATAAGGGAGCTCAGCAAGTTTATAGAGATCAAAAGAAAACTGTCTTATAAAAATAGGTCATTTTTGCAATAGATTTGAATCCTAGGAAGCAAGCTTTCTCTGTTGGACATTTGTGGCCTTTAAGGCCATTTTGTTTAATCTCTTTACTACACTTGTAAACTCAACCAAAAAAAAAATCCCTGTGTGATGAAATTTACTTTTTATTATTTGCTTTTGAGAACCAGGACTCAATTCCCAGGGCAGGCAGTTAATGTTGGTTAATAAGAACTATGTTGAATGGCTTTTGTAGGTTTTCACCTCCTTGTGTGCCACTTAAGTAAGAAAAAAACAAAGAGTTTTGTCATGATTTTAGACCTTTTTATAAGACATGCTGAATAATGATTAGAATTCCATGTCTAACTATGGTAGTCAGCTAGACTTCCCACTGGGGAGTAGATTTTTATCATTTTACCAAACCCTCAGAACTGACCTAGGAGACTTGTGATGGTCTGAATATCAAGTCTGTTCAATTGCTCCTTTCCGCAGCTGAAACTTAGAGTTTGGAAGAATCTCTGGTGTTGGGGTAAATTTGGATGTGTTTTATTATGTGGAGTAATTCCAACATTTAAGTGAATGATAAGATGTATTTGGAGTAAAATGGAGGAGAAATTTTGGATGCTGAGAGTTGATTATTTTATCTCCCCATGGGCGCTAGTAAAGTTAGACTTTCATGTTTACTGTGATAATGTAAATTTGGTGATAAAACATATATGTTATATAAATTTTCAAATATCGATGCACAGACCCCATCAATTGTTCTTATTTCAGTTATTTTATTTTTACTTTAATTTTGAATATGGTGGCAGTACTTGTCCATTGTTAAAGTAAATCTGACAGAAAATATGTGTTTAGAAGGATCTTTCTATGGCCTGAATTTCTTCTCGAGTCTTTCCCTATCCTTTGGGAAGAATTCCCTGTCATGTCAGTCTTCTCTTTCTCTGGATGTTTAATACTCTCTGCCAAATATGCTAACATTTGGATAAATATATTTTTTTCAAATTATTCATTCATAGATTTGTTTTTTCTAGACACTTTGTGAGATCTCCAAGGACAAGACCATATCTCCCTCTTTTTTAAAAAAGTTTATTATACTTTAAGTTCTGGGATACATGTGTAGAATGTGCAGGTTTGTTACATAGGTATACACGTGCCATGGTGGTTTACTGCACCCATCAACCCATCATCTACATTAGGTATTTCTCCTAATGCTATCTCTCCCATAGCCCCCTACTCCCCGACAGGCCCTAGTTTGTGATGTTCCCCTTCCTGTGTCCATGTGTTCTCACTGTTTAGCTCCCACTTATGAGTGAGAACATGTGGTGTTTGGTTTTCTGTTCTTGTGTTAGTTTGCTGAGAATGATGGTTTCCTGCTTCATCAGTGTCCCTGTAAAGGACATGAACTCATCCTTTATTATGGCTACATAGTATTCCATGGTGTATATGTGCCACATTTTCTTTATCCAGCCTATCGTTGATGGGCATTTGGGTTGGTTCCAAGTCTTTGCTATTATGAACAGTCTCCCTCTTTTTTTATTCCTGCTATTCTGACCCAATAGATAACTGATTACATAGGATTAAGGAATACTTTGTTTTCATAGTTATGTATAAAAATATCTACATTTCATTTTAGAGGTAACCTCTCTCTTTTTCTAACTTAATATTGTATTACATACAGAATATTTCTCACTGTATGTGATCACAATTATCATGAGCAGCTTTGTTGAAAAGAATCATGTAATGTAATAGACTTTTCGTATTTCACACATGTAAAACTGTAGGTAGATCTGTGTATAAAATCGAGGTGTACAACATCCATTCTCAAATCAATGCTCTTTTTCTGAACTCTATCTCAAGAAAATTTATTCTTTCATCAATTTCTGGCCATTTGGTTTTCTCTTACCCAAGGACATTGTCTGTCATTCTATTCCTGTGGCCTATTTTTTTTCCCCTGCCATCTCTGCTTAAAATTCCAACAGCCACAGGATACGTTTTCCTTCAGAACTCCCACAATAAGGGTCGCTTTAATGCTTAGCAGGTTTTAGCTTACAAACTCAGTGTGTAGGAGCCAGTGCTTCCCTCTATTTTCTTAAAAATCAACTCAGTTCTAACACTGAGATTCTCCTCCTATAAGACAGTTTGGAAACTTAATCTGAATAATAAGACCCTCCCTAAAAGGGTTATGACAGTCACTCATAGAACTGAGATATAGGGAAGAGCCAATCATTGCCTTGCACTGGTAACTTTAGAGATTCCCTTTTAAATATGCAAGCTCTTCAACTACTTTGCTACTCTTGAGGCACAGGGATTCTATGAACCTTGAAACTTCAATGGCTAGGAACTTATCTTCAGATATGTTTTACACATATCTGAATGATTACTGTTATTACAGAAGTTAAAAACACGTCCTCTTACCTGTCTTAGGGATTCTTCTTGACTTCAGAAGCTTTCTCCCTCTAAGCTCACACTCTTGGACACTTGCCATTATCTTTCATGTCTTTTACTCCATTACAAAAGTCAAAATTCCTGAGGCAAGAACACACAAAACTGGTTGCCTATCAGCAAGGTAAGAAATAGGAGTCTCTACAAGGAGAAAGAGGTACATTAACTTTCCCAGAGCCTCACTGCTTTTTGCCCCTTGAGATTTAACAGAATTTTGATCATAGAGACACAACTGATATGCCTCATAAAGCAAACACCATTTTCTCTTTTTTTCAGTTTTCTTTTCTTTTTTATTTTTAACTTTAAGTTCCGGGATACATGTGCAGAATGTGCAGGTTTGTTGCATAGGTATAGATGGCAAGCACCATTTTCTAAGGAGCTTGAAATTCCGGGAGGTGTGGAAGAAGACTACTCAAAATGGCAGCAGGTTTGAATGTTCACAGAAGCAGCTGTTGTTCTTCCAAACCCAGGGACAACAGAACTGTGGTGTAGTCTTGCTCCCTTGCCGTGGGACCCAGATGTGGCACATACCTCCAGACCTCATACAGAAGTTCCTCTTCTAAGGTTAAATTTATACACTTTCTTAAATATCAACAAAATTAAAAAAAAAAAAAACTGTTTCAGCTCTGTCCACCTCCAACAGGTAGGCAAAATAATTACTGTGCTAGATCACAAAGTAAAAATGAATGCAACTTGGTTTTTGTTTTTTCCCCTTCCTATTCTTTTCTTACCTTCTTTCCCCTAATCCAAATATTCTGTGATATTTATGAAAAGTTAGAGTATATTAAAAAGCTGGATGATGATTTACTAAACACCTGCATTGGTCCTATAGTTAGATTTTGAACCAAGGAGAAAGCCTTAATGCAAAATTTAAATCATCACAAAATATCAGAGTCTTAGAGATCGTGTTAGTTCATGTGACTAACTTTAAAGCTGTAAACATGGCCCAATATTTTTAAGAAAATGATTATAGTATTATCTATATATTATCATAAGTTAAGAGATGATGGGTGGAAATTGTGGGGGATATCTGGTACAGAAAAAATTAGAATTTACTTAAAAATTTGCTACTACATTACAATCTACTTAATACCCATATTTAATCATCACTTTGAATTACTTAAATCTTATTTTCATATGAAAAAGGTTGAGCTCTTCCACATTTTCTTTTTTATGAATGTTTAATAAAAAAATTAACTTGGACTCCATTACACTTTTTCAAAATGCTTTCAAAAGATTTTTTTAAGGCCTCTTTTAACATTAACACTTCAGTATACTGTAGTTGATACTTTCAAAAGAATTAAACTGCTAGAAAAATGGTACTCCCTTTGGGATATTTACCAAGCCATGCAATATTTTAAAATGTGGTAAAATATTTCTTGTTTCAGTGAATAAGAATGGTCTTCTTACATAATGCAGGGATGGAAGAAGATACTTGGAAAAATCAGGGAAGAGTGAAGAAGATACTTCAAAAAATCGGGGAAGATTTTCATCATAAGGTCCAAGCAAAGGCATGAGTATAAGATGTGTGTATGTGATACATAAGATTTACTTCTAAACAATTTAAGAGGATAAGGGATAAAAATCACCATTCAGTTTCTAAGTGAATACAATATAAATAATATTGATGATGAGCAAAGGAAAATACAAAATAAATTAAAAGTCATGAGAAGATAAAGAAACTGGATCAAAATGAGAGTTCAACAAAGGGAGCAATAAGAAAACTAAATAGGAAAAAAGTAATAAATATAATCTCAAACTACAGATGCGGAGAGACAAAGTATAGGAGGAGAGAATGTTTTTTGTAGAAGGGGGTCCATGGACCCGTGAAGTGACCATATGGCCCTAGACTGCCCCAGCTTCCTTCTGGAAGCCCTTCTCAGTGCTGCCTTAGCTGGTATCTTGTTTTGTAGAGCAGAGCAGAGCAGAGAAGTCAGCATCTTCAACAGAGCCCCGATTCAATTCTGTATTCTCTCACTATCTCCTAAACTCCTTTTTGGAGTTCCTACTCTCATTTTCATCCTCTTTGTAATGTAATATGATTTGCTCACTTCAAAAATTAAATCTGTGCATTAGATCTGTAACATTGTTGAGTTAAAATTAGAGAATTCACAAACTTTGATGGCAACAATACCTTGAATAATAAAAGTAAACACATATATAGAACTTTTACTCTTTTAAGCACTTTATATATATTAATTCATCTAATCCTTTCAACACCTCTGAGATATGTCTTATGATCATCACCATTTTACAGATGAAACAAACACACAAATATGAAACACAAGCTGTACAATGGAGGAGGATGTGAAACTAGGCAGTTTAGCCTTCAGTATCCATATGCTTAATCTTTCTGCTATACTTCCTATTGTTTTGGAAATGGAAACTGAAGAGCAGATCATATGATGGCACCTGACAAAGTCTTATTTTATCATAAAAAAATGCAGCCAGTGCTAAAGCTACCTACTTACCTTTAGCACTTCTAATATTTTTAGGGTAAGTAATGGCGTAGTCTACCAGCTCATCTCATTTGCACAATACTTTGTTTCACTCCCTATTTTGTCCTCTGTCTGCATTTTTACTCTCAATTCCTGTGTTTGTTTCCTGGAGGTTTTGTAACCTATTACCACAAACTTGGTGTCTTACCACAACAGAAATTAATTTTTTTCCACAGTTTTGGAAGTGAGATGTTTGAAATCAAAGTGTTAGAGATTTTTTTTTTTTCTAAAGGCTCCGCAGAAGAGTCTGTTCCATGCCTCTTTCCTAACTTCTGGTGGCAGCAGGCAATCTTTGGCATTCTTTGACTTGTAGCTGCACCATTCCAACCTCTTTCTACCTCTGTCTTCACATGGACTTCTTTATATGTCTATCTCTTAAATCTCTCCCTTCTTTTTAAGGAAACCAGGCATTGGGTTGAGAGCCTACCCTAATTCCAGGATGATCTCATTTGCGAATCTTTAATTACATCTACAAAGACTTACAAGTAAGGTCACATTTAGTGCCAGTGTTAGGACTTGGGCATATTTTTTTGGAGACCACTATTCAACCAGCTATACCTTCTCCACATTTCC
Source organism: Homo sapiens (assembly GCF_000001405.40). NCBI lineage: Eukaryota > Metazoa > Chordata > Mammalia > Primates > Hominidae > Homo > Homo sapiens. Next base: position 156,022,924 of record NC_000002.12, on the reverse strand, counting down.
TCTATCATCTAATTCTACTTTTAGTCCTTTACTGTTACATGGATTGACTGTACTTTTATTAAAAAATGAATATGCTAATAAATCCCACATATTTATTCATTATGCAGATTCCTGAGCCTGAGTCTACTGACAAATATACCACATCCCCAGAGTAAGTTGGAGTCTCTTAAAATTGTCTTGCTGGCATCTAGCGGAGATTGTCCCCACAAGCATGTTCCTTATGACGGATGCCTGGGTCAGAACACATAATACAGTAAGTATTGTAGAAGCTCTAGTAATATTGGTATTGGTGACATTTTAATAGAACAAGTATTTTGGTTTACCCTAAGATTTTTCATCAAAGGGGTTTAAGCTGACCTCTATTCAACTTCCTAAGATAAGAATTCTATGGAAAATTATATTGTAATATTTACATTTTATCTAAAATATTTATAAAACATAACTTTCATACATTTATTATTTTCTGATATAATATCATAATCATAAACATAATTTTTATGCTTCAGTGTGTGGAATGAATGCTTCCAGTCAGACTAGAAACTTTAAATCATTAATTACCTCCCCAGCATTTTGCTTCCTGTTCTAATGCCTTCAATTTACTTATTACAATTTTAGCATAAAAACTATTTTTCCTAAACCAGATTCTGTTTTTATTTTTCTGAGGCAGTTTCTGATAGGTAAGATATTTGAAATTTTCTTTATATGCTGAAAGTCACCTCAAAACAATTTGGTAAGATATTTGATAACTATTATTTTTCTTAGGTATAAGAGCATAGCAACATAAATTATTTCATTGTAAGATGCACCTTATTTTTTGTACCACTATGATTCTGATTTTAGAGATGTTAAACTGAAAAAGGTGTGTCTTAGAATCAATTATCCTTAATTTCTAAATCTGTGCATTAAAAATCCTTGAACCCATGCATTAAAAAAAAAACTTGTTTGTTATCTTTTATTACAGTGTGTTTGCCCTTGCTGCCTTGTTTGTTTTTGCTTTGTTTAATTAGTTTCTTTTCTTTATCTAGTTCCTTTTTATAAGCACAAAGATTCTGAGAAGCACTGCCCCTCCCACGTGTCACACTCTGGGGAGAGATTATTGGAATGCCTCTTGGATCAGGTATCTTTGGTGATCATTCCACCTAGTTAAGATGAAGCTGGTGATAGCCTTTGGCTTGTTTCAGGTAATGTAACCAGATTTTCCAGTGACTTGTGAATTAACAGGCTAAAAACTAGTTTTCAGTTTCTGGAGAAGGGTTCCCAATCTCATTTGAGGCTATTGGAGGAAAAATCCCTTCAGAAAATAAAGCATGACAGTAAGATTTTAGTATGCAGGAAGTAAATTCAGTTCCTTTGGAGATCAGCATGCCTCTATTCAATCCTCTCCTTAATCCCTTATGAGTCAGATCTAGTAGAGGGTTGGACCAGGAAATTGAGTGTAGGGTTATAGGTGATAAGATGAGGAGAGGCACTCCCCTCAGGAGTTAAGATGCAGGAAATTTGGTTTGCACTTTAGCCAGTACAAGGCATTTCACCAGGATGGAGAATATGTGCTCTCTTGCACAGAAATCCGTGCCAGCAGTAAGTGATGTGGAAGGATTTAGTGAAATTTTGCCAATAACCCCAGGCTTACTGCTTAATGAACAGAACATTCTCCTGGGACTTGAAGAGGTCCTATGAAATAAGGGACATAAATGATGTACTTTCTTTTCTGTTAGGCTTAAGAAATTCTGTTCTGAGTGCAAATAGAGGGAATGATTTCCGACTTTCCTATTAGATAGCAGATATCTTTGCATCTTGGATACATTTAGAAAGAATAGAAATGTGAATGATTGAAACCTAGTCAGTCAATTGATTTATTAGAATTCCTGGAAGAAGTCTGAGTAAACACAATCTCATTCTCTTTCTTTTTCTCTCTGTCAGTTCTTCTTCTTGGGTTCCTATACTATGGGATATAAATGAAACAGTGCAATGTAAAACTAGTATAATGATGGTCGAGAGTAGGTCCCCAATAAATCTTGGTTATTACTGTTATTGGAGAGAATGATGAAATTTAAAGCTAGTGGGGGAAAAAGAATCGTACAAACTGGAAATGAATTGGAATGAGTGTTGCTTCAGGTTGCCCTCAATTTGGTATCAGTACCCTCAGTAAATCAGAGTTGCTGTGACCTGGGCTTTGATGTAAGGGTAGCAGAATGATTTAGAAAAAACAGCATTAGATTAAAAGCCAGAGACATATTATAGTCCTAGTTCTTTCGCTTACTAGAGATTTGACCTTGAAAAGCTTAATTTGTTTAAATCCCGTTTCCTCATCTGAAAAATGAAGACTGATGATATCTGTCCTAACTCCATCTTGTGATGATCCAATGGAATAAAGTGCTGTCAAAATGTGAGGTGTTTTTTTTATCCAAAAAATTCAGTGAATTTACATTTTATAAGGTAGTATATGCCATCTCTATGTCTTAAATCCCCACAGCCTCAGGCCAGGAAGGTGTCCTCTTTTCATGGGGGAATCCCAGTAACTATTAGTTGTAACTACAACTATTAGTAACAATGAATAGTTATTATACTACTACAATGATTGTTGTTATATTTAATTTAAACTACTTATAACAAAAGTAATAAGTAGTTTACAATCACCGTCACAAAACAACCACACCACCACAACAATCAAACCTAGAGCAACTAAGGGGACAAGATGTACAAGCACTAGGGGTGTAGAAGAGCAATTCTGAATAGGGGGCCTGGAAGTTCTTATGGCAAGCTGACAAGTTGAAACCTGAATGAGATTTGAAAGAGTTAATGGAGAAATATGTGCATCTGTATGGGGAAAGAACATTCCACAGGGAGAGAGCAGCTAAATCCAGTGGCTCAAGGTGGCAACATACCTGATGTGTTCACGGAGCAGCAGAGCAATCAGAGAGGTAACTCAGTGGGGGATACTCACCTTTGACTTCTCCACATTTGATGATCTCTTGGGTTTGCCTAATCCATCCTGTTACATGTCAATATATATACTTATATTTTACATAGACAATATATGATTTTAAAATATATTATTTAGGCATATATATTACATAATTATACGTGTAAGTACACATATGTGTGTTGTGTGTATATATTACATATGTGTATTATATACATGTACCTATAGTATATATGTGTATATATAATATGTAATGTTTTGATTGTACTATATATAGCCCTTACCCCACAATTTTGATATCAATCTTTTCCAATTAATTGTTTTAAAAATATATAAATATATTATTGAGGATACCCCATACGCATTGTTATCTGGGCTGAATAGTTTCCAAATAATAATTTGAGTCAAGTATGTTATACAGAGTAAACTGACAAGATAATTTTTCCTACATATTGCTGTCTTAGCAAAAATTTGGGGAGTATGCTACATAATATACTTACAATGAGGCATTTTGAAATAAACGTAAAATAATAACAAGGTGTTACACTGTAGAAGTAGGATTTGTTTCTTGCTATCTGGAGGAAATATTCTATCAAATATTAGACTTTTGCTCCTGGAAAAAATATATGCATAGATTTGTGAATATAGATAGATATATTTATATAACTATTAATCTACCCATCTTTCTAGCTATATAGTTATATACAAATACACATAAATGTGTTTATAAATGAAGTAAATACAAGTTTCTTAATCCATGTCTTTATGTTCAGCTTATTTATCCTTCTATTTTTGTACAATTATATCCTATTATATTTTAATTTATTGGTTTTTGTCTAGATATGACCTTATCCTCTAATGAAGTTTCTCCAGGATTCTTCTATTCCCCAAGCCCTGGGCTGTCTTTCAATCAGGATACTGAACATTAGAATGAGAAAATCCTTTTTCCTCATTTGATACCATTCTAAACACACTTTATGAAACTTAATTACCTTTTTATTATGGTAAAAATGATGCTCAGTAAACTATCAGTTTTCAGGGTATTCTTTCCTCTCTCATCGTCAAATGGTAAACTTCTGTTTTTTTCAGCTATAGCGATGTTGTGAATTCTTAACAGCATATATTTGACTATTTTATCCTACAATAGAAAGGATAATAAACATTCAAAAACCTCTAAATTTTTTTTTTTCATATGAAGACAGCCATTTTATCAGAATATAGAGGCAAATAAATCTTCTAAAAGATATGATAGGAAAAAAAATACCCTTGGTCTAAGAACCTAAGAGAACAATATTGTCCTCCATGAATGTTGATATCTAAGTTTGCATTCCTGAGAAAGCCTTTAAGGCTCACTTTCTAGATATATTTGAAATAACATTGAAAGGATAAAAACGAACTCTGAACTGTGAATGTTTATTCCAAATTACTGAAAGACAAATCTGAATTAAAAAATAAAACTTTATCACATTTTATCTAGGATTACATGGAGACCTTAATTAATGAGCTATGAGTTCCCAGGGAGATAAGAACTATTTTCTAAATGTATAGTGTTCCTGCAGAATCAAACTAAAGTTTTCAAATAACCTATCGTGTATGCATTGGCTATGTTTATTTTAGGCTTAAATTATTTGAGTATGATAGCTCTTGATTTCTAATCTGAGAAAGGGAGAGATATTTACAATTAATCCCTTTCTAGAAGGAATATGTCTATTGTATAACTATAGTTCGAATTTCTATCTATTACAATGAAAATTTGCCATTAGGGATAAGACATTCTTTATTATTTCTCTGTATCATCAAAAGAAGTTTAAATCTACCCTGAAAACAAGGAGAAGTTGTTTGGCTACTCTGGAAGCATGATACTCAAAGCAACTGGTATAGAAGTCTTTTCAACTTCCAACTGTGTTAAAATGAAAAAAAATTAATGTCAACTACCCTATTAAATTCTGTACAGTTAGAAAAATCTACCCCTCTGATAGAAGCTTTAAAAGAACCAACCAGTTCTCACCAGTCTTAGGGTGAATTCAATAGTGTCCTAATAAAATGGGAAGGGTTAGGATATAAGAGCATTTTTTTTGACATGATGCTCTCTAGGGAAGTTAAATTTATTTCTAACATAAGTACTAAATCATAAGAGAGCCAGTGCTTTAGCTTTTTCAGAATGTGGTGCAATTTTTATAACTGTACTACCTCATCTCTGTTTGAACTCTAAGATTTTATACTATGCAATCTGACAGCTAGTTATAAAATGGAAAATGGTGTTGTTTTAAGTCAAATTTGTTGAGGGCAGTATTGAGAAATTTGCATGACCTGTCTTTCCAGTTGTAATACTGTATCAGGCAACAAATATTTCTGTTTCTATTTCCATGTTTATGTTTTGTGATGTCACCTGTAGGCATCTGTCTCAAAGAAATCTAAAACTATTTATTATTCTGTTTTCTAGCTCTGTCCAGATGTTTAGCTACAGGGTAGTGTTACAGCCCAGATTAGTGCAGCTGGTTAGAAGACCCTGCTAAATATGTACAGCATCTGTGGTTTGTCTTGGGAGGTTGGATTTCTATTAATTAAATGTGCAGCGAACTTACAAAGATCTTGCTTCTCAGTTAAACTGACTATGGTGCAGAACTAGTTTTAAAAGCCAAGAATAAATGATATAACAGAAAACTTTTTTAAACAAATGTACCCAACTATGCCAATAGAGTAAAAATATATTTAAATGAATAAACAGTCATTTTATCTAGAAAGTATGAGTCTATTTTCAATATTGCTGCTAGAAAATAGCACATTTTTGTAAGATTACCTGAGAATTAAACTCATTGCTTTTATTGATAATTTAGTTTAAAAGGCCACCATTTCTTCCTGTATCCTCTTCACTTTGGTGTTTACTTTTATTTAAAGAGAAAAAAATTGAGTCAAAAATAATCATTCCAGCAACATTACACTGAGCCAAAATTAATCAGACAGCAACTACAGCTTGTACCACTTATGATTACAGTTATGATGTTTAGATGAATTTCCTGGCTTAATATTCTGTTAGGGGGTCTTTTGTCATTATTGAGACATTTGGAAAATGGATTTTATGAAAAAGTATTCTAACAGTGAATGCTTACACAACTGTCCACTGAACATCTGCAACAAATTACATAAGCTTGTAAACATAATAAACAAGCTAACTTGAAAACTATGAGGGAATAAACAAAATTTGATTCAGTTTTCTTTGGCTAGCTCAAATAATTTTATTTGTAATGGTTTTTGCAATCTCTGTAGTATGCATGCCAGATACCCTGCCTGATACAGGGGACCACCAGACTGATTAGTTTAAAAAGGAAAGAAAAGAAAGAAAGAAAGAAAAGAACCAGAGCCCAAGCCCAGATTTCACACATAACATGAATTGGGAATTGTACAGATTTTATGCATATAAATGTGTGAATTCTCACTGGCTCTTTATTTTTCTTCAAACTATGTTATGGACTGAATTGTGTCCCTCCAAAATTCATATATTGAAGCTCTAACCCCCTGTATAACTGTATTGGAGATTAGACCATTAAGGAAGTGATTAAGATTAAATGAGGTCATAAAGACAGGGATCTCTGATTTGCTAGAAGTGGTGTCTTTATAAAAGAGGAAGACACACCAGAGATAGCTTTCTCTCCCCCTACCTTGTGAGGACACAGTGAGAAGGCAGCCATCTGCAACCCAGGAAGAGAACCCTCACCAGAATTTGACTATGCTGGCACCCTGATCTCAGATATCCAGCCCTCAGAACTGTGAGAAATAAATTTCTATTCTTTATGCCACCAGTCTATGCTATTTTGCCATGACAGGCTACCTGACTCGATGACACCTGTTTAAAAGAAGTAATTCTTCATTATTGAAGCAGGTTATAAAGCTTCTTCATAATTCAAATACTGCAAAGAAGTTTTCACTGTTGATTTCAGCTTGCTCTGAAGTTATCAGCACAGATATTCAGAAATTATAATTAACAGATGAATAAATTAATTGTCATATGCTTTATTTTCAAAATAGTGAGCTCTGAACCTTGGTCATCTCCTGGGATGACACATTCCGTGAGGACAGGAAGCAATGCTGCAGGAGAATATAAAAGATCATCACCTATATAAAAGACCTATGAGACCTTTCCAGTTTCCCTTGAATTGGTAACAATATCTAGCTTTTAAAAACCAGATAAATTAAACTTTGTAGCATGTTGCTATTTGAATGACCTACTCCGTGGAATTACAGCAGCAGTCTAATCCTTTAGGAGAGATGGCTCTATCAATCTTTGGATTTTTCTAATGTGGAAGCTACTCAATTGCATCTCAGAAATCAGGGAGGTAATTACTCATGCAGACAGCACAAAATGAAAGAAAAAAATGCAAGTTCTGCTGAGTATCCCTTTTAGAACAAGCCGTGGAACAAGGAAAACAGCCTCTATAATCAGTCAAATTCTTCCACTAATTTTTCAGGTGTTGAAGGCTGTAGTGAGAATACATGATATGAAAGTTAACAAACCAAAGTGGCTTTAAGAGTGGGTTTTAGAAGACAGCAAAAAGGAGGAGAGCTATTTCTTATTTTTAAGCAAGAATTCTACTAGGAGTGAAGTTCAGTTCAACTTTATTACTTAAGTAAATGTTCTAGGACTTAAGTCTGATGTTACCTTATGGATCATGTAGCAAAAGTCTGATCATTCTATTAATTATAAATATTTTCAAAAATATTAATCTGTGGGGTGAGTTAAATATTCAAATTTTTGACAGCGTTATTTGGGATTTCCAAAAGTTTAAGAGATCCTATTAACAAACAAACTATAGAAAAGAATTTGAGAGATGCTGCTTTGGTTTATTCTAGATTACTTCAGACTTTCATGTGTTCTAAAAATCTAAAGGATTTAAACCTCCAGCTGAAAGCTTCTCTTTGCCATAAAATGTTTGCCTCCAATCATTTAAGTAACTCGAGGAAGCTTCTTTTCACTGAAGTGAAGAGAGATAGCACTGTTTTTATGAAGCATGCAGTCACTGGGTTTGACATTACTTCATTTTGTTTTTCATACTGTGCATACAAAAATTTAGTTATAAGTCATCTCTTCCTTCTACTCAATCTCCTCTTTCTTCCAGTCAGACCTGAGTATTTTTCACTTAAGATATTTAATTTGAATACTTAACTAAGTTAACATACTTCTTTCTCCTTAGGGAAAACAAAAAGTGGGGAATAAGGTCAAGAGAGCTGTTCAACATTGTGACCATGGTCACGTGGACTCCAAATGTGCTAATTTCTGGTTGAAGTTCTTTTTAAATATAAGCCATCTTTCAGATTACCAGCCATATGAGAACAATTTTGTACCATGAAAATACTAAAAAATGATGTAATTTTTTTTGGGCCGCTAGCTTTTGGGTGATTCTATATCTATAGGGCAAGATGAAAAATAGTGGTAAAGAATATTGATATTTTTAATCTGTATAAATGAGCTAGCTACACCCTTGATTTGGCAGTACATTTTTTTTTTCTCTGAGAGTTGGGTAATTGTCACTTTTGCAGCCATTTAAAAAGCCATCAGTGACAGTAGGCTAAGAAACAGGAAGAATGGAGGTTATTGTTCATCATTAGAGCTGGGCTTTTGTGTGGCCTTGAGGAATCACAGGTCGTTGAGGTTTCATTTTGGACAGGTTCCAGATAATGCAAAAGTGAGCTGCTTTATTTCAGAAATCCAATTCAAAGTTCACAAAACTATAATAGTACATACAGGTTGCATTCCATGTCGTCTCTCACTCTTTCTAGTTACATTTGTTTTGTACCAGATTACCATTTCCCAGAAGGTGTCAATCTTACTTTATATCATAGTCTTTGAATAATTAAGAGAGTTCAGTCTTAATGTGTAACATTCAAGTGAATGAAGAATTCAAAGAATGCTGAAAAACAGTTATCAAATTAATACTCTGAAAGTTTACATATGCAAAGGATGCAAAATATAACATTGAGAGACATAGATTCATTTTTGTGATACTGGTTTTTTGAAAAGTTCTGAATTTCTCTTTTTCTATCTGCTTTGTCACAAAAATAGCTATAGGGGTAAGGCAACTGACATAAAACACACTCAATATTACGGGATGTAAAAGAAGGAAGATATTATAAAGATATTATAGTGTGTATACAGAGGAAAAATGCCATGGAGGAAGTGGAATTTCAAATGGATCTTAAAGTGGAGATTGTGATTTCTTTAGGTGGAGTGGATCTCAGTAATGCTTTCAGTAAACTAAGCTGACCACAGTGTGTAGGATGGATAAATACTAGTGGGGAAGGGCAAGACATGACCGGTGATCCTGGCAATCAAGGTAGGGAGTAAAAAAGGTTCAAACCGGGTGGTGGCAATAAGAATGGGAAGAGGAACGTGCAATGCAAAAAGCATTGAGATTTGGGAACTGGTTATAAAATTGAGGGTAAAAAAGGATAAAAAATATGAATCTGACTTTTCGAATTAAGAAACTGGAAAACAGTCTAGATATAAAATAACACACAAATGTTGAGTGTGTTATTGCAACTAGGGAATTGTAATCAGGAACGAAGAGACAGATCTAGGAGTAAATTTCCTTAAGTGTGATAATTGAGCCAACAGGGATGATTGTGTTTTTTGAATAGAAGAGTGCAGAAAGAGAAGAGAAGAGTTTTAAGGACAAAACTTTAGGAGATGGCTACATTTCCAAGAAGGCAGGATAAACAGAGGTCATCCCCAGGTAACTTTACTTAGGTCAGAGAATCAAAGAGAAGGAATTTTCAAGAAAGTTTAAAGTAGTCCAATGTTAGGAGATGATAAAGAGGATAAAGACAGAGGAAGAAAACTAAGGTTGAGTTTTCTTCTTTAACTCCATTTATTCATATATAGGTTGACTTTCTTTATAACATAATAAGCTTTTAGAAAGATTGACATTGTTTGCCAATTTTAAATTATTTCCTTTATGATTTCTATATGGCAGAAAAGATGGCTGTTAAGAACCGATGACCTAAAACACTTTCCTTCCTGTAGTTTCCTATCTTCTTCCTTAATCAATTCTCTCTCTCTCTGTCTCTCTCCCCCTCTCAAACTTAGACTGCAAGTTGAGTGAAGGTGCAGCAAACAATAAATACATTTTCGGTTAGAAGATAAACAACCTAGTCAGTATTAGAATTCTCTGAGGCCATGTCTTTCTCCTCTCAGAAAACATTCACTTCGTGTTTATTAAAAAATAAAATGGCATTATTGGAAGGAAAAAAAAAAATATGTGTGCCCTCAAGAGTGAACCCTCTGCCTAGTAGGAGAAAACAGTAAAAAGGTGGTCCTATCATTTTTCATTTTTGCTGCAGAAAACACAAATGCCTTTTGATGCCAAAATAAAAGAGGGCTGGAATTTGAATAGAATACATTTCTCCAGCCTAGAGATATTCCACCATACAAGGATGCCAATACTAAGACACGTTGTCTTTTATAAAACTTCAGGATCTTAACATTCTTATTAAGAGGGTGAGAGAGGAAAAAGAAAACACTCTTAGGGAAAAAGTTAGGTAGACAAATTGTGCCAGGAACTCTGATAGAATCCTATCTTGTTTCTCTTCACTGTCTTAAACAACAACAAACTTAGAAATTCTGGATTCACTGACAAGAGGAAAGTAAGGTTATTAGTTATGAGCATCTTTATTTCCTAAATATGTATCACAGAAAAACTAATACCTCCTAAAGGTCAACAAGTCATTCTCAGGAAGAAGACAATATTTTGAAGAGTTTTTATGTTATATTAACCTTTAGCCTTTGAGATGAAATTGAGAATAAATTTCTGAAGTTAAAAAAAAAGAGAGACTAGGGTGTGGGTGAAACTGCCATTGCAAAATTATAACTGAGACAGTGAAATGTATCTGACCTAACCAACTAACTCCATCTTACTTCTAACCTCCAAGCTGTCCTTGTTCATTCCTGAGTGTAGGCTGAACTAACTTTGGGAGAAACTTAGTTTATAGTTTAAAACAAAGATGATAGCAGCCCTTTCCCAAAACAAACCTCCCTGCCTGGGGACTAGAATGCCTTTGTAGGACTAACAAATTAGCCTCAAGATGAGAAAGTATGATTTAGGAATCATGCAGCTGGAGGCTACAGGATTCTGACCCTCCCTAAATTGCTCCTAAGATCAGTGCTTGAGATATTGTGCAGACCCTGAACTTGATGGATCAGCTGGCACCACCCAGATGGATAAACTGGCTCATCTGATCTTGTGGCACCCAACCCAGGAACTGACTCAGCGCAAGAGGACAGCTTCAACTCCCTATGATTTTATCTCCGACCCAACTGATCAGCACTCTTGACTCACTGGCCTTCCCCCATCTGTTGTGGGACTTTTCCTTAGTTCACCTAAAAATGCGGTCCTTGTCACACAGCCATGAAAATTTAGGCTCACAGACGATTTGAAGAGTGAGAAAAAATGGGATTTCTTGGTTGAAAAGGAAAAAAAAGGAGGAAACAGAGACTCAGAGAATCGAGAGAGTATGCTTCATGCCCATGGGCTTCCTGCCTCACAGATTGAATCCCAGGTTCCATACAGGAAGAAGAGGGGCCAGGCTCCTCCTCACTGCAAATGGTGCAGACTTCTGTAGCTCCACCCCAGTGTGCATTTCTCCCAGTGCACAGGCCAGCTGGAGCCCTTCTCAGCTGTCTGTCTTACATACACCAAATTATCCTTAAAATTTCTGATCTCTGGATGGCTGGGGAGACTGATTTGAGTAATAGTAAAACTCTGGTCTCCTGCATGGCTGGTGCTGTGTGAATTAGCCTTTCTCTATTGCAATTCCCCTGTCTTGATAAATTGGCTTTGTCTAGGCAGTGGGCAAGGTAAACTCATTGAGTAATTACATGGGGAGGGGGAAGAAAAAAGAAACCTATTGGTATTTTATTAGAATTACTTTAGAACTATGAATCTATCGTGGGTGGTGATTGGCTATCTAGGCAATGTTGTTTTCTGATTGAGAAACAGCCCAAGTTGGCTTTTTCCCTGAATCTTCCTTCACGTACCCTACACTTTTGTTGCTAGGATTATCTTAGTTAATATTTTTGTTATTGCAAGGGTGCAAGTATAGTATTTTATTCTAATTTTATGATAGCTTTTTGATCTCATAAAGAAAAAACATTGATTTTTAAAGTACACTTATGTATTCCTATATGTATACTTGTCACTATTAAGCATTATAATTATTATAAAAACAGTAATGTTTCTATTAAGCTTAAGCACCAAACTGGCAAAAATACTATTAATAAAAATAATTAATTTGAGGCCTAATATGAGCCAAGCACTTTGGTAAATATTTTTAAATAAACACCTCACATAAGCTTCACAATAACCCATGAAATTGATTCTTCTATGGCTTATCTTTCATAGATGAGGAACTTGAAGGTTGAAGAGGAGACTCAGCTCTTTAGTGGTCAGCACAGCTGATGAGGGAGGAGTTCTAGACAGGCCCAAAGCCATTTAATGGGTTTTTAACCTCTATGCAAAACTGTTTTATAAGCTGGTAATATTGATAATATGCAGATTTAATTACACACTGTAATGGGTAAACTGACTGCAGGAGACACAGGAATTCTCCTTAGGGAAAGGACTTGTTTGCTTGTTTGTTTAGAGAAGCAGAGTTAAGCTTTTTGGCTGTAAAAATTTAAAGAGGGAAGAAAGAGACTGTTTGAGAGTTGCCAAATGCTTTAACATCAGAAATGAACAGATAATTGGGCTTGGGGAAAGCCAAATAAGAGGAAAAATAAGATAGTGGCAAGAGGAAAGAGAGAAGACCAAGGAACACAGAGTGGGCAGACGTGACTAAATTACATCATGACCTTAGCATCTGCAGACATCCTGGAGAGAACACTGGATTTCCCCCTGAATGAGGACGGAGTTTGTGTCAATTCTATGGAATTTAAGAGGAAAGAGTTGACATTTAGATTAAATTAATACAAGATATACAATTCTTAAAGAATCAAGTACATATTGGTGTCTGTCATTTTATTGGTAATTTGAAAGCCATTTTTACTCTAACGAAGGATAAATATTATGAAAGAGAAAAACTCTATTTTGATGTAAGTACATGATGTAGTTTGGCTGTGTCCCTATCCAAATCTCATCTTAAATTGTAACTCCCCAAATTCCCACACATTGTGGGAGGGACCAGTGGGAAGTAATTGAATCAAGGGGCGGGTCTTTCCCGTCCTGTTCTCATGATAGTGAATAAGTCTCACGAGATCTGATGGATTTATAAACGGGAGTTTCCCTGCACAAGCTCTCTTCTCTTGTCTGCTGCCATGTGAGATGTGCCTTTCACCTTCTGCCATGATTGTGAGGCCTCCCCCGCCACATGGAACTTTTAAACCTGTTTCTTTTGTAAATTGCCCAGTCTCAGGTATGTCTTTATCAGCAGTGTGAAAATGGACTAATACAGCACAATAGATGACAGCAGACCTCAAATTGATGTAAACCTCATGGTTTAGGAATAGTTAACTTGATCTTGTACAAGTAGTGTTTGAATAGTGAAACTGAGCATTAAGTCCATAGCTTATATAACCAAAAACTTGCAAAGATACACACAGAGGGTGATTGCATTTACTGGTGCAACTGACCACTTGCCTGTGCTGTTATTCATGTTAATTATTGTCAAAAAAGTATCTCGGGTTTTAAAAGAAGATAATCATACTATCTGCAAATAATGTTATCTCCTTTTTACTAATAAAAGGTTTGTCATATAGTGGAGATCTCAGTTTACCTAGATTTTATTTATATTTTAAATCAGGGATACTGCATTTTTATTAAGCTCCTTATTAATATTTATTGAAGCAATCATCTGCTTTGTTGTTATAAATTGATGTCATATATTAATCAATTTAATATTGAATAATAATTACACAAAATGCTATGTGGTTGTGGTGAATTCTTTTAATGCTGTTGAAATTTTATTGTTATTATTTTATTATTTTTTTCAGCAGTATTTGTCTGTGTTTATAAGTAAAAGCAGCTTAGTTTTCCTTTTTTTAACAAATTTTTGATGCCTTGAGATGAAAGATTTGCTACTGTAATAAAAGCAAGTGCATCTTATGTGTGACAGAGCAATGTAAAAATCAGTTTCTTAAAAATTTGAAAGAAACCACAGTAAAATGAGGTTATTTTGCTGAAAGTAAAAGTGCAAAGAAAAAAACGCAAGGAAAAAAATTACAAAAACAATGACAAATAATTTCCTCATAACTCTTCAAACTAATATTTATATGATTTATATTTTAATGGATTTAATAAAAATAAAAGCATTAGCAATTTTAAAATAACTTTTAAAATTATTTTCCAATTGGTGTATGTTTTTTTTGAGAAAACTTAATACATCAAGCATTTAAAATATATTTTCAATAACATCTATTTTACTAGAATAAGGAATCGAATATATTTAATAATTAAATTATGTTTCTACTAATTCATTGATTTTTCTCTTTACTTTTTATTTTCCTTTACTTTTTTTTGGCTAAGTTGCCCCTTTTTCTAACTTCTAGAGCTGCATATTTATTTTTTTATTTCTATCTTTAGAAATAAAAATATTATAACAATAAATTTACTGCTGAACATCATTTTTGCTAATTTCATAGGCCTGGTTTTGTGGGTTTTCATTTTTGCCTTCTACACCAGTATATTAACTGCAATTTGAATTTCTTCTTTGACTCTATAATGATTTAGGAGAATTATAATTTTATTTCCAATGTTTTGAGAATGTAATTGTTACCATTACTTTAAGTTTTATTACTTGTTTCTAGTTTATGGTACTGTGGTATCAGGGTTCAGAACGCAACACCCCAAAATATGTTGTGTTTGTGTGCTATTTTGAACTGAAGAAGATTGGAAGGGTCTCAGAAGTAAGGCTTTTCTCACCTTCTACTGTCCTCTTGTCTCCCCCCAAATCAAGTCATAGACACCAGAATTATTCTTCCCCAATTCAAGTCATAAAACCTAGAAAGGTCATCCTACGACCTTCTTCCTTGTTTTGAAGACCTTCATGTGATAGGTGTCCTGCCTTATACCTTGGGAAAAAAATGCCACACACAGAGGCCATGAAGAATCTGAACAGACAAAGCCTACAGGGTTTTCCCCCTCAGTCTGCTAGTGTTAGCTCATACTCTTTTACTCAGTCACATTTCTACATGGCTGTCTATTCTTTATTGAACTTAAGAATAAACACAGACGGTTTTCCCTGGGTCTTTGGGTCTTCATTCCTGAAGGCTCTTGTGTAATATAAAACTTTGATTAAGTAAATTTTTGGCTGCTTTTCTTTTGTTAACCTGCCCTTTGTCATAAGAGTGTCTGTCAGGACCCTTATGATGGGTGAAGAAATTTATTGATGGCAGCGGCAGGCTATCCGGAGTGGCCACTGGCATCACATTGCCACTGTGGGAAGGGAATGGAGAGGAGGTGGACAGCCCCCTGCAACCTACTGCTCTGGGGGCAGCCATGATGGGGCTGCTCCAGGTCACCCACCGGTGAGGCAGCAGTGCGGTCGGGCAGAGAAGGGCCCTGAGACAGAGCTGGGCCTGGAACAGTGCTGCACTTGCACATGGAGGGTGGAGACTCAGCTTGGGATGGGAGCTAGGGTTACATTTTTGGGGGCCTGGAGTGGGAAGTGGGAATGGCACCTACCTGGGGGAACCAGCCAGCAGTACAGCCATGGTGCCCACCCCACGAGGGCTCTGGGTTTCTATGCCTCTGGAGGTGGCTCTGCACGTGGTCACTCATGGCTGGGTCCCCAGTTCCACCCTGCATCAGGGTAATGCTGAACCTGAAACTCCCAGTGGCTGGGCCCGGGGCCCGTGATCCACTCCTGGAGGTGCCCCATGGGTAGGACCTTGAGCCAGGTGAGGGTGAGCCCCAGGATGGAGATCACAGTGATGTCGCCCCTGCCCTGGATGCCAGCCTGGGCCCAGCGAGGACTTGGAGCCCTCGGCCCAGGTTGCGAGGGTGTGCGGCCGGGGTTGCATGCTCCATGGAGCCGGCAGGAGCTGGGAGCAGGCAGCAGTCCAAGCTGGGGCTGTGGACCCAGGCCTCCCTCTGCTCTTGGGGGTTGGGAGCGGGCAGGAGCCCTGCCCATCCCCAGGCACAGCTGCAACTGCCCAAGTCAGTGCTGTGGACCTAGGCATCTCTGTACTCTTTGGGACCTGGGAAGGGCCCCCACCCCGGGCCTGCAGGCTCAGAAGTGCCTGCTCCCACTGCCTGGTTTCTCCTCACTGTTAGTGCCTGCTCCTATCTTGGAGCAATGTGGGGCAGAGCCCAGGTGCTGTCACAGCCTGGCCAGAGGTGCACATGCTTGGGACAGCACTGACACAACAGCCCCCTGTCGCCTTGATCCCCTCTGGATTTTGGGCACCAAGAAGCACAAGAGGGAGCCAAAGAGGGTGCTGAGGACAGCCTGGCACTGGCCTGCAGTTGCCACTTGGTGCAAGCAGCCTGGGTACCATGGACTGCTACACGGACTGCTGCAGGATCCTGGGTGGAAGGGGGCAGGTCCCTGGTGAGGCCCCACCTTCAGGCCAGGGAGGGCCTGAAGGCTGAGGGCTGGGCTTCCAGTCCCATTGACTGAAGTGGGAGCTTGTGGTGCCTTTTCCAGGCCTACCCATGGCTGCCCATGGACCAATCAGCACATGTTTCCTCCCTTTGAGTCCCATAAAAGCCCCAGGATCAGCCAGAACAGAACAGACCATGGGACAACCAGCTGCAGAGAGGAGCTACTCTCTGTGCTAGGAGCTGAACACATGATGGGACACCCTGGCTGCAGAAAGGAGCTGCCCCCTGCAGGATACTGAGCTGTTCTATGACTCACTAAAGCTTCTCTTCATCTTGCTCACCCTTCACTTGTCTGCATATCTCATTCTTCCTAGTTGCAGGACAAGAACTTGGGGCCTGCCGAATGGCAAGGCTAAAAGAACAGTAACACAAACAGGGCTGAAACATGCCCCTTGCTTGCCACATTGTGGGTGAAGGGAAGGAGAGAGGAGCTGTGGCCCTTTGAGGAGCCTAGACCTGGGAACTCCCTGAGCCAGAGCTGTGACTCCCTCTTTGGGGCCCTATGGTTCCTGATGTCTCCGAGCTCCTGGACATCAATGCATTCCCTGGTGATAGCCAGGGAAGCTGCTGTGATGCACCTGGTCCAGCTACACCCTTGCAGAGAGCTGGTGCCCATGCTGCACCTGGAGCTGCCCGTGCCACAGCAGCAGCTGGTGTGTCTGACTGCTCAGTGGCCAGGCCCCACACTTGCTCACACACCCCTCGCTGCTCCACGTATGACTGACAGTCTCCCTTGGAGGCGTGGGATCCAGGTCACTAGCTGAGCGCAGCCTGCCAGTCTGAGTGGGTGGAACAAGCCCAGTGGGCCCTAGCAAAACTTGGGGCAAGGGCACCACTGGCCACAAATTTCCAGCCAGAAAAGCGACACCCCAAAGATCCCATAGCATTATTACATCTTTTTGCCCCTACAATGGGTAAAAGACTATGTTCAAAATTTTCATCATGTTTTGAAATATATTGGTTCTCTTTTGTGCAGCTTATATACATTTATTTTTTATCTTTATAAGTGAAATAAACTCTATAGGAACCAATTTCCTTAAAATTAAGATTTTAAAAAAATTTACATTATTTATATGCTACATTTTAATTTAGCTATTGTACACTAACTTGATCAAAATTAAGCATGATCTGATAAAAACTTCTATTTTGTTCTTGTTCATTTCTATTTTTATTTTTAAAACTTTTGCTTCATATATTTTGATAACATGACCATATAATTTGACATTCAAACTAAGAAACTCATGAGAGTGAAAGGGGGTGCTATTAATTAAGACAGGACAACAGGCTTACTTTTAAGACTACCCTATGAAAACATATTCTTATTGTTAACCTATATGCCTGTTTCCATTTTTCTGTTTGCCTAATGAAGGGAAAAATTGCTATCCTTGCTAGTTGCTTTAGCCTGTACATTTTTTTTTTTTGTTTGCTATTGCCTTATCTGAAAAGAAAAAATATTATTGATCTCTGTTTACCAAAGTGTTCTGATTCTTGTTAATAGTCCTGCTTAAGGGCGAGGGTGGATAAAGGAGCCTGGATTATGCAGATAGCTATGCCCTGTCTTCCCTCAGCTGCATGTTCTCCGTTTGCCCCTGGAGACACACTCTCCTCTATTCTCCTCTCCACTCTCTTCTCAGTCCCGAGACATTGACCTGGGATACATCAAAACTCCTTCCCTTTTGGCTTCCAGTGGGATTTTACCAATGGAAACCCAGCAGGAGACTGAAGAAAGAAAGGAGTGAGGGCTGGCTTGCTATTAACTAGTGCCGCAGGACTGCATGGAGGTTGCCCTACGCTCAACCACACCATGGTAAGGATCTCTTTATTGAACTCTCCTCCGTGATGTGCCATCTGTTTCTGGCTCACTCCATGACTAATACACTATCCACATATGTGTGACTATGTTTCTTCCTGTATGAAAATATATGTTTTATAATAATTAACATTTTCTTCATCTAAAGCTTCAATGCATCTGTAGAGAGAAAACAAGAGTTTTTGTTTTTTTAAGACAAAATCAACAAAATATTTAGCTTGGCATTCTCTAATTTTTAAAATTGTGTTTAAACAAAACAAAACATCTGGTAAGTGGAAACAATTGCTTGCAGTCATTTTTTCAAATTTATTCATTTATGTATTCATTAAACACGGAATTCTCTCCATGTACTAGGAAAGCAGTGCATGCTCTTTTAAAGTTTACAGTAATACCTGGGAAAGCAAGTAATTAGAGATGCGATGAGGGCTACAGAAAGAATTACCAGGCCGGGTGCAGTGGATCATGCCTGTAATCCTAGCACTCTGGGAGGCAGAGGTGGGTGGATCTCTTGAGCTCCTGAGTTCGAGATCAGCTTGGGCAACATGGGGAAACCCCATCTCTACAAAAAATAGAAAAATTAGCTGGGCATGGTGGTGTATGCTTACAGTCATAGCTACACAGGAAGCTGAGAGGGGAAGATCACTTGAGCCTGGGAGGGTGAGGCTGCACTGAGCCATGATCACGCCACTACACTCCAACCTGGGTGACAGGAAAAAAAAAAAAAAAAAAAAGAAGCAAAGATTCTGATAATAGATAACAAGAAGGCCTAACTTAGGGTCATGTGTGCCTATGATCGGGGGTGGGTGAGTGTTAAGGAAGGCTTTTAAGGAAATTATTTAAATCAAAACCTGAATGATAAATTAGGCAAACAAGGAAAAAGGGTGAGAATCTGAGTTAAAATGGGTCAGGTGGGCATGTCCTATAGAGATTCTGAAGGAATTGGTCCTTACTGTATGGACATTTATATCATGGGGAGTTAATAAAATGTTGATGCAGACAAGTAACAATAGATAACCACTTAAAAAATATCCCTCTGATTTGTGAGGTCTGGATTAAAGGCAGTTAGGACTAGAGGCAACTAGATAATTATTGCAATAGTCTAAATATGTTGTGTTGGGCCTTATTATGAAGGCGATGAACATGAAAAGGGGCAGAGTCTTCAGACATAATGAGGGAAAAAATTGTATCCCAGGAAACAATTATACCAATAAGACCTTGTAATTGCTTAAATGGGCATAAGATTAAGGTAATACAAGTAAATAGTTGAATATAACTCCCAGGTAGATGTGCAGAAAGGGCACAATTGTCATGGTGAAATTACTTTCTGTTTCAGGTCAGTGGCTTTTAGTTCTATTAAAATCACATGTATATTTTTTTAAATTATGGCTTTATCTTGTCTAAACTCTGGAGATTCTGATTAAGTAGATCCCTTGGATGGAGCTTGGGCATTCATGTTAAAACAAAGTAAAACCAACCAACCAAACAACTACAAAATTCCTTTGGTGCTTCTAGCTTACCGTCTCTGTTGAGAATCTGTGAAACAAGTTTATTAGAATGAGGAAAAACTTTCCAGGTGAAGAAAACAAAGAAGCATGGAGACAAAAAATATATTTTATGCCTAGGTAAGGTTAGTGCATATATAAATTTGCATAAATTGCCTATAGATTAAATTGCCAAATTTTAGCATGACATTCAAAATTACTGGCAATCTAGAGCCTCCTGACTTTTACAAGAGATAAGGCTTGAAAGTCAGGAGGGTCTAGATTGCCAACAACCTTGAATGCCATGCTAAGTTTGGGAATTTAATCCATAGGCAATTTCCTGGAAACTAATCCATTAAGCCAGACTTTATGGAAACTCACAAGACTCAAATTGAATTATGAAAATGGTAAACAGAATAAATACAAATAGGTGAAAAATCTGCAGTGGGTTTGTAAATTGTCGTGGTCATTTTATAGGCATTTTAAGCTACAGAACTGTGATCTTGGTTTTGGAAAAAATAGTTTGCTGAATCTTAATGTGTAATGTATTTTACTTTGAAAAAACTTTATATATATATACATATACATAAATTATTATATGAAAAATTAGACTTAATTTATTTCATCTTATTAAGAACATCAAAAATTTGAAAGAGAAAAAGAGATGTTATCTTTTTAGAAATGACTTGAATTCATTCAGTGTTTGTGTATTATGAGACTTATAGAAAGCTTAAAATACTGCAAATTGATTTGCAAATAACCCGTTATTGTCTGTAATATTTCTGTATTGTTTGTAAGAGTAAAAATAAACCTTTATGTAAAGTATATATTATTTGAGTAAAAATTATAAAATGCACATATACAAAGGTGAAATTAAATATTCATAATTTTGCCATAGGTATTTATTTTAATAATTTTTTCTATGTCAATTTAGTTTTCATTTATTATTAAACAAAAAAATTATATAGTAAGAATTTATTATAAATAGATTTCTATGTAGTAAATAATGTCTATGATCACAGCTAATGGTTGTATGGTATTCTATGTTATTGGATTGAATCAAATTATACTTAATCATTCCTCTTGTTGTGCATTTATTTTATTTTATTAAAAAATTATTTAACTATTACAATTCTCCCTCTTTCTTCCCTCTTTTCCTTCCATTTCCCTTTCACCCCCCCTCCCTTTTCCTTTATCTTTCCCTCTTCCGGTCTGTCTTTCTCTCTTTCAATTGTCCCATGTCTCTATATATTGACCTGTAAACCTACCTATTCTTTAAAAACTGTTGCTTAGTATTCCACTCAATTGTGTATAGTTTATCTTTTTCCTGCTGGTGAGCATTTAGTTTGTTTCTAGCTTTTTATTATTACAAAAAATAAAATACTTTAATGAAAATCTTTGTACCTTCCTCTTCTCTTGAAGGGAAAAAGTTTAATAAAAAAGATAGACACTTAAAAATTTTGGAACAATTGCCAAATTTTTCTTTAAAAATCTGTGTGTGTGTGACAAAATAATAAATACGCATTTTAGAAAATTCAAACAGCACAGAAATTCGCAAAATAAAAAGTGATAGCTCCTATTCCTAGAGTGTGATCATTTTAGCCAAATTGGAATATATTTGAGAATAAAAGTAAAAGTAATTAAAACTTACTTAATTACTTCAGGAACACAGGTGAATTAGAACTGCCCCTCAGAACCAATTTTATGATCACCTCACCTATTCCTTTTCCTATTTTATAATCTCATCCCTCAGAATTAACAATTAAGTTTTAGTAGTATAAACTTCCAGGTATTTTTCCATATAAACATACATGTACATATTTTTACAAAAGCAGGATTAAGTGGAAACTATTGTGCAAATTTTATTCTTTTAATTCAACATTATATTATAAAATACTTCCACATTAATTCTTACTGAGATAACTCTTTCTTTACTTTCATATTCCATAGTACTGTACTGTATTTTATGCAATCATCTTCTCATCATTATATATTTAGGTCGTCTCTCTTTTTCAGTTTCAAATCATGCTACAGTAAACATCTTTATACTAGTCACCTCAAGGAAATCTCTGAGAATACTTGCAGAAGTAGAATTATTGGGTCAAAGACGTGTTTACTTTAAATATTTTTGGGTATTAAAAATTTGCCCTTCTAATATGTTGGCACAAATTATGAACACATCAAGATTTCTTCATTCCACAACGTTTTCAATCCTTTGACAACGTGAAAGAGTCCAACTGATGTTACTGTTTAATTTGCATTTATTTGACTAATTATAAAGTTGATATGCTTTTTTGTATATTTATTGACTATTGACAGTCCTGTTGCTAAAATCATATGTTTTATCATATAATATTATTTCTATTAGATAGTGTTCCATTTACCATTATTATACAGTGAATTAACTAAAACATAGCAACTTAAAACAATAATTTTATTGTGTTACTGCGTTCTATGGGTCAGAAAATGTGGAAAGGCATAGCAGGGTGTCTCTACTCTATGATGTCTGGGATTTCAGCTAGGGGGTACCAGAAGCCTGGGAGTGATGTGGTACCTCTGGGCTGTTTCCAGAACCAGTTCAAAGAGTGAATGTGTAGCCTGTACAGCTACACGTGGATCTGCACTTAGAAGGGCCCCATGTTTCGTTTTATGCTCTGCTGTGGCTATCTTGAGATTCTTAACAATTGTTTAATATGGAGTCCTGCATTTCATTTTACACTGGACTCTGCAAATTAAAAAGCCGGTTCTGGTTGTATCACCTTATGGTAGGCAGAATGATGCCCCAAAAGTACCCACATCTTAAACCCCAGAACATGTGACTGTGGTACATATGTAAAAGGAAACTTGCAAGTGTGATTAAATCAAATAGTTTGAGATAGGCATATTATTTTGGATTATCCAGCTGGGCCCAATGTAATCACAAGGGTCTTTATAAGAGAAAGAGGAAGGTAAGAGAGAGAGAGTGTCAGAGTGATGTGATGGGAGAAAGACTCAATTCGCCATTACTGGTTTTGCAGATGAAGCAGTTACAAGCCAAGGAATGAAAGCAGCCTCTAGAATCCAGAGAAACAAGAAAAAATTTTCTCCCATAGAGCTTCTAGAAGGAACACAATCCTGCCAAGTCAATTCCCTTGATTTTAGTCCAGAGAAACCCACTTTGGAAGTCTAATCTCCAGATTCCAAGATAATATATTTGTGTTGTTTCAAGTCACCAATTGTAGTAACTTATTATAGCAGCATTTATTATAGCAGGAAACTGGGAGCTCGGGATACTAAAAGAAAGTATCGTAGACTGGGTGGCTTCTAAATAATGAAAACTTATTATGTACAGGTCTGGAGGCTAGAAGTAAGCATGGTGCAGTTCTGGTAAAGACTTCCTTCTAGGCTGCAGATTGCTGACCTCTTGTATCCTTACAAGGTGAGAAAGGAGGTAACTCGATCTCTGGACTGTTCTGTTTTTAAAAATTTCAACTTTTATTTTAGATTCATGGGGGTATACAAGTGCACATTTGTCATGTGGGTATATTGTGTGATGCTGAAGTTTGAGGTATGATTGATCCTGTCAGACAGGTAGTGAGGATGACACCCAATAGGTAATTTTCAACCATTGCTCTCTTCCTACCTTCCACCATAGTCCCAAGTGTCTATCATTCCTCTGTTTATGTCCATGTTTACCCAAGGTTTAGCTCCCACTTATAAGTGAGAACATACAGTATTTGATTTTCTGTGTCTGAATTAATTCACTTAGGAAAATGACCTTCAGTGGCATCCATTTTGCTGCAGAAGACATGATTTGATTCTTTTTTATGGTTGTGTAGTATTCCATGGTGTATCTGTACCACCTTTTCTTTATTCGATTCACCACTGATGGCCACCTAAGTTGATTCCATGTCTTTGCTATTGTGAATAGTGCTGCAATGAAAATACAAGTGCCTGTGTCTTTTTGATAGAATACTTTATTTTGTTTTAGGTATATATCCTGTAATGGGATTGCTGTGTTGAATGATAGTTATATTTTCAGTTCCTTGAGAAATCTCCAAATTGCTTTCCACAGTGGCTGAACTAATTTACATTCCCACCAACAATGTGTAAGTGTTCCCTTTTCTCTGCAGCCTCACCAACATCTGATTTTTTTCTCCTCTTTAATAATAGCCATTCTGACTGGTGTGAGATGGTATTTCATTGTGATTTTGATTAGCATTTCTCTAACGATTTGTGATATTGAGCATTTTTTCATGTTTGCTGGCCATCTGTATGTCTTCTTTTTCTGAAGTGTCCGTTCATGTCCTTTGCTTACTTTTCAGTGAGGTTATTTGTTTTTTGCTTGCAGATTTGTTTAAGTTCCTTTTAGAGTCTAAATATTAGATCTCTGTCAGATGCATAGTTTGTGGATATTTTCTCCCATTCCACAGGTTATCTGTTTACTCTGTTGAGAGTTTCTTTTGCTGGTCAGAAGCTCTTTAGTTTAATCAGGTCCTACGTATCTATCTTTGTTTTTGTTGCAGCTGCTTTTGAGAACTTAGTCATAAATTCTTTGCCAAGGCCAATGTCGAGAAGGGTATTTCCTAGTTATTTTTTAAGGAATTTTATAGTTTTAGGTCTTACATTTAAGTATTTAATCCATCTTGGGTTAATTTTTGTATATGGTGACAAGTAGGGGTCCAGCATCATTCTTCTGCATATGGATAACCAGGTACCACAGCACCATTTATTGAATAGGGAATCCTTTCCCCATTGCTTATTTTTGTCAATTTTGTTGAAGATCAGTTGGTTGTAGGTATGCAGCTTTATTTCTGGGTTCTCTATTCTGTTCGATTGGTTTATGTGTTTTATACCAGTATCACACTATTTTGGTTACTGTAGCCTTGTAGTATAGTTTGAAGTCAAGTGGTGTGATGCCTCTGAATTTATTCATTTTGCTTAGGATTGCTTTGGCTATACAGGCTCGTTTTTTGGTTCCATATGCATTTTGGAATAGTTTTTTCTAATTCTGTGAAAAATGATGTTGGTTGTTTGATAGGAACAGATTTGAAACCATAGATTTATTTGGGCAGTATTGGCCTATTCTTTTAAGGGTACTAATTCCACTCATGAGAGCTTCACACCCATGAACTAATTACCTCCCATATGCCCCACCTCCAAATACCATCACAGTGGAATTAGGATTTCACCATATGAATTGTTGGTGGAGGGGACCAGCAAATCAGTCCACTGCAGAAACTAATATACACCAGTATTAATACACACACATAATACTAATACATACACAAACTCATTTACTCATATGTCTGGCACCTGGATTGGGATGACTCAAAGACCAAGACTGCTGAGGAGAACACTTATTAAGGTCTCTCTATGTAGCTTGGCTTCCTCATAGCAGAGTTTCTTCAGAATAGGTGAACTTTTTACACAGAGATTGAGTGATCCAAGTGTGAGTGTTCTAGTGAAGCTGCACTGTCTTGCATCCTTGGAAGTCACACAGCATTACTCTGCCATACTCTATCGGTTGAAACAGTCACAGGGCTGCACCCAGATCCTAGAGATCATACATAGACCTAATTTCTCACTGAGAGAAGTAAAACGTGTTTTTGAATAGAGAGTTTAAACTATGCGTTTTAAAACTATCACAGATGGTTTGTCTTTTTCCTATTGAATTTTACTAACTCCTTGCTTATCTTATTGTGGCTGTGAACCATTTGCATCTATCTTATGATTATTACAAATTGTTCTGACCAGGCTTCAGATAGACAGATAGGATATCTGTCTTCATGACTTATTTTTGATATTGGAAATTTCAAATTAAAAAAAATAGGTAAGAATTAATGAAGAAATTGAATTTCAGAGACTGTCTATGACCAGATTTAATTTATTCATGGACAGCACCTCAATTTCGAAAGTTAAGCAAGTAAAACATTATGGTAAGGTTCCAAGGTAACAACTCTTAGAAAATTGAGAAAAAAAAGAGTTAAATTTTGTTTCATATGATCACATTTACAGTGACATCAATGTTTTATTCTGTTTCTGCTAAATCTTTTTTTTTTTTTTCCTGAAGTATCTATGTGCTTTTGTAACTAAAGCTTCGGCCAAGTCTAATTTCAGATGTTTATTAATAATGGAAACTACACTTTTGAAGTAAAAGAGTATCATATTTAACAATTATTTTTCTCTTTTTAGGTTTGAGCAGATTCTGTTTTATTTATTTATTTAGACTGATTCTCGCTCTGTCACTCAGGCTCGAGTGCAGTGTCATGATCTCGGCTCATTGCAACTTCCAACTCATGGGTTCAAGTGATCTTCCTGCCTCAGCCTCCCAAGTAGCTGGGATTACATGCACCTGCCACCACACCAGGCTAGTTTTTTGTTTGTTTGTTGGTTGGTTTGTTTTGTTTTATTTTGTTTTGCATTTTTAGTAGAGATGGGGTTTCATTATATTGGCCAAACTAGTCTTCAACTCCTGGTCTCAAGTGATCCACTCACCTCAGTCTCCTAAAGTGCTGGGATTATAGATATAAGCCACCATGCCTGGCCCAGTTTCTATTTTATTTAACAATAGAACTTTAAAAAATTGGCAGGGCAAAACTTTAAGGTATTTATTAATAAAATATATATTTTGAAATAAATATAAAATAATTTTGAATTATGAGTCTAACTATATTCAAGCTTGTGTCTTCAGGTAGTGTGGTTTCTCATACTTTGTGAATAAATCTGTATGTTAATAAATGTACTGTTTTACATAATAAAATATAAACAATTTTAATCATCTTACAGAAAGGCTATGAAAGAGACATTAATTAATACATATGGATCAATGTTCAAAACCTAATGTTCTTTTAAGAAAGATCACCTATTTAGCTCTCGTGTATTTAACACATATATGCTTCAATATATTTGATTGGGACATTAATAAAACCTTATTGCTTATATTAGCATCCACTTGTATAAAACAATTAGCAGGCAAGAGGAACCAGGCACAATACATTAATCACTGATAGAAAAAGCAGAATAATTTAAAGAATTTGTTAAAGATAATCACTTCGGATAAAAATAGGAAAATCAAATGTAATGTTATTTTCTTAATTAGTCTATATACAGAAAAGTGTAGGAAGGTGATGTTTAAAGACCATAAAAAAAAGAGAGGGAAGGGCCTTGTCACAGACAATTCGTAAGCCAGAATGATTATACTTTGTGTGTTAGTAAAAGACTCGGGCTTTCATTATAATGATCAATAGTGTGTTTAAGCAACTGGTCATGTCTAAAAAGTGTTTGTTTATTTTCAAAGAACACATATATTTACCATTTTAGAATTTCTTTTAGATTGCTCACAGTTAATTTTGGATCACACAAAAGAAAGACAAATAGTACTGCAGTTGTGAAGATATCTTAGATTAAAAAACTTAAATTTGGCTTTGTGATCTATCAGGCATATTTTTGTTTTCCAAAGAGGTGTTTGAGACTCATGCCACTGCAATTGTATTTTTATCAATGATGTCAAGAGCCTGGTAATGCAATTCCCAGAAATTATACTTAGAGTGATATGTTTTTATAAAACTTTCCCTAACGGGCTTATTATCAATTTCTGGAGGCAGGGTAATCCTTGTGGAAAGATTACATCAGAAAGGGCAAATCCTCACTAACCTAACTCACATCCTGAGAGATCCTTCATGAAAGTGTGTCTCTAAAGTTAGGGCATTGAAGTAAAAAAGAAACAAGTGAGAATGCCCTTAATAATGGCTTAACAGTTTAATTGATATCATTTTGGAAAATTTAGAAGGCATAGAGGAAAGAGAAGTAAATTCTGATAGTGGTGAGGGTATGTGAAATATTGCAGATTGTAAGTTATTATGAAGTCTTGGATCAGCCTTATACATGAGAGTCCTAGCAGGCCAAAGAATGAGAGTACTCAATTAGTATTTATACAATGACTAAATTGAAAAGAAGTGTGAGAGGAGAGGAAAGTGTTCATTATTTTCTGTTGAGCATCTACTATCTTGAAAACTATATTAGATGCTGGAAATATATACCCATGTCTACCAAATTTCAATAGCCAAAGCTGTGATATGTCCATGACTAACTGTGAATGATGTTAGAAAATGCAGTTAAACTGTGTGATGAGAAGGAAAAGGAAAATTATTTAGTGAGCACATAGGCTACTCTTGCCAGAGTCTATCTTCTTATCACATCCGTTAAATAATTCCTTTCAAATATGGATCACACATCCCCTCCTCAACTCTAAATCCAACCAGGATCTCTAGCTAATGGACAGTTCTGTTCATCAAGTCTAGATGTTTTTCATGGGCAACAAGTTTTCTACTTTTCCTCTCCCCTACCCATCCAATATAGAATTGTGGAGCAGGGATTAAAAAATCATAATTAATACCCCATTTGGAAAGGACAAGAGACACACAATAGTTGCTGGTCCATAGCAATTACAAAATCACTATGACAGTCATTATGAAGGTTCCCTCCCTAGGTGTAGAGGAAATTCTTTGATTATCCTAATTTGACTGTCTGGGAGAAATAATCTTGCCCACTGGTGTTTATGGTCCTTGACTCCACTCTTTGGTAAATTCTGCCCTGTCCATTATTTAATTTGGCTATATCCAAGGTGGGTGTTGCACAATATGCACTTCTCAGAGCTGTACAGTGTTTACAAGCTGCCTGTACATATTGAAGAATTTGGCATTATTCTAATGATCAGTAAGAGGCTTTTTAAGTACAGGCTGGTGAATTTTTTTGGTGATACAATTCCCTCAAAAATGTAGTTGATTCATAAAACACGTGCTTAGAGACTTTTGAAGAGACTTAGATAACCGCATCCCACTTCAATAAGTGAAAAATTTCAATATCCCACTGACCGTATTGGACAGATCATCAAAGCAGAAAACTAATACATTATATATTATATATATATAATATATAATATATAGTATATAATATAAATACATTAATACAGAGTCTCTGTCTGCTGCCCAAGCTGAAGTGCAGTGGTACGATCTTGGCTCACTGAAACCTCCACCTGTCAGGCTCAAGCAACTCTCCCACCTCAGCCTACTGAGTGGCTGGGACTACAGTCACATGCCACCATGTATGGCTAATTTTTGTATTTTTTCATAGAGATGGGGCTTTGCCATTTTGGCCAGGCTGATCTGAAACTCATGGGCTCAAGTGATCTGCCTGCCTCAGCCTCCCAAAGTGGAGGGATTATAGGCATGAGTCACTGTACCCAGCCCTAACAAAGATATATGAGACCTAAAGTTGATACTTGACCGAATGGACCTAACAGACTTCTACAAAACACTCCATCAAACAACAGAATATACATTAGTCACATCTGTACATGGCACATACTTTAAGATTGAATACATGCTCAGCCATAAAGCAATTCTCAACAAATTCAAAAAAAACAAAATCATACCAAGCATGCTCTTGGACCACACTGCAATAAAAATTGATACCAAAACCATACAATCACATGGAAATTAAACAGCCTGCTCCTGAATGACTTTTGGGTAAACAATGAAATTAATATAGACATAAATTTTTTGTTTGTAGCTAATGAAAACAAAGACTCAATGTGCCAGAATCTCTGGGATACAGCTAAAGCAGTCTTCTAAGGAAAGTTTACAGCACTAAACCTTAAGAAGTTAGAAAGATTTCAGGTTAACAACCTAACATCACACCTTGAGGAACTAGAAAAATAGGAGGTAACCAACTCCAAAGCAGGTAGGAGAAAAGAAATAACCAAAATCAGAGCAGATGTGAATGAAATTAAGATGCAAAACCCCACACCTGTAATCCCAGAACTTTGGGAAGCCGAGATGGGTGGATCAAGAGGTCAGGAGATTGAGACCATCCTGGCTAACACGGTGAAACCCCGTCTCTACCAAAAATACAAAAAAATTAGCCAGGAGTGGTGGAGGGCACCTGTAGTCCCAGCTACACGGGAGGCTGAGGCAGGAGAATGGCGTGAACCCGGAAGGCGGAGCTTGCAGTAGGCTGAGATTGCCCCACTGCACTCCAGCCTGGAAGACTGAGTGAGGCTCTGTCTCAAAAAAAACAAAAACAAACAAACAAACAAACAACAACAACAACAAAAGATGCAAAACTCCTACAAATGATAAATGAAACCAAAAGTTGGTGCTTTGAAAGAATAAACAAGATAGGCCACTAGCTAGATTAATAAAGAAGAAAAGAAAGATCCAAATAAACAGAATCAGAAATAACAAATGTGACATCACCACCAAACCCACAGAAATACAAACAACCCTCAGAGGCTATTAGGAATACGTTTATGCAAACAAACTAGAAAGCCTATAAGAAGCAGATAAATTCCTAGAAACATAGAACCTTTCAAATTGAACCAGGAATATATAGAAATTCTAAACAGACCAATAATGAGTTCTGAAATTGAATAATTAATAAAAAACCTACCAACCAGAAAAAGCCCAGGACCAGAAGGATTCACAGTCTACTTCTACCAGACATAAAAGAAGGGCTGGTACCAATCCTACTAAAATTATTCCAAAAAAATCAAGGAGGAAGAGACTCCTCCCAAACTCATTCTATGAAGCCAGCATCATTCTACTACCAAAACCTGGCAGAGATAGAACAAAAAAGAAAACTTCCGGCCAGTGTGCTTCATGAACACAGACCCTAAACTCTTCAACAAAATACTAGCAAATCGAATCTAGCAGCACATCAAAAAGTGAATCTACCAAGATTGAGTAGGCTTTATTCCCAGGATTCAGGTTGGTTTAATATAAACAAATCAATAAATGTGATTAAACATATAAAGCTAAAAACATAAACCACATGATCATCTCTATAGATGCAGAAAAATATCTGATAAAATTCAAACACCCCTTCATGTTAAAAACGGTCAAGAAGGGAGGTGGAGGTGTGGTGGGAATAGTTAATGGGTACAAAAAAGTAGAATGAATGAATAAGACCTAATATTTGATAGCACAACATGGTGACTATAGCAACAATTACTTAATTGTACATTTAAAAATAACTTAAAAAGTATAATTAGATTATTTGTAACACAAAAGATCAGTGCTTGAGGGGATAGATATCCCACTTTCCATGATGTGATTATTACACATTACATGCTGTATCAAAACATCTCATGTACCCAATAAATATATACACTTACTATGTAACCACAAAAGTTTAGAGAAAAGCCCTTGACAAACTAAGTATCAAAAGAATATACCTCAAAATAACAAGAGTCATCTATGACAAACTCCCACAACCAACATCATACTGAATGGGGAAAAACTGGAAGCATTGCCATTGAGAATTGGAACAAGACAAGGATGCCCACTCTTACCACTCCTATTCAATACGGAAGTGGAAGTCCTCGCCAGAGAAATTAAGCAAGAAGGAGAAATAAAAGGCATCCACACAGGAAGAGAGAAAGTCACACTATTTCTCTTTGCAGATGATATGATTCTATACATATAAAACCCCATAGTCTCTGCTGAAAGGCTCCTAGTACTGATAGACAACTTCAGTAAAGTTTTAGGATTCAAAACCAATGTACAAAAATCAGTAGCATTTCTATACGGCAATGACTTCCAAGCTAAGAGCCAAGTCAATAATACAGTTTAATTCAGAACAGACACACTAAAAATAAAATACCTAGGAATACAGCTACAGAGGGAGGTGAAAGAGCTCTACAATGAAAATTACAAAACTCTGCTGAAAGAATTCAGAGATGACATAAACAAATGGAAAAACTTTCCATGTTAGTGGATAGGAATAATTAGTATTATTAAACTGGTCATACTGCCCAAAGCAATTTACAGATTTGAAGCTATTCCTATTAAACTACCAACATTATTTTTCACAGAATTAGAAAAACACATTCTTAAATTTATACAGAACCAAAAAAAGAGCCTGAATAGTCAAAGTATTCCTAAGCAGAAAAAACAAAGCCAGAGGCATACACTACTGGACTTCAAACTATGTCACAAGGTTACAGTAACCAAAACAGAATGGTACTGGTACAAAAATAGACACATAGACCAATGGAACAAGTTAGAGAACTCAGAAATAAAGCTACACACCTAAAACCATCTAATCTTCAACAAAGTTGAACAATAACAAAGTTGTCAACAAAGTTGACAATAACAAAAAAATGGGGAAAGGACTCATTATTCAATAAATGGTGCTGGGATATCAGGCTTGCCATATACAGAACATTGAAACTGGACCCCTTACTTTCACCATATACAAAAACCTACTTAAAATGGATTGAAGACTTACATGTAAGACCTAAAGCTATAAAATTCCTAGAAGAAAACCTAGGAAATACTCTTCTGAATATCTGCCTTGGCAAAAATTTCATGATGGAGTCTCCAAAAGCAATTGCAACAAAAATAAAAATTGACAAGTGGGATCTATTAAACTAAGCAGCTTCTGCCAAGCAAAAGAAACTATCAACAGAGTAAGCAGACAACCTACAGAATGGGAGTCAATATTTGCAAACTATGCATCCAACAAAGGTCTAATATTCAGAATCTATAAGGAATTTAAACAAATCAATAAAAACCAACTGACCCCATTAAAAGTAGGCAAAGGACCTGAACAGGCACTTCTCAAAAGAACATATACAGGTGGCCAACAAACATGAAAAAATGCTCAACATTCCTAATCATTACAGAAATGCAAATAAAAACCACACTGAAGTATCATCTCACACAAGTCAGAATGGCTATTGTTAAAAAGTCCAAAATAAAAACAAATGTTGGCAAAACTGCAGGGAAAAGGAAATGCTTATACACTGTTGGTGGGAATGCAAATTAGTTCAGCAACTGTGGAATGAGTTTGGAGATTTCTCAAAGAACTAAAAACAGAACTACCATTCAACCCAACAATCCCATTACTGTGTATATATATATATATATATATATATATATATATATCCAAAGGAATTCTAATAAGACAAGGATGCCCACTCAAAGGAACATCAATTGTTCTGTCAAAGAGATACACGTATGTGTATGTTCATCTCAGCAAAGATATGGAATCAATCTGGATGTCCACCAATGATAGATAGGATAGAGAAAATGTGGTACATATACACCATGGAATACTATGCAGCCATTAAAAAAACAAAATCATGTTATTTGCAGCAACATGGATGCAGTTGTAGACCATTATCATAAGCAAATTAACACAGGTTTAGAAAACCAAATATTGTATGTTCTCACTTTTAAGTGGGAGCTAATCATTGGGTACACATAGACATAAAGATGAGAACAATAGACACTGGGGACTACAGAGGGGGAGAAAGGATGGGGAGGAAGGTTTGAAATACTACCTATCAGATAGTATGCTCGCTAGCTGGGTGGCAAATCATTTGTACACCAACCCCAGCAATACACAATTTACCAGTGTAACAAACTTGCATATGCACCCCATAAACCTAAAATGAAAGTTCAGGAAAAGAAACAAAAAGGAAAGGCCAAACTCTTGGTTGCCGAGGCTAGCAGCAACTTCAGGCTACCCCTGTAGTCACACTCAGAAGCAGGACAGCTACAATAAAGTGTCAGTGTCCGCTTCCTTCTCTGGTGTTTAATTTTCCTCCATTTTCTTTCCATGGGGATAGCTCTTTACTGCCTCATGAGCTCAGCTATGCACATCAAAGGCTTTATGCTATATTTATGCAGTTTTCATAGCAAGGGAGTTTTCATAATAGCCAGTCATATTGCTGGAAATGCAAGTCCTGGAATGAATTTTAAAGTGGGACTATTCTAGAAATTTCAAGTTGCATAGGCCCTGTAACTATAGATTAAAAAAAAGAAGAATTGCATCAATTAAAAACAGGTACATTTTTATAAAAGTTTCAATGTTTAATATAACTATTTAATTCCAATGTTTGCAATTTTAAGGTGTTGAGACAGGAGATGATTTTAATATAATCTTGTGATATTTTTAAACTTTGTTTTTTTTCATATATGAATAAACAGAGACCAAAAGAAGCCACAGAGTTATTCAAAGATACAATACGACTTAGTGGAAGAGACAAACTACATTTCCTGTCCCTCCTGACACTCTCATGTCGCTTTTAAAAATTACCCTGTATTGATAGGAGCTTTGAGGAATTTAATTTTAGGTTCAAACTGTCTAAAATTACTTTGATATGTTTAATGTAATCTAAAACAATTTTTTTCTATTAAAAGAAACCAAGACACAAAAATGTCCTTAAGACTCAAAAAATGCATTATAGCATTAAGCACAGTAAAATGTAACTTATTACAAACTATCTTATTCCTAATGAAGAGAACAGGAAAAGTAAAGTGGGAGGAAGATTATGTTAAAGAGAATAAAATCAAAGACATTTCCCTCTAAATCTAATTTAATAATGATAATTAGTTCTGTTTGATTTCACTTTAATCACAGGCAAGGTGCTCCTTCCACACCATGGTCCCAAGTATCCCATTTTTTTCGCTGAGAGTTTTTAAATGTTCAGAACTGTTGGCTGGCAGTTTATGCCTGCGTTAGGGTTGCAAGACTTTAAAAAACAACAATAGGCGGCAGCAAAAAACAGGGAACTCAATAAAGTTAGATTTAGATAAACAACATATAATTTTTAGTATGACTAGATCTCATGATTTTTTTAAAAAAATTTTATTTCTATTTTTTGTTTATTATTATTATTATTTTTTGAGGAAGGGTCGCCCAGGCTGGAGTGCAGTAGCACGATCATAGCTCCCTGGAGCCTGGAACTCCTGGGCTCAAGTGATCCTCCCCCGTCTGTCTTCCAAAGCACTGCGATTACAGGCGTGAGCCACCGTGCCCAGTCTATCCCATAAATATTGCATGGAACATACTTATACTAAATATTTATTATTTGTTTATTTGACATTCAAGTCTAACTAGGAATCCTGTATTTTATCTGACACACTCTGGGTGATGAGTCAGAGGGCAAAGGGGTCCCCAGCAATGATAGCTACATGCTGAGTTCATAATTTTCTTGTTCTCTTGAAAAAAGATTCTTCTTTTCAATTTCATTTAATGGACACTCTACTTTCAATTCTTTCCCTTCTCTTTACAATTTGCTTACTTGCCCTTTTTAATAATAGTGTGGAGGTAAAAGATATCAAAAAATGTAGATTAACATTTCAAACTGAAGGCCTATTAGCTTGAATCAATTTATAAAATATATATCCCATAATTTAATGTTGCTTTTTCCTGCAGAAAATAGAATTTCAATGTTATTCTCCATTTCTCTGACATGACTATATTTAAAAGACAAGATATTTTCCTTTCAGTTCGATTGCCAAATTCACCTTAACAGTTAATAAATAAGTGGGATCCTCACAGTGATCCAATAATATATCTCCAGTTACCTTTTGTCACCATGAAAAGTTTTTATTTATGACCATACCCTCTTCTGCCCTTTAGCCAGCATTCAATCCATTTTATGTACATTTATGTCCATTCTGTTTTCCTCCTTTTTTAGACCTCAATCTCTCTACCAAGACCTTGATCTCTGATGTGGAACTTTGTCAAATGCTGTCTGCAAACGTAAGAGCATGCTCTTCCCTGCAGGAGGACAAAGCCGGAGTCGTCTTCGAAAGGCAGAGGAGCGCTGAATGAATAAACATTGGCATTTCATGGTGGGGCTTGCTGTCAGACCCAAGCTACTTCAGATAGAACATTTTGATTAGAAATTTCAAGAAGTGTTGTTTGGAAGGGCATCATTCGTCCATTGTCTAGTGATTTTACAGAATAATACTTTTACAAACCACTTGTCAATGGATTGAAGAAGAAGAAAGTTGCAGTCAGGTGCTTTGGACAAAGCATTGTCCCAGACGTCACTAGGGAAATGAAGAAATGTTTTTCCTCCTTTCTGTTCAGAAAAAAAGTAGTTGTTATGAAGGTCTTAGGAGAAGATAAATTAGACTGCTTTTCCTGGGAGTGGCTTGATGGACTGTGAATGAATATTCAGTCTTTTTAGAGAAAATTGATTACATTTTAAGGGCTGTTATAGGTTTTATGAGCAAACATATGCATCCCATTCCAATTTGCTGTAGGATGAATGTAGTTCTTTAGAACAAAGTGCAATTAAAATATATATAGAAACAGGATGACAAGAGTTCTCTTTTAGGAGCTGAATAAAACTGGAAACCCATAGAATGTCAAGATTTTTATCCAGTTAAGTTTACAGCTATAAACTTCTTCAAACTCAGTTAAAATAGTAATTTGTTTAACTTTTCACTAGTCTTCATGTTAGGAATGGAGTGTCAGAGGATGAGATGTACAAATAGTCACACTGCCTTAGCCGATAAAGAAACCTGAGGAAAAACTGTGATGTAATCTCTTCTCCTTTCCCCCCTCCAACGAGCCTGAACTCTCAGAATCAGGGATCAGATTTATGAGGGATGTTTAAAATCCATTTCTTTTAGGTTTAATAAACCAAAATGTTCAACTTTCTCGCAAAATTTTCTAAATTTTATCTGCAACTGTTGACATTCATGTTTTTAAAAAGTGCACACCTAGAGTGACAAAATAAGAAACAAATGTATTTAAGTTAATGTAGAATTTTTATGAGTATCTTATCTATAGAGTACCAATTTTTTTAAAGAAACAAAACATTAAAAAGTTTTAAACTCTATAGAAGTATTATGCCATAGGGCTTTATAAAGATTAAGTGAGGTAATATATAACAAGTGCTTAAAACATACACAGTATTACAGTAGAGTTAGCTTTATTATTAATAGTAACTCAAGCCTATGATGACCAAAACTGAGTTTTTGATTCCTGCAAGTTCAACATCTGCTCCTCCCCTTGTCTTTCTGTTTAATAAGTTGTTACACCATCTACCCTAATTCCTGAATTCCAAAACCTTGGAGTCTTCTTTGATTTCTTTCTCATGTTCTCCACGTTAGTAGGCCCTGCTGCTTTCCCTCCTCAGTGTATGCTAAACTCATTTAACTTTCTCCATTTTTACTGACAATGCACACCATCATACTCTGTCATCTATGCCACTGTAACACATTCTTAAATGGTCCCTCTGTTCAACTGTTGCCCCTGCAATTCATTCTATATGTAGTGGTGAAAGTGAATACATATAAACACAAATCAAGTTTTGTTACTTGATGGAAACCCTCCAATAATCATTCACTATGAATAAAATCCAGACCTTTTGCTATGACCCTCAAGACCCCATGTGACCTGGTCCTTGCCTACCTCTCTGGCCTTGGCTCTCACAATTCTGTCTGTACTGATATTCACCAGTCATATTGGTTGTCTCTTTTTTCCTAAATTAAGCACTCTAAACTCATTTCTGCTTCAGAGACTGCAGATGCCATGCTCTGTGCCGGAAACTCTCTTTTCCCTTCTCTGGTTAGCTCCTTCCCATCATTCAGGTTTCAGTTCAAATGAGGCTTCTCTGAGGACTGATCTATTATTTGCCACAGCCATTCTTTATTCTCTATGGCATCCTCCATATTATTTTCTTTATAATACTTCTTAATGTGTGAATAATTACTGTGTGGATGACTTCCTTACATAGTTATTTATTTGTTCATGTTCTTGCTTACATTTCATTGTCAGCTTCTAGAAGAAGAGCTCTTTAAGAGCAGTGACCCTGTCTGTCTTGATCATGGAACAAAGACTGGTATATCCAGATGTTCAATAAATATTTCCTGTATGAATACATGACTATGTTTCATTTTCCTCTTCTTTCCTCCTTTTGCCCCTCACTTCTCTGTCTTTTTTTTATGTGTCTCTCTCTTTCTCTGTCACTATCTTACACAAAAGGAATATAAATATATATTTGTATATATGCAGATAACTTTGTGCCCCCAATGTTATAGAAATCATTACATGTCAGTATATTTTGTTCTACCTTATACTTCTAAAACAGTTGTAAGATATTGTATGAATGAATCATAATTTATTTAATCATTCTCTAGTGAGAGACATCAAGATGACTTAAATTTTTTTTTTCTTAGGTAAGTAATCATTGCTGTAATGAATACTTTTGCATAGTCTTTTTTGCTCACATGTGCTTGCATTTCTCTAAAATACATTTCTAGATGTGGAATAACTTTGTCATTTAAAAAAATTCTCTCTGAAAAGGCTTAACCAAAAATATAGAAATTTGCTCATTTTTTCCACCTTTACCCAAACTAGATATTAATATTTTTTAAAAGAATTATTTCTCCTTTTTTTGACAAAACATTGGTATCTGGCTGGGCATGGTGACTCACACCTGTAATCCCAGCACTTTGGGAGGCCGAGGAGGGCAGATTTCTTGAAGTCAGAAGTTCAGGACTAACCTGACCAACATGGTGAAACCCCTTCTCTACTAAAAATACAAAAATTAGCCAGGTGTGGTGGCATGTCTGTAGTTCCAGCTACTCGGGAGGCTGGGACACAAGAATCGCTTGAACCTGAGAGGCAGAGGCTGCAGTCAGCTGAGAACGCACCACTGAACTCCAGCCTGGGTGACAGACCTAGAACCTGCCTCAAAGAAAACAAAACAAAACAAAACATTGAAATCTTATTTTTAGATTATCTTTGTCTGATCTTAGTGAGGTTGATGACATTTCTGTGTATTTATTGGCTAATCATATTTCTTCTCTGAGTTGCTTTCTCTTATTCTTTTCTCATTTTCTGTTACATTGTTTATTCTTTTTGCTTTGTAGGAGGTAGATATATATTTTGATTATAAAAATTTTTACTATTACATATGTTGAAAATATTTTTTCTAGTTTGTGCCTTGTTTTTTATCTTTGGCCATAAGATCTTTGAAAATACCAAAGTATAAAAATTAGCCAAATCTGTCAAATGTTTTCTTTATGGATTTCAGATTGCAATTTATTTAAAAAGGCTTTTTAATTTCAAGACTATTAAAA
The DNA here is from genome assembly GCF_000001405.40 of Homo sapiens. Taxonomy (NCBI): domain Eukaryota; kingdom Metazoa; phylum Chordata; class Mammalia; order Primates; family Hominidae; genus Homo; species Homo sapiens. The sequence continues at coordinate 155,984,246 of NC_000002.12, read as the reverse complement.
TATTTCAATTTTTTCTCTAATGTGTTGTATCTTTAAATTTTTTACATTTGTCTTTATACCTCTCTGAAATATACTTTTAGGTATGTTGCATGCATATATGGAATTGAACTTCATATTTTCCAAATAGTCAATTATTATATGGCCGTTTATAAAATAGTCAATTTTTTCTAAATGATTCAAATTTTTAAGTGCTGACATAGGCATTTATCTCCCTGGACTCTTTATTCTATTTCACTGATTTATGTGTATATTTCTTCAACAAATTCACACTAAGAATTTGTATAGCTTTATTCTATGTTAATTATAATGCTGATGGTACACAGTATGCCTCTATTTAATTGTAAATTCTATTGCACAGAGAATTGAAGCACAAATACTAAATGCCCTATCCAAGTTAAAGCTCAAAGATGGTGAAAGTCAAAAGAATGAGTCTGAAATGTAAAAAAAACTTGCTCTTGTGCGACCAAAAATATGAGAGCTGGGGAGAAAGGATATGGAAAGCCTGATTATTTATTTATATTTGTCTAATCAAAGAGAACAATATGATATAGATTAACTCTTGGAAATATCTTAAGTTTAAATACATTGTTTAACAATTTAGCAGGAGGATAGAAATAGATGTATAAATTCCAAAACCCCAGATAAATAAAGGAAAAATAGAGGAAGAAAACTTGAATAATTTTCCAAATGGCAGGAAAGGGAAGAAAATACAACAATAGAAAAGAATATCAAGCAGAACAGCTAAAAAATATATAGCAGGAATAGTCTCACATAGACCAGTAAATCGTGATCAATATTAAACATGGATTAAACAATCCTTTTAAACACAGAGACTGCTTACTTGTTTTTTTAAATCTTTTTAGAAATCATGGTATCTGTAAGAATCCTCCAGAAAACAAAATTATGCAGAAAATTGAAAATGGAAGAAGGAAACATGTTCATAGGCTATTATCTACACAATATAAACTAATTTCTGACAAAAATAAACCAAAAAGCATTAAATGCTACTGAGGCAAATTGCATACCTCTACCAAGAAGATGTAGAATTATGTGCCTTTATTCAATCAACAACATGACAGCATCGAGATATAAAGCAATTTATGATGTAAATAAAAGAAGACATGGACATTCAGCAATTGGCAGATTATTCCTAGTTTTCACAGAAATAGGCAACAACAAAAGTAAATAACAATGAAAGAGATTTAGCAGAATTGTTTATAATATACATACACACATAAATATGTATGCATACACAAATATAGTTTTGCACTAAATAGAGAAAGTAATTATCCTCTAATTTCAATGAATCATTCATAGAAATTGTTGAATAAAAACCATGAACAACTTACAAGAAAATCTCTAGAAAATTCTAATACACCAAAATAAGAGAAGATATTTATTTGATGGTAAAATTTGAAGTGAACCACAAAAGAATGTCCCATGATCCTAATAATCCATCTAGTGGAACATTTTAAAGCCTTTCTAAGTCTTGCATATAAAGAGAAAAATACAACTGTGATGACAAGAAATTTTGAAATGAATGACAGAGTATTTATATATATCAACACTTGTGAATTAAAGACAAAGTTAGAAAATGCAATGTATAGCCATCATTTATTTATTAGAAAACAAGAAAAGTAGAAAATGTCTTGTGTGTTTTATATATGAGAAAACAGAAAATAGTGATCGTAAACAAAATATTTCTTGACAGCATACTATGAGCTGGCCACACTTCTAACTCTAATCATAAATTCATTGAGACTTCAAAACAACTGTATGAGGTAGGAAAATATTATCCCTACGTTATAGATAAGGAACTGATGCACAAGAAGCTTAAGTAAGTTGCCTAAGATCACCCTGCTAGCACACTGATGAAGTTGGCATTGATTAAAACCCAGGATTGACAAGGCAGGACAAAACAAAACAAACCAAACACAAAACACACCAAAAAGCCTAGATTGCATCATTACACTCTAAAGATTGTTCTTTGAAAGGATCAAGTAAAGAAACCAAACCCATAGCAAGTCTGATAGCACAGAAAAATAAATAAAATGCAAAAGTAAACATTAAGAATAGAAAGGGGTAAAATTTCAGAAATGAGGTAGAGTTTGAAATAATTATGGGAAAAAATACCCAATTTTACAAGCCATGGATTTCATAGTCTGGATGAACTAGATAATGTAGCATATGGACAGATGAATATCAAATTAAAAATTCACTCAAGAAGTAAGATTTAAAAAGCTTGTAAAGACCAATATTTGTAGAAATGAAAATCAAAATGTATTTCAGGATCTACCTCTGAAAGTGGATGGCCCAGGTTATTGGGTGAGTATACTCATTTATTCAACATATATTGATTGATTCTTGTTCAGAGTAAGAAAGTCCCTTCACAGAATGGCTTGCCTCTATCAGCAAACATCAAGTAGTGGATTTTTCCCCAATGTTTTTGTCCTTCATCTGACCTCCAGTTGTGACTTTTATAGATACTCCCTAAAGTCCAAAAATTTTTACCTTTATCTGTGGCATGAACTGCTTTGTCAGTCTGGTAAATTCTTTGTACCCGTTTCAGTAAAATGTTTTTAAATGCACACAAATATACACGAATACATATGATCATACTACAAAGGAGTATTTACAAAATCAGTTATATTGAAATATTTTTCAGCCACAGATCCCTTGGGGATAAATCCTAATACGGTTTAGGTTTGTGTTCCCACTCAAGTCTCACTCAAGTCTAATGTTGAATTGTAGTTCCGAGTGTTGGGGGAGGGATCTGGTGGGAGGTGATTGGATCATGGGGGGGGATTTTTCCCTTGCTGTTCTCATGATAGTGAGTGAGTTCTCACAAGATCTGTTTATTTAAAAGTGTGCAGCACTTCCCCCTTTGCTCTCTTCCTCCTTCTTCAGCCATGTGAAGACATGCCTTGCTTCCCCTTTGCCTTCTGTCATGATTGTAAGTTTTCTGAGGCCTCCCCAGCCATGTGAAACTTTGAGTCTATTAAACCTCTTTTCTCCATAAATTACCCAGTCTCAGGTCATTCTTGGTAGCAGTGTGAGAACAGACTAATACAGATCTCAAGTTAAGATCTCTGCCAGTTCTTGTTATCACACTATTTTCACTTTCAATTCTATGACTACTATATCCTAGGAGACCTTTAGTTCCACCCAAGAATTCTACATTTCGATAACCCTTTCACTCACTCACCCTTCTAGATGACTATTGCCACCTTCTCTCCTCACTTCAAATCTTTCATGCCTCCTGAGCAAGGTGGATTATTATATTATGTAATATGATAATTATATTATTTTTTAAAAAAATTATTTTAATATTTCTTTAAAATTTCTCTGATAAATTTCTGAATTGTTTCTTTGTGTTTTCTTGATGTTCACTGAGCATTTTTAACCAAGCTATTTCCAATTTCTTTTCTAACAGATCACACATCTTCATCTCTTTAGAATCCATCACTGGTGACTTGTTTTGTCTATAAGGTGAGGTCATAATTCCCTAATTGTTCTTGATGCTTGTGGACATATGCTAATGTCTGCACATTAACAAGTTAGGTATTCACTCCAGTCTTTTAATTCTGGCTTTGTGTGTGCCTGTCTTTCTTCAGTGGGCCTATCCAGTCGTCTAAGCAGACTGTTGTCAGAGACTGTGATCACGGCAACCATTTCAGCACTAGCAATTGCCCTAATCCCTGGTTCACAGTGAGGGCTCCAAGATTGGCTTGGCACCTCTGTCCATATGGATCTGGGGAAAACCTAAGGGGGTTACCCAGGCTATATGGAAAAGCTCACCAGAAACTTAAGTCTAGAAGTCATTCCTGGTGGCCAAGATGGATGTGTGTCTCCCAGAAGATTCCTGTATAGGTGGGACAATGCCATGACTGCTGCAAGGGTGCTGGAACTGACTCTGGACTTCCTCTGAATCTGATGTGAAAAGATGCTGGTGAGCCCATCTCAGTGGCCCAGACATGTGTGCTTCCCAGCGGTTTCCTGCACTAACAGAGGAGTTCCCCAGTTCTAGCAAGAAGGCCCAGAACTGAGCTGGGCCCCCTCAGGAACTGCTGTAGGACAATGGGCCCATTACAAAGGTTCAGGCAAATTCCCAGGCTCTGAGATGTAAGTTAGTTTCCCTCGGGGTTATTGTGTGAGCTGTAATAAGCTGAGAGGTGAGGGTGGCTAGAGGTGATTTACAGGGTAACTTTCAGATCCACTCCCAAGATCAATGTTAGTGGGCAGGTGAGCCTTTATGCTGAGAGACTAGTGTGCATGATTCCTTCCAGGTCCCTTGATAAATGGTTTTGGTTGCAGGTTCAAGTCTGAATGGCATTGTAGCCATGCCCTTTGGGGAATTACACTGTTGCCAGGTTTGAATCTGGGAACACAATCAGAGGGTCTGCAACTTGGATGCTGGTCTGCACTCTCAAAACACTCTTTCTAGGTTTGTACTTCACCAGGATTTCATAATCTCCTACCTAAATTTCGAGGATCTCACAGCGAGACTTTGTGGATAGGTGCAGAATTCTTATTTTTGTTGGGGATGGTATGAGAAGCTTGCCTCATATTCTACCACCTTGCTGATAACTCTTCTCTATTTCTTTTATAACCCATTAGCAAGTGTTTCCACTTTACATAAAATATTATCTTAATATAATTTTAGTATAAATATATTATCACTTACTTTATTATAAATATATTTTGTTTAATCTAGTTACTTTAATATAGATTTTATTGATTTTTTTGTCATCACCTCCATCATTATGTAATAACTAGGTCAACAAATGCTTCATAGAGAACTTGACATGAGAACTAGGCCTCTAGAAAAAAATACAATTGGGGATGAAGTGATTTTAGGATCAAAAATTTCAAGACTGATACTTAGTAATTATGAAGAGTCTACAGTACAGATGCACAACATATAGTTTATGGGACTCATGGAGTTCTTTGAGACAAAAGTTCAAACTTTTATAATGAATGATTCCAGGATGTTAGTTGCTTTCTTACTTTCATTCTCTCTTGAGTGTCATGCAGTTTTCCAGAAGCTATTTGACTTACAATTACATAATCACTCTGAACACTAACAGAATGTATGCTGTATAGACTTGTGTTTTAAGAAGTTTATGGGTTTAATTTCCAATATGGTATCCATTAATAGGCATAATCCATACAAACAAAAATTCTTTGGATTCTTTAATGCTAGTTAAAAGTATAAAGCAGTCCTGATACCAAAAAGTTTAAGAATCACTGATTTAGGATGACGTTTAGTATTTGTGACTAGTTTAGAGTAGTTAAGTAGAGTGTGTGTACATGTTTGTTGTAATGCAGCTGTCCCCAAGCTTTTTGGCACCAGGGACCATTTTTGTGGAAGACAATTTTTCCATGGACCAGGGAGGGGGGATGGTTTCAGGATGATTCAAGTGCATTACATTTATTGTGCACTTTATTTCTATTAGTATTACATTGTAGTATATAATGAAATAATTATACAACTAACCATAATGTAGAATTGGTGGGATCCCTGAGTTTGTTTTCCTGCAACTAGACGATCCCATCTGTGAGTGATGGCAGACAGTAACAGATCACCAGGCATTAGATTCTCATAAGAAGCATGCAACCTAGATCCCTCACATGAGCAGTTCACAATCTGATCCCACTACTGATCTGACAGGAGGTGGAGCTCAGGTGGTAATGCGAGTTATAGGGAGTGACTATAAATACAGATGAAACTTCACTTGCTCGCCCACTGCTCACCTACTGCTGTGTGCCCTGCTTCCTAACAGGCCATGAACTGGTACTGGTTAGGGACCCCTGTTGTAAAGCATACTTAGCCTAAAAGGGTACATCATGGTTACTTTCTGGAATAAATATCAGAATAAAGACTGTGAAACTTATTCTGAACTTCAGTAATTTAGAACATGGGGTGACACTGCAGTTGGGCAAAAGAGGAGAATGCGGGTTGATTACCAGTACTATTTTTTTTTTAAATAAATGAAAGCTTATAGGTAGACAAGAGAACTTCTTGGAAAAAATATGTTTTACAAAAGCTTTTCTTGTGATTTTAATTTGACTAATTACTACCCCCACTCCCCAGCCACACCTCCTTATCCACCACACACACACACACACACACACACACACACACACACACACACAGAGTACCACTACCTGGGTCACTAGAAATTCATTATTGTTTTATGAAGTTCACTGTATCTGTTTGGAAAAATCCAAGAAATGAGAAGCATTGAAAAGGAGGGAAGAAAAAGTAGAATTGAAAACGCATTGGAAGGAGGAATCGAGTTGGACTTAACTACTAGTAAGGCAAGGAAGGAGTCAGACAGTTTCTAACCTGGTTGAGAGAGTAGTTGTTAATCTGTTATGGACAGAATGTTTGTGTCCCCCCAAAAATTTATATGCTGAAACCTCAATCTCCAATTGTATTTGGAGATAGGGTCTTTGAGGTAATTAAGGTTAAATGAGGTCATAAGAATGAGGTCCTGATCTGATAGGATTCATGTGTTTATAAGAAGAGACAGAAGAACTCTCTCTCTCTTGCCATGTGAGGATACAGTGAGAAGGTGGAAGTTTGCAAGCCAGAAAGAGTTCTCACCAGAAACCTAATTTACAGGAACCTTGATCGTGCATTTCTAGCCCTCAAAACTATGAGAAAATGAATTTCTGTTATTTAAACTACGCAGTCTATAGTATTTTTAAAATGGCAGCCTGAGCTAAGACATGATCATATAAGATACAAAAACCTGGGTGGGAAAGGGGAGTAGTGTAGACAGATTTTAGAAGCAAAATAATGAATTGCCAACATGACTTTCCCTCTTGGACCAGCTAAGTTGCCTGAAATTTCTCAACATTCTGTGACTTTAATGCTTCTGGATTTTTTAAAAAGTGTTATCTAAAAGATGGAACGAAGTAAAAATTAGTTTTTATTGTTCTTTAATCCTTGAATGTTAATTTTGCTACTCAGATTAACTGTAATTAAATGGAACTGAGAAGAATTAATGTAGAATAGATAACGAAAATTAGTGGTGGCCTACAACTGGTGCTTACTAGTTACTTATTCCTACAATTTGAGAAGACCTTGCAAATCAGAAAGACTTTATTTTACTGATGGGAAAGCTAAACTCCAGAGTTACAAAGTTCTTATTCATGAAACCAAAATAGTAACAAGGATGGCACTTGAACCCAAATTATCTTAACTCATAAAATTTCCACTAGGAATGCTCAATATTTCTGATGGGTAGCTAATGACTTCCAAGCCAAAGTTTAGATGAACATTTGTGGGTGGTGGGTTTGTGTTTCCAAGGTATTATTAAATATTGGCTAGTTTTTAAAAACTTTTTTTTTTTCATTTGTAACAGTTATTGCCTGGAATCATGCAGAAATAAAAGAACATAAATAATCTCCACCAATGTCCTTTGAGTTCACAGTTTCACAGTAAAGGCATGCATTTAATTACTACCCCTAAATATTATATCTTCACAGGTAATGTCATCAATATCTATTGAGTAGAATAATTAAAAATTGGTATGAAAATTGCTATGAATCAAAACAAGATATATATTACCACACTTGGTACAATATAAGCTTTCTCTTAAAGTTTTATTTCTTTAAATTAATATGCATAATACGTTTCCCTTGGGCAGGTACAGTACAAGAATGCATACTCTTTGGACTTGGGCTGTCTTATTGATTCCCTCATTTTCTTCACTGTTGGGCCTGTGCTTGCCAATATAGTCCCCTGTAGAGAGAATTTTTAAAATTCCCAAATGTTTTGAAGAGTGCTTTAGAATGTAACTTCTGCCAGAACCTAATTAGACAGGAAACTTGGATTTGGGGAGACATGCTTTATAACTGGCTTTTTTTTTTTACCCCTATTCTCAAAAAGACTCTTAAAAATATTGTCTTCATAATTATCCCTTCTCCTTATTTTTGGCCTTTTCCATAATGGTTTAAAAATTCTTCTAAACAATAAGAACAAATGTTATAAACAAACTCTTTCACAGGCTTTTTCTTCATCACACCCTCCTTCTCTTCCTACACTCTGAATAAAACAAAGACAAAACCTCACAAAGCAGATCTTCAAGAGGAAAATACATAAATCATAAATTTAAGAAAATAAGGCAGGGGTCAATTTGCCACAACTTATCAATACATTTAGTTTTTCAACATGAGTTTTCTATCATATCTAAAGGAAGTGGATCCCATTAGCAACAAGCCAGCTTGGTGGTGTAAAGGCTGTTGACCATTCTGGCATTGATTCTGCCCACAAAAATATGCAGCCTGTTACAAGTGGAATTTACCCTTTGGCCTTTAGCTCCCCCTCTTCTGAAACCAAGAAGTATTGTTTGCACTATGAGACCAACTTTTCCACCAGCTAAAAGTGTTTGCAGCTTATTACTAACAGCTAAAAGTGTTTGCAGCTTATTACTAAATGATCTTAAAACAGTTCCAGAAAATATGGAATTTCTTTTCTCATGAGCACAGAAAAAAAAAAGAAAAACAGGCTTAAAGTTGCCAGTTTTTAAGAAAATAAACTACAAACTTTCTCCTAGATTTTTGCTTTTTCTTTAAATTTTTGGTATATTTTCATTTCAAAAGCATATTGGAAATTACAACACAGAATTATATGCATCTGAGAAGATATAGTAACTCCCAGTATTTTGGTTTCTACTTATTACTTTCCTAAAGTTTACTTATTTTTACTTTTAAATTAAATAAATTAAAATACTTTGGAGATACTTGTAGAGTTTCCAAAAACGATGTTGATATGCACAAATAAAAAATGTCAGCAGTCAGAAGAGAGGATTTTGCCCTCTTTTCTTCTAAAACAACAGATAATATTGATTGGTTTATTGTAAAAATAAGGTATGCCAAGAAAACAAAGAAATTGAAAACATACATAAAAAATTGCCTAAATGCTCTTACATGCACCCAAATTTAGAGAATATTGTTGTATTTTTAAATACACTGTTGATGATTATCATGTTTAAAAGGCGTGTCCTTACCATGTGAACATTAGCTGCTATGGCTATTTTTAATATTTTTATATTTAAGAAAATTAACAAGTAAAATAGAGAATTGTTTAAGTTAGTGCCTGAGGTATGAAGAGAATGGAAATATAACCTGTGTCTCTCAAACCTTTCTGTTGTTCCTGAACACTTAGTTTCCCATGGTAAGAATAATTTAAAAAATGAAAAGAAAATTTTGTGAAGAAAATGATTACAATACACAACAACAGTGGAAAGAGTAGAAGAAAGCTAGAAAGAGTTAATATACCAAATGTGATTTTGTTGGTTTAATCATCTCAGATTTCAGATTAAGATCTGAGATTTATTTAAGTCTCTTTTGTTGAGGCATAAGGATGGAGTTCTTGTCAGAAATTTGTTCACTTTTCTTGGCTGTAGTAAAATTATAAATGCTGTACAAATACTGTTTTTTCATAGTCTGCCAAAAAAGTGGCAATAAAGAGTTAACTAAATATATCCACATCTCAAAAGCATTTTAATTTGAATTTTAGAATAAGATTGTAGTTAATTCACTTTTAAACACTGCAAACTTTCTTAATTGTAAGAAGTAAAAATGGAATTTATATATGAAAAACTGTGTGGTTTGTTAGAGAGAGAGAGAGAAAACAGACTCAAAAACTGTTAGTAACCTTTTCTAATCTATTCAAAGATTGAAAGTGATGTGAAAGATCAAGATCATTGCTAGTTCAACATTTTGCACTCTAGTTTAGGTAATAACAGGGGGCATAAGATGATACTG